>NC_000017.11:19885050-20188080 GCF_000001405.40 Homo sapiens
GGGGTTTCACCATGTTAGCCAGGATGGTCTCGATCTCCTGACCTCATGATCCGCCTGCCTTGGCCTCCCAAAGTGCTGGGATTACAGGTGTGAGCCACCGTGCCTGGCCTGGCCTGTATTCTTAATACCTAGAGAATGTTTCAATATTAACAATATTGTTCATGTCTCGGAATCTTCTTCATCCTTGTAATAAGGTCAGAGATTTAAAAAATATATCCAACAGCTTTATTATGAAATATATATAAAATAATTTATTAGAATGAATATCTTATTTATGTTTAATTTTTATTTTATTTTTAATTTTTTTTGAGACAGAGTTTTGCTCTTATTGCCCAGGCTAGAGTGCAATGGCACAATCTCGGCTCATCGCAACCTCTGCCTCCCAGGTTCAAACGATTCTCCTTGCCTCAGCCTCTTGAGTAGCTGTGCCACCACGCCTGGCTAATTTTGTATTTTTAGTAGAGACAGGATTTCTCCATGCTGGTCAGGCTGGTCTCAAACTCCCGACCTCAGGTGATCCACCCGCTTCAGCCTCCCAAAGTGCTGGGATTATAGGCGTGAGCCACTGCGCCTGGCCTATTTTTTTATTTTTTTAAGAGACAGGGTCTCACTGTCACCCAGCCTCAAGTGCAGCATACTACAGCCTTGAACTCCTGGATTCAAGCGATCCTCCTACCTCAGCCTCCTGAGTAGCTGGGACTATGGGCACATGCTGCCACACCTCGGTAACTTTTTAAATTTTTAGTAGAGATGAGGTCTCACTATGTTGCCCAGGCTGGTCTTGAACTCCTGGGCTCAAGTGATCCTCCCACCCTGGCCTCCCAAAATGGTGGGATTCCAGGCATGAGCCACCGCACCTGGACCACAAATTAATTTTCATATCATTAGACAACCTGAAATTTTCTGTTGAAATTGATACTTGGTTTTCTTTTTCCTTTTCATTTTATTTTTTAAGACAGTGTCTTGCTCTGTCATCCAGGTTGGAGCGCAGGGGCATGAACACGGCTCACCCAAACTTGACTTCCTAAGCTCAAGGATGTCTTCTTGCCTCAGCCTCCTGAGTAGCTGGGACCAGAGGCACACACCACAATGTCCTGGTAACTTTTTTGTTGTTTTGGTAGCAATAGGGTCTCACCATGCTGGTCAGGCTGGATACTTTTTTTTTTTCTTCCTTCCTTCCTTCCCTTTCCTTCCTTTCTTCCTTTCCTTTCCTTCTTTTTCTTTTCTCTTTTTCTTTCTTTCTTCTCTCTCTCTTTCTCTTTCTCTCCCTTCCTTTTCTTCCTCCCTTCCCTTCTCCTTCCTTCTTTCCTTCCTTCCTTTCTTTCCTCCTTTCCTCCCTTCTTTTTCTTTCTTTCTTTCCTTCCTTCTTTCTTTCTTTCTTTTTCTTTTCTTTTCTTTCTTTCTTTCATCTTACTCTGTGACCCAGGCTGGAGTGCACTGGCACAATCACAGTTCACTGCACTGCAGCCTTGACCTCCTGGCCTCAGCTGATCCTCCTACCTCAGCCTCTGGAGTAGCTGGGACTACAAGCATGTGCCACCATGCCCAGCTAATTTTTTTGTATTTTTTGTAGAGACAGGTCAGGGTTTCCCTATATTGCCCAGGGTGGTCTCAAACTCCTGGGCTCCAAGAGATCTGCCTGCTTCAGCCTCCAAAAGTACTGGGATTACAGGCACGAGGCACCAGGCCTGGCCTGGCTTTATTTCTTCTTCTTCTTTTTTTTTTTTTTTTTTTGAGACGGAGTTTTGCTCTTGTTGCCCAGACTGGAGTGCGATGGCGCTATCTCGGCTAACTGCAACCTCCACCTCTCAGGTTCAAGCCATTCTCCTGCCTCAGCCTCCTCAGTAGCTGGGATTACAGGCGCCTGCCACCACATCTGGCTAGTTTTTTTTTTTTGTATTTTTAGTAGAGACGGGGTTTCACCATGTTGGCCAGGCTGGTCTTGAACTCCTGACCTCATGATCCGCCCGCCTGGGCCTCTCAAAGTGCTGGGATTACAGGCGTGGGCCATCGTGCCCAGCTGCCTGGCTTTATTTTGAATAGCATCTCTGTTCAATTCTCTTCCTTCAACTACCTTTTCATAGTTTCCCCTAGTTTTATGTGTTCAATCACATTTGTCATTTGCCTAGTTAATCCAGCAGTTCTTACGCATTTTTCTTTTTTTAGACCGAGTCTCGCTCTGTCACCCAGGTTGGAGTGCAGTTGCACGATCTCAGCTCACTGTAACCTCTGCCTCCCAGGTTCAAGCGATTCTTGTGTCTGAGCCTCCCAAATAGCTAAGATTACAGGTATGTGCCACCATGCCTGGCTGGTTTTTGTATTTTTAGTAGAGACAGGGTTTTGCCGTGTTGGCCAGACTGGTCTTGAACTCCTGGCTTCAAGAGCTCCGCCCACCTCAGCCTCCCAAAGTGCTGGGATTACAGGCGTGAGCCACCACGCCTGGCCTTCTTAAGCTTTTTACTTTCAAGATTCCTGACATATTTACTGTATTGAAAATTAAAACTAAGAAACTTAGGATATATTTTATTTAAAAATAATAGGCTCATTATAAATTAACACAAAAATGTATCATTAAAAATCTATGTTTTCCAAAACACACGTAGTGATAAAAGTGGCATTGTTTTATGTTTTAACAAATTTTTTTAGTGTCTGGCTTAATAGAAGAAAACTGGATTCTCATATATTTTTTATATTCAATCTGTTGTAATACACTGTTTTGGTTAAGGAAAATCTGGCCTCATAGATATGTAGTTGAAGAGGTGGACTAACTCAAAAGCCTATTCAGATCAAAATTTGACAAGTGTTTTTTGTTTTGTTTTGTTTGTTTGAGACAGGGTCTAGTTCTGTTGCCCAGGCTGGAGTGCAATGGCACAATCTCGGCTCACCACAACCTCTGCCTCTCCGTTTCAAGTGATTCTCCTGCCTCAGCCTCCTAAATGCTGGGATTACAGGTGTGCACCACCACGCCCAGCTAATTTTTTTGTTTTTTGTAGAGATGGGGTTTCACCATGTTGGCCAAGCTGGTCTCTAACACCTGACCTCATGATCTGCCCAGCATGGCCTCCAAAGTGCTGGGATTACAGGTGTGAGCCACTGCACCTGGCCGAGTATTTCTTTCTTTCTTTCTTCTTCTTCTTCTTTTTTTTTTTTTTTTTTTTTTTTTTTTTGAGACGGAGTCTTGCTGTGTCGCCCAGGCTGGAGTGCAGTGGTGGGATCTTGGCTCACTGCAAGCTCCACCTCCCGGGTTCATGCCATTCTCCTGCCTCAGCCTCCCAAGTAGCTGGGACTACAGGGGCCTGCCACCACACTCGGCTAATTTTTTTGTATTTTTTTAGTAGAGATGGGGTTTCCCTGTGTTAGTCAGGATGGTCTCGATCTCCTGACCTCGTGATTCACCTGCCTTGGCGTCCCAAAGTGCTGGGATTACAGGCGTGAGCCACCATGTCTGGCCTTTGTGTGTGTGTGTAAGTGTGTGTGTGTGTGTGTGTGTGCAACAAGGCTGTTTATTTCACCTGGGTGCAGGCGGGCTGAGTCTGAAAAAGGAGTCATCAAAGGGTGGTAGGATTATCATTAGTTCTTATATGGTTGGGGTAGGCACACAAAGTATGTTCTTAAGGGCGGGGGAGAATATTACAAAGTACCTTTTTAAGGGCGGGGGGAGACTATATCTTATCAGTTAGGGTGAGGCAGGAACAAATCACAATGGTGGAATGTCATCAATTAAGGCCATTTTCACTTCTTTTGTGAATCCTCAGTTGCTTCAGGCCATCTGGATGTATACGTGCAGGTCACAGGGGATATGATGACTTAGCTTGGGCTCAGAGGCCTGACATTCCTGTCTTCCTATATTAATAAGAAAAACAAAACAAAATAGTGGTCAAGTGTTGGGGCAGTGAAAATTTTTGGGGATGGTATGGAGAGATAATGGGCGATGTTTCTCAGGGCTGCTTCCAGCGGGATTAGGGGCAGCATGGGAACCTACAGTGGGAGAGATTAAGCTGAAGAAAGATTTTGGGGTAAGGGGTGATATTGTGGGGTTGTTAGAAGGAGCATTTGTCGTATAGAATTATTGGTGATGGCCTGATGCGGTTTTGTATGAATTGAGAAACTAAACGGAAGACACAAGGTCCGAATAAAAGAAGGAGAAAAATAGGTATTAAAGGACTAAGAATTGGGAGTACCCAGGACATCCAATTAGACAGTGTCCAAGGGGGTTCAACGTAATTATTTGTTTGGTTGGCGAGTTTTTGGGCTCTATCCTTGAGTTGTTTTATGTTGTCATATACCAGGCCAGACTGATTTAGGTAAAAACAACACTCTTCATTTAAAAATATACAGAGTCCTCCTTTTTCAGCAGTGAGTAAATCGAGGCCTTGGCGATTTTGGAGGAAAGAGAAATGCAAAGCCAGCAACTGTTTGTTTAAAAAGTATTAGAAACGGCTAGCAGAGAGTGAGAGAGATTGATAGTGTGGTGGAGATAGCTGGGGAGAGTTAGAGGGTGGCATAAGAACGAGAATGAGAATAAGAGTGAGTATAAAAGTAAAGAATAGGACTTCATCAGGGTGAAAGTGTTGGCATGTGTCCTGTCAGCAAAGATCCACTCCAAGAGGGAGTCAAGAGTGGTGGACTGGGGATAGATTTTCATGATGAAAAGGAAATGAGAGGTTTTAAGAGGCAGGCTATCGGCTTGTAACCTACATGGAAGAGGTTATGAAATGACGACAGAATAGAATGGGCCTGTGAGGCTGGAAGGAGATTTTTTTTTTTTTTTTTTGGGTCTAAGAACCATCTGCCTTGAGTGGAGAGGAATTGATAGGTGGAAACTTCATTTGGAGAGTAAATAGGAGTGACCAGTGAGAAAGAGAAAAGCTGGCCATGAGGGACAGAAGTTGGAACGCTAGCTGCTTCTTTAGCTACCTTATCAGCATAAGCGTTGCCCTGAGCGATGACATCTGATGCCTTTTGATGGCCCTTGCAGTGAATGACTCCAGCTTCCTTTGGAAGTAAAGCGACTTTAAGAAGCGTTTTTATTAAGGAGGCAATAATGATGGAGGACTCTTGTGTAGTGAGGAAATTTCTTTCTGCCCATGTAACAGCATGGTGGTGCAGGATACGGAAGGCATATTTAGAGTCAGTATAAATATTGACGTGTAGTCCCTTTGCAAGAGTGAGGGCCCAAGTTAAGGCAATGAGTTTGGCTTGCTGAGAGGTAGTGGAGGCGGGCAGAGCAGTAGCCTCAATGATAGATGTGGAGGATACTATAGCATAGCCTGCCTTTGCTGGTGAGTGGTGATTAGGCCTGGTGGAACTGCCATCAATAAACCAAGTGTGATCATGGTGAGAAACAGGAAAGACGGAAATATGGGGAAATGTGGTGACTGTCAGGTGGATCAGAGAGATACAGTCATGGGGGTCAGTTCTGATATCCATAATAATGTGGGAGTTCGGATTGAAGTCTGGGCCAGGAACAATTGTAATTGTGGGAGACTCAACAAAGACTGAGCATAGCTGAAGGAGCTGGGGGGCAGAAAGTATATGTGTCAAGTGTGAGGAGGAAAATAGATTTTGAAAGTTATGGGAACTGTAGACAGTAAGTGGAGCATAGCGTGTGATCTTGAGGGCCTCTAAAAGTATTAAAGCAGCGGGAGCCGCCACACACAAACATGAGGGTTAGGCTAAAACAGTAAGGTCAAGTTGTTTGGACAGAAAGGCTACAGGGCACGGTCCTGGCTCTTGTGTAAGAATTCTGACCGCATAGCCCTGTACTTCAGGGTTGTGTAATGAAAAGGGTTGGGATGAGTTAGGGAGAGCTAGTTTGGGAGCAGCTTTTAGGGCTGTTTTTTAAGGAATGGAAAGGGGAGTGGGAAAAGGATTTAGGATTTATGGGGTCAGCTAGGTTTATCTAGAACAGAATAATGGGTTGTGGAGGGAGGTGTTGAGGATAGAAGAGTATATGGGTTTGGCACCACAGGGTAGATAGGCAAGACAATTTAGTTGATAAGGTGCAGATCCTGAACTAACCTGTAAGACTTGTCTGGTTTTTGGACAGGTAAAATGGGGGAATTGTAAGGAGAGTTTATAGGCTTTAGAAGACCATGCTGTAGCAGGCGAGTGATAACAGGCTTTAATCCTTTTAAAGCATGCCATGGGATGGGATATTGGCGTTGATTGGAGTAAGGGTGATTAGGTTTTAATGGGATGGTAAGGCGTGCATGATCGGTCACCAAGGAGGGAGTAGAGGTGTCCCATACTTGTGGATTAAGGTGGGGAGATACAAGGGGAGGATGCGAAGAAGGCTTCGAACTGGGGAAAAGGGCAGCAATGAGGTGTGGCTGTAGCCCAGGGATAGTCAGGGAAGCAGATAATTTGGTTAACGTGTCTTCACCTAATAAGGGAGCTGGGCAGGTGGGGATAACTAAAACAGAGTGCATAAAAGAATGCTGTCCAAGTTGGCACCAGAGTTGGGGAGTTTTAAGAGGTTTAGAAGCCTGGCTGTCGATACCCTCAACAGTTATGGAGGCAAGGGAAACACGCCCTTGAAAAGAAGGTAATGTGGAGTGGGTAGCCTCCATATTGATTAAGAAGGGGATGGACTTACCCTCCACTGTAAGTCACCCAAAGCGTCTGTGATGGTCCTGTAGGCTTCCAAGGCGATCGGGCAGTGTCAGTCTTCAGCCACTAAGCTGAGAAGATCTGGGAAGAAGTCAGTCAGAGAGCCTTAGGCCAGAGTTCCAGGTGCGCTGGGAGTGGCTGCCGGGCGAGTTGGACAGTCCGATTTCCAGTGGGGTCCCACACAGATGGGACGTGGCTTAGGAGGAATCCCAGGCTATGGGCATTCCTTGGCCCAGTGGCCAGATTTCCGGCACTTGAAGCAAGATCCTGGGAGAGGCAGTCCTGGAGGAATGCCTGGCCCCTGCGGTTTAGGCGTTTGGAAGTTCTTGTGTGCTGGAGATGTGGCTGGGGTTTCTCTCACAGCGGAGGCAAGTAATTGCAACTCTTCTCTATTATTGTACACCTTGAAGGCGAGGTCAGTTAAGTCCTGTTGTGGGTTGAGGGCCAGAATCTAATTTTTGGAGCTTTTTCTAATGTCGGGAGTGGGTTTGGTAATAAAATGCATATTGAGAATAAGACAGCCTTCTGGCCCCTCTGGGTCTAGGGTGGTAAAGCATCTAAGAGTTGTTGCCAAACAGGCCATGGACTGGGCTGGGTTTTCATATTTGATGAAAAAGAGCCTAAACGCTAACTGATTTGGGAGAGGTCGGATAAAGAAAAAGGAGCATTAACCTTGGCTATGCCTTCAGCTCCAGCCACCTCTCTAAGAGGAAATTGTTGGGCAGGTTGGGGAGGGCTAGTCGCAGAACGAAACTGTAAGCCAGATCGGGTGTGAGGAGGGGAGGTAATAGAAGGGTTCTACGGTGGGGGAGTGGAGGCTGAAGAAGAGTTGGGACTGGTGAGGAGCAGCCTGGGGAGGAGGGAAGAGGTCACATGGATCTGTAGAAAAGGAGGATTCACAGGACTTAGAGCTTGGGGTGGAGACTGAAGGAACAGACAGGAGAGAAAGAAGAAAGATTTGGGACGAGTCGCATTGGGAGCAGAGACTAGGGAGGGGCCAATGTGTAAAAGAATGGCTGGACGTCAGGCACCTCAGACCATTTGCCCATTTTTTGACAAAAATTATCTAGATCTTATAAAATGGAGAAATCAAAAGTGCCGTTTTCTGGCTATTTAGAACTGTTATCGAGTTTGTATTGGGGTCAAGCAGTATTGCAGAAGAAAATAAGGCATTTAAGTTTTAGGTCAGGTGTGAGTTGAAGAGCTTTTAAGTTCTTGAGAACACAGGCTAAGGGAGGAGAAGGGGGAATGGAGGGCGGAAGTTTGCCCTAAGTGAAGGAGGTAAGTTTAAAGAGAAAAGTAGAGACACAGAGAAGAGGGGCGGTGAGTAGTCAAAGCAGGTGTTCCCGCAATTGACTTGCCACCAAGGGAATGTGGGTGAATGACCAAGGCAGGCATTCCCGCAGTGATCAGACACCAATGGAGTGTTGGTGAATAATCAGGCAGGCGTCCCTGCAGTGATTATACACCAAGGGAAGACTGTCCTCCCGAGTCCGTGACCGGCACTGGAGTTTTGGGTCCATGGATAAAATGTGTCTCCTTGTCTCTACTAGAGAGGAAAAAGAACTGGAATTGGAAGGACAGGGAGATTAAAGGGTAGCGAGAGAGGAAGATTGTGAAGGGTAGTGAGAGAGGAAGATTGAAGGGTAGCGAGAGAGGCTGGTGAGGAGTGAAAAGACCGCTTATCTGATTTGAAATTGGTGAGATGTTCCTTGGGTTGGTTGGTCTGAGGACCCGAGGTTGTAGGTGGATCTCCTCACGGAGTGAGGGCAAGGACAGGGGACCGGTCTCCTGAAGGAGTCCTCCTGTCCCGGGTCTTCAGCACCACATGTCACGTGCAGCCGTGTGAAGAGACCACTAAACAGGCTTTGTGTGAGCAACAAAGCTGTTTATTTCACCTGGGTGCAGGTGGGCTGAGTCCGAAAAAGGAGTCAGCCTTTTTTTTCTTTTTTTTTTTTTTTTGACAGAGTCTTGCTCTTGTCGCCCAGGCTGGGGTGCAATGGCACAATTTTGGCTCACTGCAACCTCTGTCTCCTGGGTTTAAGCCATTCTCCTGCCTCAGCCTCCCGAGTAGCTGGGATTACAGGCATGTACCACCACACCTGGCTAATTTTATATTTTTAGTAGAGACGGGGTTTCTCCATGTTAGTCAGGCTGGTCTTGAACTCCCGACCTCAGGTGATCCACCCGCCTCAGCCTCCCAAAGTGTTGTGATTACAGGCGTGAGCCACCACGCCCAGCCTTGTGTTTTTTTCTTAAAGGTTAGTTACAATGTAGAATCTGAACCATATCAATGAGCTGTTGATACTGTTATATTGAAATCTATTGCTGGTTCTTGCACTTTGATCTATTACCTAAACATGATTTCTTATATCATGCACTGGTCATTTGGAAAATACTGGCTTGGCCAGGTTTGGTGGCTCATGCCTATAATACCAATGCTTTGAGAGGCTGAGGTGGGAGCATCACTTGAGGCTAGGAGTTTGAGACCAGCCTGGGCAACACAGTAAGACCTCCATCTCAAAAAACAATTGGACTGGGCTAGGCGTGGTGGCTCATGTCTGTAATCCCAGCACTTTGGAAGGCCGAGGTGGGTGGATCACCCGAGGTCAGGAATTAACAACACGGTGAAACCCCGTCTCTACTAAAAATACAAAAAAAAAAAAAAAATTAGTCAGTGTGGTGGTGCACACCTGTAATCTCAGCTACTTGGGAGGCTGAGGCAGGAGAATTGCTTGAACCCGGGAGGTGGAAGTTGCAGTGAGCCAAGATTGCACCCCTGCACTCCAGCCTGGGTGACAGAGCAAGACTGTGTTTCAAAAAACAGAACAAAACAAAAATTGTACTGGATTATGCAGATCCTCCAAACATTGACACATTTTATTACACAGCATTTTAAAAATCACATTTGTTCACTCGTGTGGTGGCTCACAGCTGTAATACCAGCACTTTGGGAGGCCAAGGTGGATCAGTTGAGCCCAGGAGTTGGAGACCAGCCTGGGCAACATAGTGAGACCTCTTCTCCACAAAAAAATCATGGTGGCACACACTCGTAGTCCCAGCTACGAGGGAGGCTGAGGTGAGAGGATCGCTTGAGCACGGGAGTTTGAGGCTGCAGTGAGCCATGATCAGACCACTGCACTCCAGCTTGGGTGACAGAGTGAGACCCTATCTCAAAAATGAAGAAAAGAAAAAAGAAAATGTCTTTTAAAAACCCAATAAATAGCCAGTTGGTCAGTTGTTATTTCAAGCAAAAATGGTATTCCATGAAAATGGTGGCTAAGTTGGCTGACTATCCAGACAACTGCACCAGTGCTTTTCCTAGGGACAGCCATCATACTTCACTGTGCAGAAGTGCTTTACGCAGACTTCCCATTTGTCACGCATATTAAAATACATGTACTCGAGGGTTGATATTTAATGAAATTACCAATTGTTACTCCTTCACCAAGAACATTCCTATGGGAAACTTTTTTTTTTTTTTTTGAGATGGAGTCTTGCTCTGTCACCCAGGCTGGAGTGCAGTGGCACTCTCTCGGCTCACTGCAACCTCCACCTCCCAGGTTCAAGCAATTCCCCTGCCTCAGTCTCCTGGGTACTGGGATTACAGGCGACCACCACCAAGCCCGGCTAATTTTTGTATTTTTTAGTAGAGACAAGGTTTTGCCGTGTTGGCCAGGCTGGTCTTGAACTCCTGACCTCAGATGATCCACCCACCTCAGCCTCCCAAAGTGTTGGGATTACAGGTATAAGCCACCGTGCCTGGCAGGCTTTTTCTTTTTTGTGGTGAGTGCATGGTGGTGAAGATTTCAATAATGATGACACAGGTCAGTGTCACTGTCCAGATTTCCACTGAGATGCATTTCACCCATCCTTGCTTTTGCATCATCAGTACAAATATTCACATAGTGACACCCCACATCTTAGTCTGATTATGAAGTTTTGACCTCGCAGACCTCCAGAAAGGGTCTCAGGGACCCTTGGGCACCTGTGGGATGATGTCTTGTGAACTGCTGGACTAGCACTAGAGAGAGACATCTTAATGTCAGCCTCTTTGTAGGAGCAGATAGGGTGTTTTTCAGGCGCTAAAGCAAAGGAAGGCTTAGTTCAGATTCTGGGCAGATGGACCCAACAGGGCCATTAGCTGGGCCTGGTCCATTTACAGCAAACTTATTTTCCCCTGCATCTCCTGGGTCATGCTTCCTGGGGACAAACCCCAGTCTTTCCCAGGAAGAGCTCACTCACATCTGGTGGCATAGAGGCCCAGAACCGAACTGTCAGTGATGCCAAACTGGATGCTATGTGAGGACAGGCTGGGCATTGGGAAAGGCTTTGGGAGGATGTGGAGGAGAAAATGGTCAGTCTTCAGAGATGAGGACTTCTTTGGACAGAATGTGGGGGAAGACATTTTAAACTGTGGGCATTGCTTGAGGAAAGGTACCAGTTCTGAAGTGTGAAACCCACCGAGGAGAGAGACGTGCAGTTCAAGTAGTAGTGTTCTGGCTGGGTGCAGCGGCTCATGCCTGTAATTCCAGCACTTTGGTAGGCTGAGGCAGGTGGATCACCTGAGGTCAGGAGTTCGAAACCAGCCTGGCCAACATGGTGAAACTCCATCTCTACTAAAAATACAAAAATTAGCTGGGTGTGGTGTAATCCCAGCTACAAAAATTAGCTGGATGCTCCTGTAATCCCAGCTACTCAGGAGGCTGAGGCAAGAGAATCGCTTGAACCCAGGAGGTGGAGGTTGCAGTGAGCTGAGATTGCACCACTGCACTCCAGCCTGGTGACAGAGTGAGACTCTGGACTTTATTCAGCGGACAATAGGAACTTCATGAAACATACAGTTGATTTCTACATTTAATAAAAAAATAATTTAAAGTACCCAGAGTACTTAAACTTCTAGGAATGTTGATGAAATAGGCACGTCTAGTTATAATATCTAATTTATTACTTTAGTTACACATGCATATTTAAAATAACATTATATATATAATACATTAATACAAAATATTGCTTTTTTCCCATTCTCACATTTCAAGTAACAATTTTATTCACTCTCTACATGCATCTTGGACATCAACGTCTTCATGGTATCTACAGTCCATTTCTCAAAGTGTATCTCCTTCACTTGCATCTAAGCTGTCTGAGATGCAGCACTTCTCAAATACATGTCTGACTCACTGGCAAGTTTGACCCAAGTTACCACATTAGGACCATCCTCCCCGGCCCCCAATTTATCATGTAGGTGTATTTGTAATCCTTACAACAAAATTACTTATTGCTTTTGTAATTGCTCTTTGAAAGGCAGATTATGAAACCTAACTCTTGCAATAGTGAGGGAATGATTTTCCTGGTATAATGACTTAAGTTTCTTCCTTCCCCTCTAATCCATTCCAATAAGAGGACTCTATAATGGTACAAAACTTCATTGTTTGAGGTTGCTGTGGGTAGTATGTTAGGAGAAACCAGAGGTAGAGCAGTTGCAGGAGATCACCAAGTTTGGTTACAGGTGCAATCGAGGAGTGAAACGCCAGTCTTGGGAACAGGCCAGATTGCCGGGCAGACTGCCATCATGGACAGTGATGTTCCTGGGGTGGGAATGAAGTGACGAAACCTGGGAGTGGTAGATGGAAGACTTGGAGAAACAGGCAGGAGCGGCTTGGAGCTGAGCAGATGGCAAAAGTGAAAGGGCAGTTTCAGATGGCAAGGCTGTGGAAGCAGCACTGGCTGGGAGTGGGTGCTACGGACAATGATGATGGGGTGTGGGGTAGGGAGTCAGGACTGGGAAGAAATGGTGTCTTGAGACTTGCAGAATGGGCAAGTCCTAGAGAAAGAGTGAGATGGTCACAAAGTCTGTAAACTGCAGGGTTGAGGGAGGGCACCTAAACTGCCCCCCGCAGGTCCCTTACTGTCTAGTAGCACTCATCCCATTGAGTGGTCATTGCTTGCTTTCTGGACTGCAAGGAGGGCAGGCAGTGTTTGTCTTGGATACTGCTGTATCCCCAGCAACTACAACAGGCATATAATAGGCCCTCAGGAAATACATACCTGATGAAGAAATAGAGAGATGAAGGAAGAAGGAAAGAAAAGACTAAGGTATGAGCATTCTCTGGGAGGGACTTGAAAAGGAGGTCAGCGAAGGAGAGACAGGCCAGGAAAGGCATGGTGGGGACCTCAGAGGGAACTGAGGACCTGAGGTGCAAACAGAAAGAAAATGAACCAGACAGGATTTGTGTGAGATTCCACTGGAACCTTGGGTATGATCCCAACAGCCGCAAGTCTCAGCCTGGACTGTCACGGGTACTGTTCCCAGCAAAGGGGCTGGGGAGTGGATGACTATGGGGCTGAAACTGGTCTGTGGCCTCTTCTAAGCCTCATCCCAGCAAGAGACTTGCTTTGATGGCCTCAGATCTGCCTAGGCAACCAGAGACTGAGAAACTACAGTGGTGTTTGGGTGTTCTCAGCTTTGATAAACATCTGAATAATAGTAAAGGATTTATGTGCTTGTTTGGGTGAGTCATAAATAATAGGTCTCAAATTACATTTCTGTATAGCATGGTCATTCCCAATAAAAGGGAATGAAAATATTCATTTCCCAACTCACAGGAAAGATTTTAAGGCAGGGATTCTTGAAAAGTATGGTCTCCAGAGCAGCAGCATCTGGGAATTTGTTAAGAATGCAAATTCCTGCCTGTAATCCCAGCACTTTGGGAGGCCGAGGTGGGTGGATCACGAGGTCAGGAGTTCAGACCAGCCTGGCCAAGATGGTGAAACCCCGTCTCTACTAAAAATACAAAAATTAGCCGGGCATGGTGGCGGGCGCCTGTAGTCCCAGCTACTCAGGACGCTGAGGCAGAGAACTGCTTGAACCCGGGAGACGGAGGTTGCAGTGAGCCGAGATCGTGCCACTGCACTCCAGCCTGGGGGACAGAATGAGACTCTGTCTCAGAGAAAAAACAAAAACAAAAACAAAGGCAAATTCTTGCACCACCCCAGACCTACTAAATTAGAAACTTTGGGGATTAGGCCCAATGATGCACATTTTCACAAGTCCTCCAGGGGATCCTGATGCATGTGAAAATTTAAGAACCACTGCTTTAAGGTAGATAGATGGGATGTTTTCCATTTTAAAGTGAATCCCTCTAATTTTTTTCTGAAGTTTTTGATATCTTCTATACTTGTCTGTGGTGAGTACCAATAAGCAGGAAAATGAGAGAAGAGAACATTTGCAGGATAGCACAGTTGTGAGTAAGAGGGCAGTTTCCCCTGGCTGAGACCCTGGTGAAATTCCTTTACCTCTTTTTTTTTTTTTTGAGATGGAGTCTTGCTCTGTCGCCAGGCTGGAGTGCAGTGGCGCGATCTCGGCTCTCTGCAACCTCTGCCTCCCAGGTTCAAATGATTCCCCTGCCTCAGCCTCCCAAGTAGCTGGGATTACAGGCTTGTGCCACCATGTCCAGCTAATTTTTTGTATTTTAGTAGAGATGGGGTTTCACCATGTTGGCCAGGATGGTCTCGATCTCCTGACCTCGTGATCTGCCTGTCTTGGCCTCCCAAAGTGCTGGGATTACAGGCATGAGCCACCACACCTGGCCTCCTTTACCTCTTAAGCTTGTCTTCTTTATAAGAAGGGAAAAAATGGCCAGGCATGGTGGCTCACACCTATAATCCCAGCACTTTGGGAGGCTGAGATGGGAAGAGTGCTTGAGGCCAGGAATTCAAGACTAGCCTGGGCAACATAGTGAGACCCTCTCTAAAAAAAAAAAAAAAACTTTGTTTAAAGAAGGGAGAAAATCAGTACTTACAAGATTATCACAAGGATCAAATGAGACGCTGCCTGGCACACACAGTGTTTACTCATTATGCTGATTATTATTACCACTGCAGAACTCAGGAGCTGATTACTTTATGGAATTAGCTCAACAGCTAGCTAGGATTTTCCAAGGTTATAATTTTATACTGCATGCATATAGTAACTGTACAATAGTCTTGTTTTTAAGAATTCACATGTCCCAAAGCTCTGCAGAGCCACGGAGCTGAGACTGACTTTACGGCCTCTTCTAAGCCTTACTCTAAGGTAAGCCCTGTTCAGAGACTTGCCTTGATGGTCTCAGGCATCAAGATGCTGACATCTTGTAAACCAGGTGCTCAACACCTGAGGAAAAACCTCCAGTCTTGCAGCAAGTGAATGGAGTGGCACAGCAACTGGTCCTTGCGGAAGGATGAGGCTGACAGGACACAGAAGGGGCACTTCTCTTCAGCTCCCCCTCTCGGCTGCAGCTCTCCCTATGGGTCTATAGCAGGAGAGCCTGATGTTTTCCAGTAGACCTTGGTGGGTACGAGACCTAAATCATGGGCTCCAAAGGCCATCTTGAATCAAAACTACCAGCATATTTTTTTTTTCTGAGACAGAGTCTCGCTCTGTCACCCAGGCTGGAGTGCAGTGGTGCCATCTCGGCTCACTGCAATCTTCGCCTCCTGGGTTCACACCATTCTCCTGCCTCAGCCTCCCAAGTAGCTGGGACTACAGGCGCCCGCCACCACACCTGGCTAATTTTTTTTTTTACTTTTAGTAGAGACGGGGTTTCACCATGTTAGCCAGGATGGTCTCGATCTCCTGACTTCATGATCTGCCCACCTTGGCCTCCAAAGTGCTGGGATTACAGGTGTGAGCCACTGCGCCTGGCCAATACCAGCATAGTTTAGCTGCTATCCCAACTTCCATTACCTCTTCAATAGAATGCAAGCTCCAAGGTGCCTGCAAGTTTTTATTCCTTCCTGTGTCCCTGTAAACAGTGCCTGCCACTTACAGGGTGACTGAATGGGTGAATATTTACTAAACCAATAGTTACATAATTAGAAGAAACAAAAGGTACTCTTTGCCAAGAAGAGAAGACTAAGAAAAACTTGAAAGAAGTGTGGGGCTTCCTTCAGCTGGAGCCTCTTTCCAAGTTGTATGGTGTGTGGAATTCTTACTGTGATGTGGGAGAGGCCAGCCTGGGGTCACTTACGGATGAGTCTGAAGGCACAGTCAATATACAGGAGTCAGCTGAAGCTGGGGAAATGGCACAGTTGTTGCAATCCTCGTCTCTCATTTGCTTCTTGGTAAATCCCAGCTCCTTTCAAGCTGAAACTAAGCCCTCTCTAGGCTCCTTGCCCACAGACTGGGCCAGTCTGACAGGTGCTTCAGTGGTATGAGGGGTGGGGTGGGGAAGGAGATGCACTGTCACCTTTAGGCAAGGGGCTGAATGCATCCAGGTGAGTTCTGTGACATTCTGAATGTGCCAGAGCAGGCAGTTTGAGAGGAACAGACTGAGGAAATACTTGTTTACATAAAGTTACTAAGGCAGGAATACCCACTCTCCTGTGTGCCAAGCAAGCCAGTGGGCAGCAACCCTCCCTGAACATGAATGCCCTCAGGGCCTTTACTCACACTGCTCCCTCCAGTGTCCTTTATTGGACATCACTGGCCATCTCCACCTGCCCAGAATCCACAGTATCACCGCTCCTACTCTGCACCACGCCCAGTCCTGCCCAAGCAGAGGGGCTTCCTCTAGTGCTCAATGTTCACCCGGAGAGGGCCTCAGTGGGTAACTATTAGTGTGGGCCACCAAAGTTGTAACCTTGAGGGGTTTTACAAGGCCAGAGACCTTGCCTAGTATATAGAATTGGCAGGTATTTACAAATTTTGTAAAAATTATCTCTCCCGCCAAACTTCTACCAGTACTCTAACCAAAAAGCTTTCTATTTCTGGGTTTATTACAATTGCTAAAAGCGGTTATAATCTTCATTATTCTTTGGAAGGATCTGAGAAGCATGAAAAGGCACTGGCCCAGGCCTGAGTTCTAATGGTGATCATCTCACAAGCCAGGGACTTCTCCCCTTCCTGGGCCTCAGTAACTGCTTGTTATAAAAACAAGGGGTGTCTTTTAGCTCCATTAGGTTAGGATACCATTTTGAGAGAATACACATGACGACTTAAGTGAAGTTTACTAAAGAAAAATTATTCTCCAGAAATCAGCAGTACTTTGCAGACATGCTGAGAATACATAATCATTAGGCATTAGGGCAGTATGGCAGTATTTTAGCCAAACTCCTTTCACGTAATTAAAAAAACTCACTTCAGACTGGTTTCAAAAAATCAAAAAACAGACCGGGTACCATGGCTTACGCCTGTAATCCCAGCACTTTGGGAGGCCGAGACAGGGTGATCACCTGAGGTTGGGAGTTCGAGACCAGCCTGACCAACATGGAGAAACCCCGTCTCTACTAAAAATACAAAATTAGCCAGGTGTGGTGGCGCATGCCTGTAATCCCAGTTACTCAGGAGGCTGAGGCAGCAGAATCACTTGAACCTGGGAGGTGGAGGTTGTGGTGAGCCGAGATCGTGCCATTGCACTCCAGCCTGGGCAACAAGAGCGAAACTCCATCTCAAAAAAAAAAAATCAAAAATCATTATAAGGATAACTGACAGATTAATGTAGTCCAATGCAAGGATGCAGGAATAGATGCAGAAACCAAGGATGTCTTCAGGGTTATCAAGGTACCTGCTATCTCAGGCCCACATGCTTCTGTTTGTCCATGCAGTGCTGGCTCCTGATTTTGTAAGTGCCACATCCAAGCACCATTCCAGATGGTGAACAGTATCTCTCCTTCCCCATGCAAAATTCTTTTTTTTTTTTTTTTGAGAAAGAGTCTTGCTCTGGAGTGCAGTGGCACGATCTTGGCTTACTGCAACCTCTGCCTCCCCGGTTCAAGCATTTCTCCCTGCCTCAGCCTCCCCAGGTGCCCGCCACCACACCTGGCTAATTTTTGTATTTTTTTTAGTAAGAGACAGGGTTTCGCCATATTGGCCGGACTGGTCTTGAACTCCTGACCTCAGGTAATCCGCCCACTTTGGTCTCCCAAAGTGCTGGGACTACAGGCATGTGCCACCGCACCCGGCCAAAATTCTTTTTTTTTTTGAGACGGAGTCTCACTCTGTCGCCCAGACTGTAGTGCAGTGGCACGATCTTGGCTTACTGCAAGCTCCGCCTCCTGGGTTCACATCCTTCCTCTGCCTCAGCCTCCCTAGTAGCTGGGACTACAGGTGCCCACCACCACACCCGGCTAATGTTTTGTATTTTTAGTAGAGACAGGGTTTCACCATGTTAGCCAGGACAATCTCGATCTCCTGACCTCGTGATCTGCCTGCCTTGGCCTCCCAAAGTGCTGGGATTACAGGCGTGAACCACTGCGCCTGGCCAAATTCTTTTTTTTTTGAGACAGAGTCTTGCTCTGTTGCCCAGGCTGGAGTGCAGAGATGTGATCTTGGCTCACTGCAATCTCTGCTTCCTGGGTTCAAGTGATTCTCCTGCCCCAGCCTCCCGAGGAGCTAGGATTATAGGTGCCCATCACCACATCTGGCTAACTTTTGTCTTTTTAGTAGAGATGGAGTTTCACCATGTTGTCCAGGCTGGTCTCGAACTCCTGTCCTCAAGTGATCTGCCCATCTTGGGCCTTCCAAAATGCTGTAATTACAGGCGTGAGCCACTGCACCTAGCCCAAAATTCTTTTTCTTATTTTTATTTTTGGAGACAGAGTCTCCCTCTGTCACCCAGGCTGGAATGCAGTGACACGGTCTCGGCTCATTGCACAACCTCCGCCTCCAGGTTCAAGCGATTCCCCTGTCTCAGCCACCCACGTAGCTGGGATTACAGGCGTGCGCCACCATGCCCAGCTAATTTTTGTATTTTTAGTAAAGACAGGGTTTCACCATGTTGGCCAGGCTGGCCTCGAACCCCTGACCTCAAGTGATCCGCCTGTCTCGGCCTCCCAAAGTGTTGCAATTACAGGCATGAGCCACCGTGCCCGGCCCCAAAATTCTTAACATTAAGAACTGTCTTGGGCCTGTCTGGATCAGGAGTTCAACCCAGGTCCAATCAACTGGTGTGTGGGCAAGAGGGAGGAGAGGGCGAGAGAAAAGGTCACTGTGTAGAAACATAAACCCCACTCCTGAAGTCAGGCAGGTACCCAAACACTGTCACTGGAGAGAGGTCAGTCACTTCATCAGGTGCTTAGCTCTCAGTACTTAAATAAAACAGCAAAGAAGTTTGTACTTTGTTACAATTCAGAATGACCTTCCCCTCCAAATTCCTACTGAACTAGTCAAACCTCCAGTACTGTAAACTACTTACATTTCGAAAAGCTCTACTGAATGTTGAAATCCAAGTAGAAAAAGTTATAAAAAGTTACTCCCTGTTTTATTGCTGTTCACTGGATTTGGCTGACATTTGCTTTTTACTTTCATCAAATCTTACCGAATGATGAAGACACATCAAGTTACAAAGGTACCACTTTCTCTCTAATATCTTTTCTTTTTAAACAATTTGTGTCAATGTCAACAACATGATAAAGATGAAGGGTGTTCAACTGATTATTTGAACCCATAAAAACTCCACCAGGGAATCTTATTTTGTGGGCACAATGCACAGAGCCTGGAACATGGTGGGTGCTCAATGTTGGAGGAATCAAATTCCAACTTTAAAATGAGTACAAGGACCTACTTTAGATCAAATATTAAATCTGGCTAATAATTTCGGGCCACACTCCGCTTCTGTGTCTCAAAGCAGGTGGGGCAGAAAAAAGTAGCCGAGTCTCAAATTTGCTGCTATTCTCTTTATAAGCAGTTTACAACTACTTGGCATCTCTAGCTCAGAAGCACAAAATGTATATACAAAGAAATGATTAGAATTTATCTTAACTGAAAGCACTAGTTTAAACAGCCTAGAGTCTTGTAGAAATTGTTATTCCAAAACATGCAGAGGCAGCAAGAGTTGCCCAAAACCACATTTTATTCTATAACCTTTATATTGCTTTTCTGTTAAAGATTGAAGCAATGTGAAGTGGATGGAAATATTTTGTTAAAAGAACAAAATGAATTAATCACAGCATAGATGACTAATAAAAACCTTGGGTTTATGCCATACACTTCAAACACAAGGCAAAGTCCAGTAGTGGCTCATGTTCTGGGTTTTTAGAAAGCAAATGAAAATATTTGGAAAGATCAATATATTTCAACAGAAGAGCCATAAATGCCCTGAAAGCAGAAAGTTGACACAATTTTAAATAGAATTCATATATATATATTTTAAAATCAAACACAATTAAATATAATATGGTTTAAGTACATGAATACTTCAGCTTTAAAAGAATAACAGAGGTGGTACATAGTACCAAAAACTTACACAAAGCCTTTTTGCTTCTTCTGTCGATGAAACAGTGTGCCTCTATACAATCAAATATTGCAATGGAATAAATTCTCTGTTCATTCAAGACTTTCTCAAGGACAAAAGTGATTAATAATTATATATTTATACATATATATATATATTTTTTTTTTTGCAAAGTCTGAGCAAAAGCAGTAACATCTAAGAGAACTTTCTTTCCTCTCAATCATGTGCATTGAGGAAGCGCTGGCGCCACGTGGTCAATGGAGTGTGCTCACCAACTGGGCAGTCCTGCTGATGGCTGTGTGATCCCGATGCAGAAGCCAACTGAGCAGAAGTGCAGTGAGTGAGTCTCTTACTATCCTAAAGAAAGGAGAAGAAAGACGACCAACTGCACACTTTCCAGCTCACAGCAAAGAATGGGGGAGGCAGTCAAAGTCAAATGTTTCTCTCTCCCCAGTCATCCTGCTCACCTTATTTAAAAAAAAAAAAAGTATAATTTGGGAAGAACTGCTTTGTTCAAGGTGCCACAGGGGCAAAAGTGGAGTCATCGCTATTTCTTTCTTTCTTTCCACATGTATTCTGAAGGGAAAGTTAAGTAACTGGAGTGCAGAATTCCAAAGGGGCAAATCCTAATGCTCAAAGTAAACCAGATTCACACCCTTCTGTTAGCAGGGGAGAGAATGGTTTTAAGTATAGTGCATCTCAGGAGGAGGAATTAAAATGTGAAAACTATATACTGCCATCAGAGGAAGGAGGAAGTCACTGAAACTTGACCCATGACTTGTCAGTTTCCTTCCAAATTAATGCCGCTGTCAAGAAGACTGCATAATTAACTCTCACCCTGTTCCGCTGAAGCTGCTAGCACCACGCTGCCACTCAAAGCTGCCTGGCTCTCGGTGGGGCTGACTCACCTGCTTTGGAAGGACAAAGCAAACCACCTCTGGCACCTGCTTTACAATGCTGATTAGGGATGAGTTACCACTACGAGTGTGCATCAAGTATCAGTTCTATGCTTATCTGCTTCCCAGAGGATGTGGTCCCTGTCTATTCCAGTAGGCTAAAACACTCTCATAAATGGGTTATTGCCATTGGAAAACTAATAATTTTCTAGTAATGTAAACAATACCATTTTGTATCTTTAAGACTCTCACTGTGTGAACATCATGTGCATCAATTATGCCTACAGGTAACTGCATTATGGTGGAAGTCTAGGATTGTCTCCCATTCTCTCCTGGAAACAACAGTGACAGATCAGAAATATAGTGCTGTTTTCATTGGCTGTGTTGAAGAATCCAACCAAGGGAAAAAAGTTCTCTTATTTTTCACAAGCAGATTTCCTTTATCTCAAGTTTTGAGTCATAACTGAAAAAAGAAAAGAAAAGAAAATGGTAAGGTGCATTTCTCTAACAAGTGACCTATTATTACAAATTAAGGATGGACACCAACACTTAGTGTTTACTATATACCAGAGTTTAAGACAGCCAGAAGCTGACTACAATTTTGTGAGGTAAAATATTGTAATTTTCCTTGTTAAAATATGAGTGAACAGAAGCTTAAAGAGGTTACGTAACTTACCCAAGGGGCATATAACAAGGACTGGCATCCAGACTTGCTTTCCCATGTTGGCAATAGATATTAGAATGAAAAATATTGCCAATTTTCAATAGAGTAATTCTACTTCTAGGAATTAACCCTAGAGCATATTCAAGAGGGATGGTAAAGACACACATGCAGACATTCACTGACTCCCTCCTGTAGTCACAGCACTGCGGACAAATATCACGGAAGACAAGGTCCCCGGTATTGTGGCATGGGACATGTGCACATGAAGCAATTCAGTAATGGTGTGAGGTAGTTTATGCTGAATGTCCAAGTACATCCTATAGGCAAATGTCGAGTTGGAGGTTGAAGCAGAGAGGTATCAACACAGGATAAAGAGAATGAGTATTCCTTCGCAGGCCTAGGACTTCATGCATTCATAAAATCATGGAATGAGGATTAGAAGGGGTTTTTCTTTTGGGGTTTTGGTGTCGAATTTCTCTGATCTACTAATGAGGACATGAGGAACTAAAGTAGTCACCTGCAAAAGGTCACACTTACTGCCTAAAGTAAAGAAAAACTCAGCTAGTTCTTCGAGTCTACTGTTTTTTTTTGTTTTTTTTTTGAGACGGAGTTTCACTCTTGTGGCCCAAGCTGGAGTGCACTGGTGCAATCTCAGCTCACCGCAACCTCTGCCTCCCGGGTTCAAGCAATTCTCCTGCCTCAGCCTCCCAAGTAGCTGGGATTACAGGCAATGCGCCACCACGCCCAGCTAATTTTGTATTTTTAGTAGAGATGAGGTTTCTCCATGTTGGTCAGGCTGGCCTTGAACTACCGATCTCAGGTGATCTGCCTGCCTCAGCCCCCACAAAGTGCTGGGATTATAGACGTGAGCTACCACGCCCGGCCCCCATTTCTGGTATTTTTTATTTTAAGAAATTCCATTTGGTTCTTTTAAAACTATTTTGCATTTTTCTCATTATACTCTTGTTTTCTTTAACTTTTTTTTTTTTTTTTTTGAGACAGAGTCTCACTCTGTTGTCCAGGCTGGAGTACAAGTGGCACAATCTCGGCTTACTGCAACCTCAACCTCCACCTCCCGGGTTCAAGTGATTCTTGTGCCTCAGCCTCCCATATAGCTGGGACTATAGGCACCTGCCACCATGCCCAGCTAATTTTTTTGTATTTTTAGTAGAGAAGGGGTTTCACCATATTGGCCAAGCTGGTCTTGAACTCCTACCCACCTTGGCCTCCCAAAGTGCTGGGATTACAGGCATGAGCCACTGCACCTGGCCACTTGAACATATTTTTAATATTTAAAATAGCCACTTGATGGTCTTTGTCTGCTAAATTCATCATCTTTCTCACATCTGGGTCTGTTTCTATAGATTGAGTTTTCTCCTGGTTATAGGTCAACTTCATGTCATGCTTGGTAATTTGTGATTGACGTCAGACATTCTTTTTTTTTTTTGAGCCTGAGTTTTGCTCTTTTTGCCCAGACCAGAGTGCAGTGGTGCGATCTCGGCTCACTGCAACCTTCACCTCCTGGGTTCAGGCAATTCTCCTGCCTCAGCCTCCCAAGTAGCCGGGATCACAGGTGCCGGCCACCATGCCTGGCTAAGTTTTTGTATTTTTAATAGAGACGGGGTTGCACCATGTTAGCCAGGCTGGTCTTGAACTCCTGACCTCAGGTCATCTACCTGCCTCGGCCTCCCAAAGTGCTGGGATTACAGGCATGAGCCACTGCGCCCAGCCTGGACGTCAGACATTCTAACTTTACACTGTGAAGTGCTGAATTTTGTTGTGTTACTGTAAAGAGGGTTAGGCCTTTGTTTTGGCATGCAGTTGTTAGGTAATTTGACCCTTTAAAAATTTGCTTTGAAACTTGGTTCAGGTGCTTGTACTCTAGGACTAATTTATCTTCAGTAGTAAGGCATAACCTCTGTGAAGACACTACCCAATGCCTTGTGTATTACTAAGTCTCTCTACTCTGGCCAGATCCTTCTGGCCATGAACTTTTCTTAGCCCTATGTTCCAGCAATCATTCAGCCTACTAATTTCTGGGGGGTTCTCTACCTGGACACATGCGTTTTCACCCCACACATATACAGATCACTCCTAGGCCAAGGATCCATGGGAATCTCTCTAAATATCTCTACGGCTTTCTTTCTGGGCAGCTTCCTCTTTTCTGCTACCTTATCCTACAACTTCTACTCAAATTGAGCTCTCTGAACTTTGATTTTTTTTTTGAAATGGGGTTTCGCTCGTCGCCCAGGCTGGAGTGCAGTGGTGTGATCTCGGCTCACTGCAACCTCCGCCTCCCTGGTTCAAGCGATTCTCCTGCCTCAGCCTCCCAAATAGTTGGGATTACAGGTGCCTGCCACCACACCCGGCTAAGACAGGGTTTCACCATGTTGGCCAGGCTGGTCTTGAACTCCTGACCTCAAGTGATTCACCCGCCTTGGCCTCCCAAAGTGCTGGGATTACAGGCGTGAGCCACTGCACCTGGCCTGAACTTTGATATTTAACTCTTTCGTTCAGCAAGACTACTGGGCTCTGTTTGGTTTCCATGGTTTCCCTGTATTGCCCATTGTCCAATATATGCAAACAGTTGTTTCATTTAGTTTGTCAATTTTCTAGTTGCTTATGATAAGAAGGTAATCCCCACAGCAGTTAATCCTTCAAAGGCAAAGAAACCCCTTATGTTCTTTTTTATTTTTACACCTGGAAAATAATACTTTTTAGTTTACACAAAACGAAGTCATCCTTACCTTTGTAGATTTCTCTAACGGTTGATCATACTGAGCCTGCTGCATAATGTCACTGACTATCATTTTAGCAATCTTCCAAGCTAGCTCTTCCTGGGCCTAAAGAAAATAATTTAAACTGGTGATAATGGTTATTCATTAGATGGATCGAGATGCACATACTCAGTGCTCTTAACAAATGGCTTACGCACATAATTTCTACTTATTTGGATAAGAATTTCATTCCCATGTACGAAAAAACCTGGGCCACCCTCTGGCTATGAATATTAACATGTCATTCCCTGTCTTCCAGTGTCAACTACTGGATACCTAACACCGAACTACTTTCATATTAGATGGTCAAAATAAAACATTTTCCTTTTTTCACCTCCCATCTCTCAATGTACTTAATTAACTATTAAAAAAGCAAGCCTCCACTACTTGAAGTAAAACTGCCAGTGGGGAAGGAAACATTTGAGCTTTTGATCTACACACTGATTACTGATGCCTGCTGGCTGATGGAAACTTGAATGCATGTATATCCTTCAGTGGTCCTAGCCTCTGACTGAAGATACCTTCACTGCTACTACCAGGCAATTGTTAGATGTTAAGAAGGGACCACCCTTTCTTGGTACATTCTGGGTAAGAGAACATAAATGTGCCATGCTGCTTAAACATGGGACCTAAAGAAAAGGAAAATTTTAAACCTCACTTACATGAGGGTGGCACTTATAAACAGAAATCTTTTTATCCTAAAGGTAGGATTTACCTCATCAGTATTTCCTTGCACCCATTTCTTCATAGCTTGTGAGAACATGGATCCTAGTAAACAAAGACAAAATTGAATGTACATTTCATGCATAATTTTACATTAAAAATGCTCTTATTTGGCTGGCCATGGTGGTTCATGCCTGTAATTCCAGCACTTTGGGAGGCCGAGGTGGGTGATTCACCTGAGGTTAAGAGTTCAAGACCAGCCTGGCCAACATGGTGAAACCTGTCTCTACTAAAATAATAAAAATCAGCCAGGCATGGTAGCAGGTGCCTATAATCCCAGCTACTCAGGAGGCTGAGGCAGAAGAATTGCTTGAACCTGGGAGCAGAGGTTGAAGCGAGCTGAGATCGTGCCACTGCACTCCAACCTGGGCAACAGAGCGAGACTCCAACTCAAAAAAAAAAAAAAAAACCACTATCACCACCACCACCACAATGCTCTTATTTAAAAGCTGTTGCTTCCAGATATGGATATTCTTTTTTGTGTGATACCCCAAAACACTAAGGAATGTTACATTAATAAAAACTGATTATATTGCTTACATAACAGAGCATTTAACTTGCAAACATCATGGCTTGAAAAACTTTTGAAAAGGTGTTTCAGAGTTCTGGACTTTTCTTCTACTCTCCTCACTTGATGAAAGAACTAACATCTAGTGTTAGTTTGTGGCAAACATTAAAAAACAAAACAAAACCAAACCAAACCCTAACCAGGATAATGCTCTTGGGTAAGAATCTAGCAATACATTGGGAGACACCAACACATTTGTTATGTTTTCAAACCTTCCAGACCAGCTCCTATATAAAAGGGCTTCTAAGACAGAGTATGCTGCTACATTCTAGTTCTCTAGTCTATATAAACTAGCTGGGTGAGAGAAGAGTTTCAAAGAGCTCTACTCTATCCAAGCCAGAGTACGCCTTAACTCCCTAGGATGTATAAGCCCACATCTGTAATCACATGCTGAGAATCATCCGAAGTAGGCCAGCCTCTATTTCTATGAATGAAATACACAGCTTACTTTTTTATTTAATAATTTGAACATGCTCACTTCCTAACTTTGCTTTAAAACAAGTTAATTGTTGGTAGATTATTTCTTGAGGCAAGGTCCTGTTTAATTCAATAACTGAATTCATAAAAAATACAAAACCTGGATCCTTTTCCCTCAATTTTTATTATTACCTAAGGGTTTAAATATTGGTTTAATGAAATTTTACTGCCAACCAGAGTCTACAGAGTCACAGTGTTAAATGCTCTGCATGAAGGCTCAACTGGCTGTTGAATCACCCCATGCACTGTTCTCTCGTCAGGCCCCCCTGCAGAGTCACTCTATTGACATGTTAGAAAACCCATGTTAAAAAAACTCAATCTACCTTCCCAATTTACACATGAAATCTGCCACCAAATTTCACCTTAGAATTCAACCTTGGACATATCATAAATCCGACCTTCCCTCTAATTCTTGCTACCACTACCTAACTTTGAATCTTTTTCTTCTCCTATCAACATTACCAGCTAATTCCACTGGCTGACTGGTGTCCCTCATGCCAGTCTCTCCCACCTCCAATTCATTCTCATTCTACTGACAGGGAAAAGCATCTGGTTAGAACTCTGTTTAGAAATCTCTGGGCTGGGCGCGGTGGCTCACGCCTGTAATTTCAGAACTTTGGGTGGCTGAGGCGGGAGGATCACCTGAGGTCAGGAGTTCGAGACCAGCCACAACATGGAGAAACCCCGTCTCTACTAAAAATACAAAATTAGCCAGGCGTGGTGGTGCATGGCTGTAATCCCAGCTACTCGGGAGGCTGAGGCAGGAGAATTGCTTGAACCTGGGAGGTGGAGGTTGTGGTGAGCCGAGATCACGCCATTGCACTCCAGCCTCGGCAACAAGAGCAAAACTCTGTCACAAAAAAAAAAAAAAAAAAAAAAAAAAAAAAAAAAGAAATCTCTGATGTCTACATGATGGGAGTCAGTCTAAGCTCCTTAAAATGACATGTAAGGGATTTATCAATTTAAGTACAGTTTTGTCTCCCACCAATGTATCGAAGCACAAGGGATTGCCACTACATTGGGCACGTGCTCATAACATCATTTTACAATTCCTTCTTGTTACACTGTCTCTTAGATGATTTTAATGTAACTTCTTAAGTTATCTTGCTTGCCCTTCTCATAATCTCAGAAGGCTCTTTTCAAAACTCAATCTTGGCTGGGCACGGTGGCTCACGCCTGTAATCCCAGCACTTTGGGAGGCTGGGGCGGGCAAATCACTTGAGGTCAGAAGTTTGAGACCAGTCTAACCAACATGGTGAAACCCCGTCTCTACTAAAAATACAAAAATAGGCGTGTGCCAATAATCCCAGCACTTTGGGAAACTGAGACGAGTAGATCACCTGAGATCAGGAGTTCGAGACCAGCCTGGTCAACATAGTGAAACCCCATCTCTACTAAACATACAAAAATGAACTAGGGATGGTGGCACGTACCTGTAGTCCCAGCTACTGGGGAGGCTGAGGCAGAAGAATTGCTTGAACCCAGGAGACAGAGGTTTGAGTGAGCCAACATCGCACCACTGCACTCCAGCCTGGGTGACAGAGCAAGACTCCATCTCAGAAAAAAACAAAACGAAACAAAAACAGAAAATTAGCTGGGCGTGGTGACACGTGCCTGTAATCTCAGCTACTCGAGAGGCTGAGGCAGAATTGCTTGAACCTGGGAGGCAGAGGTTGCAACCAGCTGAGATGGTGTCACTGCACTCCAGCCTGGGCCATAGAGCAAGACTGTCTCAAAAAAAGAAAACTCAGTCTTTTCCTCTGTGCTCTATTATCAAGGTTTCAAAACTCAAATTAAAGCTATAGGCTAGTAAATGATGAAAATTCTTTCCAGCTGCCCTCAATAAGGAAGGAGAGAAAGGCAGAGGAAGGGGAGCCGAACTGTAAACAAACCATTGTCAAGGTGGTATTCTGAACCAAAGCCCTGTAGTTGCTACTAACCTGCTGTGTGATTCCTAACAAATCACAGACCACAATCTCCACATTCCTCAATTTCTTTCTTTCTTTTTTTTTTTTTTAAGACAGAGTCTCACTCTGTTGCCCAGGCTGGAATGTAGTGGTGCATTATCAGCCCGCTGCAAACTCCACCTCCTGGGTTTAAGTGATTCTCCTCCCTCAGCCTCCCTAGTAGCTGGGATTACAGGTACTCGTACCCGCCACCACGCCTGGCTAATTGTTTTTTTTTTTTTTTTTTGAGACAGAGTCTCCCTCTGTTGACCAGGCTGGAGTTCAGCGGTGCAATCTCAGCTCATTGCAACCTCCGCCTCCCGGGTTCAAGGGATTCACCTGCCTCAGCCTCCCGATAGCTGGGACTACAAGCGCGTGCCACCATGCCTGGCTAATTTTTTGTATTTTTAGTAGAGATGGGGTTTCACTGTGTTAGCCAGGATGGTCTCGAACTCCTGACCTCGTGATCTGCCTGCCTTGGCCTCCCAACGTGCTGGGATTATAGGCGTGAGCCACCACGCCCGGCCCTAATTGTTGTATTTTTAATAGAGGCAAGGCTTTACCATGTTGGCCAGGCTGGTCTTAACTCTTGTCCTCAGTGATCCGCTCGCCTTGGCCTCCCAAACTGCTGAGATTACAGGTGAGAGCCACTGTGCCCAGACTTCAATTTCTACATTTGTAGAATGAGGATATGATATACACAGATACATCATCTAAGAATTGCATTAGCTTGAAAGTGCTAAGAAATATCAATTATTTGGGGATTGAGAAGAGAATGGCCTCTGTGAGTATCCTCGGAAGTAATCTGGCTAAGAAAACTTAGTGTCTATGTCAGTGTGGCAAAGGGC
Organism: Homo sapiens; assembly: GCF_000001405.40. Classification (NCBI taxonomy): domain Eukaryota; kingdom Metazoa; phylum Chordata; class Mammalia; order Primates; family Hominidae; genus Homo; species Homo sapiens. Next base: position 19,913,773 of record NC_000017.11, read on the forward strand.
AACCAAGTTTAAAAAATGATTTTTTCTTACATAAATATAATCCGTAATCTTACCACTCAGATAATCCCAAATGAAATTCTTAAGTATTAAATAATTCAGTCAATAAATATTTAAGGAGTACTTACCATGTGCTAGGCATAATTTCAGAATCAGGAAATATAGTGCCAAATAGTATAGACAAACTCCCTGCCCACATAGAGGTAATATTCTAGTCATGAAAGAGAAACTATTTTTATTTACTTTTTAGACACATGGTCTCACTCTGTCACTAGGCTAGAGTGCAGTGGCACAATCATGGCTCACCGTCGCCTCAACCTCCTGGGCCCAAGCGATTCTCCCACCTCTGCCTCCCAAGTAGCTGGGACCACAGGCATGTGCCACCATGCCCAGCTAATTTTTAAACAATTTTTTATAGACAGGGTCTCACTTTGTTGCCCAGGCTGGTCTTGAAGTCCTGGGCTCAACCAATTCTCCAACCCAGCCTCCCAAAGTATTGAGATTACAGGTGTGAGGCACCATGTCCAGCTGAGAAATAAGCTATAAACAAGTATGTAAATAAATGAACAAGATAATTTTAGACAGTGAATAAGAAAATAGGCCAGGAGTAGTGGCTCACTCCTATAATCCCAATACTTTGGGAGGCTGAGAGATGTGGATTGCTTGCGGCAGGAGCTTGAGACCAGCCTTGGTGAAACCCTGTCTCTACAAAAAGTAAAATAATAAGCCAAGTATGGTGGTGTGTGCCTGCAGTTCCAGCTACTCGAGAGGCTGAGGTGAGAGGATCATTTGAGCCCAAGAAGATGAGGCTGCAGTGAGTCGTGATTCCAGCCTGGGCAACAGAGCAAGACCCTATCTCAAAAAAAAAAAAAAAAAAAAAAGATAAAAGGAAAAGAAAAGAAAGAAGTGGTAGTGAGTGGTATATACAAAGGATTTTAGATCATCGGAGTTGGGAAGGTCCCTCTCTGAAGAGATAATATTGAGATGAGAAGGAGGAACCATCCTTGCATGAAAGCCATGGCAGGGCTTGCCACAGCCATGAAATAGCAACTGCAGAGGCACTCAAAGTGAAGAAACTTCAGCAAAAGAATAAAAGATAGTCCAATGAGAGCTCAGTCCATGAAAGGAGTGGTTCAAAGTAAGGTGATAGAGGCCAGCAAGGGACATCCACAGGTAACAGCAAAGAGGCTAGATTTCATTCCAAATGCAACAGAAAGCCACAGGGGAAGAGATGAGGTGGATGATTAAGCAATAACGTATGCATAGGGCAAGAAAGTTCAAAAAGCAGAGGAAAAGGTATATTGAAAAGTAAAAGGCACCTCTTTCTTCTCATCTCTAATGTAATCACTGTTAAATTTTATGTGTATCCATTCAGGCAACATTTTAATGTACAGACCAATATACAGAGAGGCTTTCAAAAACACCATATACAACACATGATGTGTTCTAATCTAAAATGTGTAACACGAATCATCAAGACTATAGGTGTAACTTCCAGTTTACAAGAAATGTCAAGGAAAGAGAAATAAGCTAAATAACACAACCAGGAAAGTACAGAAGATTAAACATTCTGTAGGATAACTGATATGCTTAACAAGTCAGGGTCATTAAAAAGGAACCAAGCTGGAGTAAAACAGACTGAGACTACGCCCTCTTATTTACATCCTTGGCATTCAGCATAGTGCCTGGCACATAGTAATCACTCAAATGCCTTTTGGGTGAATAAATTCAATCTCTAGGCTCCTACACCACCAAAAAATACTTGACTTAAAGAGACATCTGGACAACTAAAAGAAGAACCAGGATATACAGGGGTGTTTAACCAAACTGCAGAAATTCCTATTTATTAGTTTATGTGGGCATGTCTCAATTAAATTAATAATACAAGTAACTTCATAGATGGGCTTGCTGGTAGAAATATAATCTTTTTGCCTCTACCTTCAAATACAACCCGAACTGGACTGGTCTTCCACTACCAGCCTAATCCACACCACCATCATCCCTTACTTAGACTATGACTATGGCAAGAATGTTGTTTCTCTGCTTCTCTTCTTGAAGCCCTACACTAAATTTTCCAAATAGCTGATAGAGCAATCCCTTAAAAACACTAAACATAAAACAAAAACAAAACATAAATCCCATCATTTCCCTGCTCCAACTTCCAATGTGTCCCTGACACTTTCAAGTCCTTGCCATGGTCTCTGGTGACCTCCCAACTCACTCACCTTCTACTGCTCATTCCTTTGCTCACTCCATTCCAGCCACACGGGGCTTGCTGTTCCTTGATCATGCTGAGCTCTCTAGCTTCGGGCCTCTATCCTTGTTCCTTTCACCAAGAACACTCTTCCTCCACATGCTGCCTGGGCTTACGCCCCCGCTGCGCTCAGGTCTACTCAAAATGCCACCTCCTCAGTGAGGCCTTTCCTGACAACCACCTCGAAAATAGCACTCCCTACTACTCTCTCCCAGCCCCCTACCCTGCTTTTCATGTAACACATGTACACAGGCTACATTTGTTTGTCTGTTACTGTCTCCGCCAATATAATGTAAGTTCCATGAAAGCAGGAACTTTGTTTTCTTCCCCAGGACCCAGAACAATAGATGCATACAGTAGGCACTCCACTGTTCTATAAAATGAATGAATGAAGGAATAACATAAACAGACTGAATGAATAGAACGAGCAGAGATAGTGGTTTGGGAAAAAATTTCCTATATATCTTCAACTGCTCATAATACACCTTAATTCATATAAAACAAACAGAAACTGCAAACACCGAACACCTATGCTATGTTAACACTATGCTAACACATATACATATGAAGCAGGAGCACTTCTTCATGAGCTGTCAGAGGTATGAGACCAGATTAAAAAAAAAAAAAAATCAGGCCAGGCACGGTGGCTCACACCTGTAATCCCAGCACTTTGGGAGGCCGAGGTGGGCGGATCACGACATCAGGAGATCGAGACCATCCTGGCTAATGCGGTGAAACCCCGTCTCTTCTAAAAATACAAAAAATTAGCCGGGCGTGGTGGCGAGCGCCTGTGGTCCCTGCTACTCAGGAGGCTGAGGCAGGAGAATGGCTTGAACCTGGCAGGCAGAGCTTGCAGTGAGCCGACATCGTGCCACTACACTCCAGCCCGGGCGACAGAGCGAGAGTCTGTCTCAAAAAATAAATAAATAAATAAATAAATAACAACAACAAAAAAACCAGGCCAGGCACGGTGGCTCACGCCTGTAACTCCAGCACTTTGCAAGGCAGAGGCGAGCGGATCACGAGGTCAGGAGATCGAGACCATCCTGGCTGACATGGTGAAACCCCATCTCTACTAAAAATAACAAAAAATTAGCTGGGCGTGGTGGTGGACACCTGTAGTCCCAGCTACTTGGGAGGCTGAGGCAGGAGAATGGTGTGAACCTGGGAGGCAGAGCTTGCAGTGAGCCAAGATCGCGCCACAGCACTCCAGCCTGGCCGACAGAGAGAGACTCCATCTCAGGAAAAAAAAACAAAACAAACAAACAAAAAAAAACAGCTCAGAGATTTTCTATTAATACTGGGGAGGAGACCCCATTATCCTTATGGACAGAAGCTACCTAAAGACACTGTAGAGTTCTTCCTGGCCAATGCCTCACAAAGGTCATCTGGCACTTCCTCTGTTCTAAAACCACCACTGACCTCTTCCCAGTATTCCTTAAAAAAATTGTGTTTTGTTTTTTAGAGACATGGTCTTGCTCCATTACCTAGGTGGAAGTGCAATGGCGTGATCACAATTCACTGCAGCCGCAGCCTCACCCTCCTGGGCTCCAACACTCCTTCCATCTCAGTCTCACAAAGTGCTCAGATTACAGGTATGAACCACCATGCAGCCCCCAATATTGTTCTTTTACCCAATACAAGCTCACGCCTGTAAGCCCAGTACTTTGGGAGGCCAAGGTGGGCGGATCACTTGAGGCCAGCATGGTCAACATAGCAAAACCCCATCTCTACTAAAAATAACAAAAAATTAGCCAGGCGTGGTGGCAGGTGCCTATAATCCCAGCTACTTGGGAGGCTGAGGCAGAATAATTGCTAGAACCTGGGGGGCAGAGGTTGCAGTGAGCCAAGCCTGGCGACAGAGCTAGACTCTGTCCCCCTCCCACCCGACAAAAAAAAAGAAAGAAAATAAGATGGCTGGGCACAGTGGCTCACACTTGTAATCTCAGCACTTTGGGAGGCCGAGGTGGGCAGATTACGAGGTCAGGAGTTCCGAGACCAGCCTGGCCAACATGGTGAAACCCTGTCTCTACTAAAAATACAAAAATTAGCTAGATGTGGTGGCACGCGCCTGTAATCCCAGCTACTTGGAAGACTGAGGCAGGAGAATTGCTTGAACCCAGGAGGCAGAGGTTGCAGTGAGCTGAGATCGCACCATTGCACTCCAGCTCTGGGCGACACAGCAAGACTCCGTCTCAAACAAAAAAAAAAAAAAAAAAGAAAATAAGATAAATGGCCAGACATGGTGAATCATGCCTGTAATCCCAGCACTTTGGGAGGCTAAGGCGGGCAGATCACCTGAGGTCAGGAGTTTGAGACCAGACCAGCCTGGCCAATGTAGTGAAACCCTGTCTCTACTAAAAATGCAAAAATTAGCCATGGCGCCTGTAATCCCAGCTACTCAGGAGCCTGAGGCAGTAGGATCGCTTAAACCCGGAGGCGGGTGCACAGGCATGTGCCACCACGCCTGGCTAATTTAGTAGAGACAGGGTTTCACCATGTTGGCCAGGATGGTCTCAATCTCTTGACCTCGTGACCCACCTGCTCCAGCTTCCCAAAGTGCTAGGATTACAGGCATGAGCCACAGCGCCTGGCCAATAGCTCTTAATCTTAAACATACTTATCAAAATTGAATTTTTCTTCTTACAAAAATTAGTATCTTTTACTCAATAAAATACTGTCAATTCAACCAAACTAAAAACTTCTAGATACCATCTGTCACGGATCCACATTTGTTTCTGAAATCTTCCTGTGTAAACCAGGAAGAAAATGAAATCAGTCACAAAGAATGCACTTGACAAAAAAGATTTCTGTTGTCTAACCCTTGGATTTGACTAAACTACTCTTCTGATTAAATGAACAATTTGAATTTTGACCTATTAATATTTTCCACATATATTTATTTTTTTTAAATTTATTATACTTTAAGTTCTAGGGTACATGTGCACAACGTGCAGCTTTGTTACATATGTATACATGTACCATGTTGGTGTGCTGCACCCATTAACTCGTCATTTATATTAGGTATATCTCCTAATGCTATTCCTCCCCCAGCCCCCCACCCCACGACAGGCCCCAGCGTGTGATGTTCCCCACCCTGTGTCCAAGTGTTCTCATTGTTCAATTCCCACCTATGAGTGAGAGCATGCGGTGTTTGGTTTTCTATCCTTGAGACAGTTTGCTCAGAATGATGGTTTCCAGCTTCATCCATGTCCCTACAAAGGACATGAACTCATCCTTTTTTATGGCTGCATAGTATCCATGGTGTATATGTGCCACATTTTCTTAATCCAGTCTATTTTCCACATATATTTCATTACTTTTATATTTCATTACTTTCATCAATCTTGAGGAAATTTAATAAAAATAATTTAATAAGGCCAGGCATGGTGGCTCACACTTGTAATCCCAGCACTTTGGGAAGCCAAGGCGGATGGATTGCTTGAGGTCAGGAGTATGAGACCAGCCTAGCCAACGTGGTGAAACCTCATCTCTGCTAAAAATACAAAAATTAGCCAGGTGTGGTGGTGCGCACTTGTAGTCCCAGCTACTCAGGAGGATGAGGCAGGAAAATCGCTTGAACCTAGGAAGCAGAGGTTGCAGTGAGGTGCGGTCAGACCACTGCACTCCGGTCTGGGTGACAGAGCAAGAACTGTCTCAAAAAAAAAAAAGAAAAGAGAAAAAATATAATTTAATAAAATAAACGGTCTCAAACATTAAGTCCAACTTAGGTCGGGTATTTTGCCATTAAATAAGAAAATAGACAATGCTTTTTCATATTCATGTGCCTTCTGGAGTGGCAAAGCAAGTTCACTAACTTTTGATTCAGAGGAGATTGCATAAAGATGTGACTACAGGAAGCCCTTGTACTTACTTCTGACTATAAACACAAGGTGAAAGATACAGTGGTTACTTTACAAAATAAACAGTTTAAACCTTAAGTGGTCTTTGACTTACAGTCAATCACTAATGTGAGTAAAGGCTTAATATGAAGTATAAAAACACCACAAACCTTTTGATTTCCTTACATCAGGTTCAGGCTCAGATTCTCGGATGAATTGCCCCAAGTCACTGACTCTTCCAAATGTCATCTTCCTAAATAAGAATGAACAGAAGACTTTAACTTCTAACAATCAGTTTTAAATTTAGGAGAAAACAATCAATTTAAAGCGTTTCATCTAAATCTAGAAAGCCAGAAACACAATTTATAGCTATCCTAAGTAATTTAAAGTAGGGATTATTTGAAATAAAACATTGCTGCACAGAAAGCAAGATAATCTTTAATTGAGTGCAATTCCATTCAAAATCCTCAGTTTACAAAACATGGTGAGTCAACAGGTAATTCACAATTCTAAAATTCACAAATAAGAAAAAAGGCACAAGAATAGCCAAGACAATTTTGTAAAAGAAGCACCCAAAAGGTAGGCCTTGCTCTAACAATGACTGAAACATATTATAAAGCCATAGTTGTGTGTATACATACATCTGTTTATACTAAAACTATAGTACTATAAAACAAAGTTAAAAAGCAAAAAGTGGCTAGGCACTGTGGCTCATGCCTGTAATCCCAGTACTTTGGGATGCCGAGGCAGGCGGATCACTTGAGGCCAGTAGTTTGAGACCAGCCTGGCCAACATGGTGAAACCCTGTCTCTACTAAAAATACAAAAATTAGCTGGGTGTGGTGGTGGATGCCTGTAATCCCAGCTACTTGGGAGGCTAAGGCAGGAGAATTGCTTGAAACAGGGAGGTAGAGGTTGCAGTTGCAGTGAGCTGAGAGCCGAGATCATACCATTGCACTCCAGCCTGGGCAACAGAGCAAGACTCTATCTCAAAAAAAAAAAAAAAAAAAAAAAAAAAAAAGCAAAAAATACAGTAAGGGTCTTATTTTTAAGGTATTACCAACCAATGATTAGTATCGAGAAACATAGAGAATCTTTTTTTTTTTTTGAATAATGAAGTGTCATGCTGAAAAAATATACAGAATTTTAACAAGTCACTAATAAAATCACCCAACAGAAATAATGTGAAAAAGAGATGAACAGTCAATTCATAAAAGAAAAAACCTGAACAATCAAGAGACATACCAAAAGAAACTCAATCTCATTAGCAAACACTTAAGACTGGAAAAAAAATTAAGTCTGAAGTATTCTTTTTTTTTTTTGAGACAGAGTCTCACTCTGTTGCTAGGCTGGAGTGCAGTGGTGTGATCTAAGTTCACTGCAACCTCCACCTCCCGGGTTCAAGTGATTCTCCTGTCTCAGCCTCTCGAGTAGCTGGGACTACGGGTGCGCCACCACGCCCAGCTAATTTTTGTATTTTTAGTAGAGACAGGGTTTCACCATATTGGCCAGGGTGGTCTCGATCTCTTGATCTGCCCGCCTCGGCCTCCCAAAGTGCTGGGATTACAGGCGTGAGCCACTGTGTCCAGCCAAAAGTATGAAGTATTCTTATTAAAGACTGGTGAGAACATAAAATGATGCAGATACTTTACAAAGTAAATTGTAAGAGCTATCAAAATTTAAAATGTAGGCCAGGCATGGTGGCTCATGCCTGTAACCCCAGCACTTTGGGAGGCCAAGATGGAAGGATTGCTTGAGCCTAGGAGTTTGAGACCAGCCTGGGCAACATAGTGAGACTTCATTTCATTTTTTTTCAAAAATTTTTTCAAAAAAAAATTTTTTAATCTGCCTCTTGGTACAAAGAAGCATATAAAAAGAGATCCTCTGTAATACTGGGTATAAGAGGGAAAAACTGCAAATGACTTAAATACTCATTGATACCAAAATGGCAAAACAGTAATACATACACTATGAGATGCTCTGCTACAGTGATGAGTTATAGTAAATATTACATACGGAATACTACAGTGTAGTTAAAATGAAGTAAGTCTGTATAGATGAACATAGGAATGTCCAAAACTCACTGTGAATGAAAGTACAACGTACAGAATGGAGCGTAATATCAATTACATAAAAATAAGCAAACAAAAGTGCATACCATAAGAATGATTACTGTGAGTAGGAAGGGAAGAAAATAAGCAATGGTACATGAACAAAGAGGACATTAAACTTAACTAGAAATTTAACCTTTTATAAGAATAATGCCAGGTGCGGTGGCTCATGTGTGTAATCCCAGCACTTTGGGAGGCTGAGGAAGGTGGATCACTTGACGTCAAGAATAATGCATTTATCAAGTCGGTTAAAAGAAAAATTCTGTGAACATCAATATATCAGTTTATTTTAGGCAAAGTGATCTTATTTTAGAGATATCTTCCTAATAAGTTATTTCATAGATGGGTACCAATATACCAACTGATACAAATTTACTTGCCTTGAGAAAAATTTCAGAAAGATGCTAAAATCATAAAACTAAAACATATATTAAAACCATCTTTATTTATTTATTTTTAGTAGAGACGGAGTTTCACCATGTCGGCCAGGCTGGTTTCGAACTCAAGTGAGCCGCCTGCCGAGGCCTCCCAAAGTGCTGGGATTACAAGTGTGAGCCACTGCGCCTGGTGAAGATAATCTTTCAAGATGAAGAAAAATTATCATTTCTCTTTTCTGCTTCATTTTATACATTTAAAAAATACATGCTGGGTGTGGTGGCTCATGCCTGTAATAGCAACACTTTGGGAAGCCAAGGCGGGTGGATCACGAGGTCAGGAGATTGAGACCATCCTGGCTAACACGGTGAAACCCCATCTCTACTAAAAATACAAAAAATTAGCCGGGCGTGGTGGCACGTGCCTGTAGTCCCAGCTACTTGGGAGGATGAGGCAGAAGAAACGCTTGAACCTGGGAGACAGAGGTTGCAGAGAGCTGAGATTGCACCACTGCATTCCAGCCTGAGCAACAGAGCGAGACTCCGTCTCAAAAAACCAAAACAAAACAAAAACATATATATTTACATTATACATACACACAATTACAGAAGTGAAAAATCACGCAATTGATAGACTTTATGTAAGGTCTTAAATAAATGAACCATCCCTTAAGAATAACATCATCTTTGGGAATGAACTCATTTAGGTTTACTGTCCATTCTTTTTTATTTTATTATTATTTTTTGAGACAGAGTCTTACTCTGTCGCGCAGGCTGCAGTGCAATGGTGTGATCTTGGCTCACTGCAACCTCCGCCTCCCGGGTTCAAGCAATTCTCCTGCCTCAGCCTCCGGAGTAGCTGGGACTACAGGCACACGCCACCACGCCCGGCTAACTTTTTGTATTTTAGTAGAGACGGGGTTTCACCATGTTGCCCAGGCTGGTCTCGAACTCCTGAGATCAGGTAATCCGCCCGTCTCGGCCTCCCAAAGTGGTGGGATTACAGGCGTGAGCCACCGTGCCCGGCCTTGTCCGTTATTTTCTAAAAGAAGAACTAAAAATCACTACACAAAGCTGACACAGCTGAAAAAGCTGGCTTTCCAAATACAATGTGGTCAAACAAACCTTTTACTTCCTTCAAGTACTTTCTAGGCTCCTCAGTCTCCCAATACCACTGTTACTTTCTTTTTTTTTGAGACAAGAGTCTCGCTCCACTGCGCAGGCTGGAGTGCAGTGGCACAATCTAAGCTCACTGCAAGCTCCGCCTCCCGGGCTCACGCCATTCTCCTGTCTCAGCCTCCCAAGTAGCTGGGACTACAGGTGCCTGCCACCATGCCCGGCTAATTTTTTGTATTTTTAGTAGAGACGGGGTTTCATCGTGTTAGCCAGGATGGTCTCAATCTCCTGACCTCGTGATCCGCCCACCTCGGCCTCCCAAAGTGCTGGGATTACAGGTGTGAGCCACTGCGCCTGGCCTACCACTGTTACTTTCTACTGAAAGTAATTAAATATGTTGAAATCCCTTTTTCATGGTGCTGCTGGGAACTGGGGTACGGATCAGGGTAGTGTAATCAAGCCTTTACACACCTTTACATGTTAATCAAGCTATCTTTAGGGAAGAGAAAGTGATTTTATGATTGGATCTGTGGTAAATTTCAGTAAGTGGCATATCCTATGAATCACTATCTTTTTATTACAAGCTAAAATGAATAACCAACTTAATTCTTAAACTCAAAGGAATACTTTTTCCAAGTATCAGTTATGCAGCCCAGAGTAAATGATGTTGGCATCTTTTCACTTTATTATTCTCATTTTACAGATGAAGAAACTGAGATACCAAGAGGTTAGCGGCTGCCAATAAATGGCAGAGCCAAGATTAAAACCCAGGAAGTCACTCCAGAGCCTTTATACTTAACCACCACATTATACTGCACACTCTAAGTGAAAGTTCTGGGCATATAATAATAGATTAGAAAAAAATGTAAAATTTAATTAAAAAATTTAAAAGATGCAAAGTTATTTACACTTGTAAAAATTCTAGGCATGAGCTAAGCTTACCCGGCATATGTCCGTTGATATAAAGATTCTGGATCCAGACTTGCCGCATCCACAATTATCGCTTCATCAAAATTTTTCAGTATTTTAATACTGGCTTTTTTCACACTGGACTACAATAGAAATTGTAAAATTAGAAGTATATGAAACAATCAGTCCTGGGCTTGGAATGTGACAGATTTGTACAAAATTTTCTTCAGTGTTTGAAATAGAAGTAACTTTCACTCAACCTCATCACTATTAAGATGCTTAACAACAATGACTCTGAAATGTAACCTCATACTATAGCTAAAAGAGGAAAGCACAATATTAAAATGTACATGCCGGGCACAGTGACTGAAGCCTATAATTCCTAGGTTGAAGTGCAATGGCGCGATCACAACTCACTGCAGCCTCACCCTCCTGGGCTCCAGGACTCCTCCCACCTCAGTCTCAGAAAGTGCTGGGATTACAGGTATGAGCCACCATGCAGCCCTCAATATTCATCTTTTACCCAATACAAGGATCCCAGCACTTTGGGAGGCTGAGGCAGGCCGATCACTTGAGGCCAAGAGTTCGAGGCCAGCATGGTCAATATGGTGAAACCCAGTTTCTACTAAAAATAAAAAAATTAGCCGGGCATGGTGGTGCATGCCTGTAACCATAGCTACTCTGGAGGCTGAGACATGAGAATCACTTGAGCCCAGGAGATGGAGGTCGCAGTGAGCCAAGATTGTACCACTGCACGCTGGCCTGGGCGACAGAGGAAGACTCTGTATCAAAAACTAAAAAATAAAATAAAATAAAATGTATAATGTATGAATTTATAAGACATTCTTAACGACCTAAGTTCCAACAAATGTGCTGTACTCACAGCATTATTTCTTCAATATGAAAAGCTGTCATACATCCAGAAATATGTATCTTGGGTAGTAAAGCCCCATGTTTACAGGGTAAATAGGAATGTTTTTGATTCTTGGTGAGGCCATATGACAAAAAGAAGCTAAGGAAACCTTTCTAAAATGACTAGCCAGCTGAGTACAGCAAGTTCTCCTCCAGCATTCTACCTCCTACTCCCCACCTCCACAAGAAAAACCAGAATTGGTATTTTTGTGAAATACAGAGCCATAGGTTGACCTAGAAATTCCACTTCTAAAAATTCAGTTACAGAGAGACTTATATTGATGGAAAATGACTTATATACAAGATTATTCACTGCAGCATTGTTTAAAATAAAAGACATAAACAAGCTTAATGTCCCCGACTAAGTAATAGGTTAAGTAAATAAAATAATTGAACAGACACTTATAGACCTCTCTATAGCAGGGGTGGGAGGGTAGGGAAAGCGGCTCTCATGTGTTGAGAAGGAACAATCTCCAAGATACACAGTTAAACAAAAAAGAAAGAGGGACCAGAATAAAGAGGGAATATTTCCCAACTAATTCTATGAGGACTGTTACTCAGATACCAAAATCTCATTTATACTTTCTGATTTCAAAACTTATTACAAAGCAATAGTAATCAAGAGAGTATGGTACTGGCATAAAGACAGACATACAGACGGATGTATGTCTATCTTTGGAATGGAAGAGAATCAAGAACCCACAAATACACTCTCACATTTATGGTCAATTCATTTCTGATAGAGTGTAAATGTTATCTTAAGCGTTCAGATACAAAATCTTCAACAAAATACCAGTAAATGGAATCCAGCAGCATATTGAAAAGATTATACACCATGACCAAGTGAGATTCATCTCAGGTATGCAAGGTTGGTTTAACATCTGAAAATCAATTAATATTTCACATCAACAGAATAAAACCCAAAATCCATAGGATCATTTATACTGATACAGAAAGAACATGACAATATTCAACACCCTTTCATGATTTAAAAAAAAAAAAAAGCCTTAAAAAATCAGGAATGATAGGGAAATTCCTGAATCTGAAAAAAGGCATTTATTGAAAACCCACACCTAACATCATATTAAATGATGAAACTGAAAGCTTTCCCTGTCAGATAGGAAACAAGACAAAGATTTTTGCTTCTGCCACTTCTACTCATCATTGCTCTGTAAGTTCTAGCCAGAAAAAAAACTATCTCTATCCATAAATGACATGATCTTATATATTGAAAATCCTAAAGAATCCACAAGAAAACTATTAGAGCTAACAATCAGATTTATCAAAGTTGAAGTTGCAAGATCAACATGTAAAAATCACTTGTATTTCTATGCTCTCTCATCAAACAATCTGAAAATGAAATTAAGAAAACAATTCTATTTATAATGGAATCGAAAAGAACTTAAAACATAGGAATAAATGACCCAAGGAGGTGAAAGGCTTCTACTCTGAAAACTACAAAATTCTGCTGAAATGAAAGAACACATAAATACATGAAGATACATCCATGTTCACAAATTAGAAGACAATACTGTTAAGAAGGCAATATTTTGGCCGGGTGCAGTGGCTCACGCCTGTAATCCCAGCACTTTGGGAGGCCATGGCAGGTGAATCACCTGAGGTCAGGAGTTCAAGACCAGCCGGGTGAACATGGTGAAACACTGTCTCTACTAAAAATGCAAAAAAATTAGCCAGGCATGGTGGTGGGTGCCTGTAATCCCAGCTACTCGGGAGGCTGAAGCAGGAAGACACTATTAATAGTGAAAAGACAGGTTGCGTGTGGCTCACACCTGTAATCCCAGCACTCTGGGAGGCAGAGGTGGGAGAATCACTTTGAGCCTAGAGTTTGAGACCAACTTGGGCAACACAGTAAGATCTGTCTCTACAAACAGAAAAAAAAAGCTGGGTGTGATAGTGTGTATCTATGGCCCTAGCTATTCAGGAGGCTGAAGTAAGAGGATCACTTCGGCCCAGGAAGTTGAGGTGGCAGTGAGCTGTGATTGTGCCACTGCACTCCAGCCTGGGCAGCAGAATGAGACCTTATCTTAAAAAAACAAACAAACAAACAAACAAAAACCCACCTTTTTTAAAAGGTAGAGGAAAGACAACTCACAGAATGAAGAAAATACCTGGAAATAATATAATTTGATAAGGGACATTTATCTAGAATATATAAAGGACTCCTGAAACTCAATATAAAAAGGCAATCTAATTTAAAAATGGGCAAAGGGGCTGAGCAAGGTGGCTCACGCCTGTACTCCCCACACTTTGGGAGGCCAAGGCAGGAGGATCACTTGAACCCAGGAGTTTGAGACCAGCCTGGGCAATATAATGAGAAAATTGGCTGGGCCTGGTAGCTCATGCCGGTAATCCCAGCACTTCGGGAGGCCAAGGCAGGTGGATCACCTGAGGTCAGGAGTTGAGACCAGCCTGGCCAACATGGTGAAACCCTGTCTCTAAAAAAAATACAAAAGTTAGCTGGGTGTGGTGGTAGGCACCTGTAATCCCAGCTACTGGGGAGGCTGAGGCAGGAAAATCGCTTGAACCCAGGAGGCAGAGGTTGCAGTGAGCCAAGATTGTGCCATTGCACTCCAGCCTGGGCAACAAGAGCAAGACTCCTTCTCAAAAAAAAAAAGAAAAAAGAAAATCTAGGCTGGGCCCAATGGCTCACGCCTGTAATCCCAGCACTTTGGGAAGCCTAGGCAGGCAGATCACCTGAGGTCAGGAGTTTGTGACCAGCCTGGCTAACATGGTGAAACCCTGTCACTAGTAAAAATACAAAAATCAGCCCGGCATGCTGGCAGGTGCCTGAAATGTAATCCCAGCTACTCGGGAGGCTGAGGCAGGAGAATCACTTGAACACAGGAGGCGGAGGTTGCAGTGAGCTGAGACCACACCATTGTACTCCAGCCTGGCTGACAGAGTGAGACTTGGTCTCAAAAAAAAATAAATAAATAAAAATAAAAATAAAAATGGCCAAAGGATTTGAATAAACATTTTTCCAAAGCTAGAACAAAGGCCAATAAGCAAATGAAAAGATGCTCAACATCATTACTCATCAGAGAAGTGCAAAAACCACACTGAAGTAGAACTTATTGGAATGACTATCATTTTTAAAAACAGCCAAACAGATAATAAGTTCCAATGAAATGTGGAGAAGCTGTAAAACTCATACACTGCTGGTGGGATTGCAAAATGGTGCAGCCTTTTCGGAAAACAATCTGGCAGTTTTTCAATAAGTTTAAGAGTTACCTCTTGACTCAGCAATTCTACTCCTATGTATATACAACAAAAGAAATGAAAACCACAGCCGGGCATAGTGGCTCACCCCTGTAATCCCAGCACTTTGGGAGGCCGAGATGGGTGGATCACTTGAGGTCAAGAGTTCGAGACCAGACTGGCCAACATGGTGAAACCCCATCTCTACTAAAAAATTAGCTGGGCGTGGTGGTGCGTGCCTATAGTCCCAGATACTCGGGAGGCTGAGGCAGGAGAACTGCTTGAACCCAGGAGACAGAGGTTGCAGTGAGCCGAGATTGTGCCACTGCACTCCAGCCTGGGCGACAGAGCAAGACTCCACCTCAAATTTAAAAACAAAAAGAAAACCTGTATCCACACAAAAACTTGTACACAAATGGTCACAGTAGCATTATTGATAAATGGCAGAAAGGAGGGTACAATTCAAATAAAATGTCATAAATCCTTGCAATGGGATATTTGGCCATAATGAGGAATAAAATTCTGATACATGCCAAACATGGATAACATGATGCTCTTTTGAACACATGATGCTAAGTGAAAGACAGTTGGCAACAAAAGACCACATAATATACGGTTCCATGTTTATGAAATGTCCAGAATAAGCAAATCTATTGTCTCTATAGAGATAAAAAGTAGACTAGTGGCTGCCTAGGGCTGGTGGAGTGGGGGATTTGGAGTTTAAGTAAAGGGGGTTTCTATCTGGAGTGAAAAAAATGTTCTAAAATCGATGTGGTAATGGTTACCTAACTCTGTGACCATATAAAAACCACTGAATTGTATGATGTAAATGTGAATTAGCACAATAAAGCTGTACAAGAAAAGAATACACAGTATGGTTTTATTTATAAAATGACAAGAACAGGTAATGCTAATCTATGCCATCAAAAGTCAGGATAGTAGCTACCCTGGTGACAAGAAGGACAGTGAATGGAAGGGGCCCAAGAGGGCTTCTAGAGGGGCTGATAATGCTGTTTTTGATCTGGATGCTGGGTCACATGGGTTAGTTCTGCTTGTGAACATTCTTCAAGGTGTCTAAGGTTATGATAAGTGCAGTTTTCTATATATATAGTATCAACAAAAGGTATAAAAATATATTTTATGGTTAGTACCTAGGCCTTTCTTAAGTGCCTAATCAAAAACAAGACATTCAGCCAGGTGCAGTGGCTCATGCCTGCAATCCCAGCACTTTGGGAGGCCGAGGCAGGTGGATCATGAGGTCAGCAGTTCAATACCAGCCTGACCAACATGGTGAAACCCCTTCTCTACTAAAAACACAAAAATTAGCCAGGTGTGGTTGCACATGCCTGTAATCCCAGCTACTCAGGAAGCTGAGGCAGGAGAATTGCTTGAACCCGGGAGGTGGAGGTTGCAGTGAGCCACGATCGTGCCATTGCACTCCAGCCTGGGCGACAGAGCAAGATGCTGTCTCAAACAATGACAACAACAAAAACCAAAAAAAAAAAAAAAAAAAACCAAGACATTCTAACCTATATCAAAAAACCAAAATGGCAACCATACTCAGCAGTTTATCTCCTAGGTAAACTTAACAGAAGAAAAAGATACTCAGGAGAGCTTTGTAAATGGCAATACGATAATACTCTCTTACAAATTAGGAAAATTTATCCAAGGCCCAGTATTGAAAATTCAAAGGGTTATTTATTTGTCAACAGTAATTAGAAAATTATTATGCTACATTAAGCTGATGGTGAAGAACACTAGAAGGGGAATATTTCTGGCTCTATCATTTACTGTGTGAGTTTAATAAAACCAGTTAACTTCTTTATGCCTCCTTAGATTTCTTGTCTTAGGATATTCTACTTTGTGTGATTTTGAGGAGAATCAGGTATGGTTTAACATATGAAAGCACTCCAAAAAACCCAAAAAAGGTCAAGGAAATGCACAATGTGGCACGGTAATGCAAAACGAAATCAAAAGGCCTTGAGTGAAACACAACATTATAGGTAGTGGTTCACGCCTGTAATCCCAGCACTTTGAGAGGCCAAGGTGGGAGGACTGCTTGAAGCCAGGAGTTTGAGACTACCCTGGCCAACATAGCAAGACCCTGTCTCTTTACAAAAAAAAAAGAAACTTAGGCTGAAGCAGGCGGCATTTGAGGTCAGGGGTTCAAGACCAGCCTGAGCAACACAGCAAGACTCCATCATTTAAAAAAAAAATTTTTTTTGAGATGGAGTCTCACTCTGTCACCATGCAGGAGTGCAGTGGCGTGATCTCGGCTCACTGCAACCTCCGACTCCCTGGTTGAAGCCATTCTCCTGCCTCAGCCTCCCAAGTAGCTGGGATTACAGGCATGAGCCACCATAACCAGCTAATTTTTGTATTTTTAGTAGAGACGGGGTTTCACCACGTTGGCCAGGCTGGTCTCCATCTCCCGACCTCGTGATCTGCCTGCCTCGGTCTCCCAAAGTGCTGGGATTACAGGCGTGAACCATCATGCCTGGCCAAAAAAAAATTTCAAATTAGCCAGGCGTGGTGGTGCATGCCTCTAGTCCCAGCTATTCAGGAGGCTGTGGTGGGTGGATTATTTGAGCCCAGAATTTCCAGGTTGCAGCGAGGAGACCCTGTCTCAAGAAAAGAAAAAAAAAGGAGACCTAAGAATTCATTCACTTATTTTACAAAAAGTATCCTAAATAAATACTTACATAAAGAGCTCTTCAGAGGCTATGAATATATTCCATATTACTTGATTTATTAAGAGAAACAGCCACAGATTCAAATAGAATAATGGCCTAAATGAAACAGCATGATACTTTACAATACAGTATATTTTAAGTTACCACAAATGCTTTGATTAGAAGATAGTAAGTAGGCTAATTTTATTTCTCTCTTTTTTTTTTTTTTTTGAGACACAGTCTCACTTTGTCACCCAGGCTGGAGTGCAGTGGCGTGATTTTGGTTCATTGCAACCTCTGCCTCCTGGGTTCAAGCGATTCTCCTGCCTCAGCCTCCCAAGTAGCTAGGATTACAGGTGCCTGCCACCATGCCCGGCTAATTTTTGTATTTTTAGTAGAGATGGGGTTTCACCATGTCGGCCAGGCTGGTCTCGAATTCCTGACCTCGTGTGATCCGCCCACCGCAGCCTCCCAAAGTGCTGGGATTACAGGCACAGGCCACTGTGCCTGGCTTTTATCTTTTTTTTCCACAACTTAAAATTTACAAATAATAGGATCTGTTACTGGGATGTGAAGGAAAGGATGTGTATGCTTTTCTCCCTAATGGCAGACGCAATCAGTCAATACCTGAGACGCAGAGCTGTCAGAACTCCCTGGGTGAGACTCATCAGGAGGGCCAACAGAGCCAGGAGCAGTCAGCGACACGTTCCCGCCCAGAAATTCATCTCCTCGAACCGAATGGATGAGATCATTCAAATATTTATAATAAAGATTGCTGGACAAAAAGCCAGGCAAAAAGACCTGATAGAGATGAAAAGCATTATTTTAAAGTTGAAATCAAATCCAACTAAAACTGTTTTAAATAAATAAATTTTACCTATAATTCTACTGGTTACAAATGTTAACTACCTATAACAAATGTTTTTACTTCTTGTTGTACTACAAGTATTATCCCTTTGTACAGTTTACAAATTAAAATTATAATGCATAAGGCTGGGTGCAGTGGCTTACACCTGTAATCTCAGCACTCTAGGAGGCCGAGGCAGACGGATCACTTGAGACCAGGAGTTCAAGACCAGCCTGGCCAACATGATGAAACCCCATCTCTACTAAAAACTATAAAAATTAGCTAGGCATGGTGGTGAGCGCCTGTAATCCCAGCTACTCGGGAGGCCTGAGGCAGGAGAATTGCTTGAACCTGGGAGATGGAGGTTGCAGTGAGCCGAGATTGCACCACTGCACTCCAGCCTGGACGCTGGAGCAAGACTGTCTAAAAAAAAAAAAAAAAAAAAAATTACAATGCATGTAATTTTGTTGGGTTTTCTCCCCCAAAATATTTGTCACGAAAGTATTACATAAAGTTGATATTAATACTTTTTAGCAGAAAATAGTCCATAGGATATAATTTGAAACTCGATTTTTCTGGTTTATGATAAATGTTAAAGTCTTTGTGCATATATTGATTTTACTTTCAAACTGATTTCCTTAAGATAACTCACCAGGCGTGTGATTGCTGAGTTAAATTTTAACTTTAATATATATGGTCACTTTACTCTTCAAAAGAACATTATCAATTTCAATCACTAGCAATATATCAAAATATCTGTTTCCACATTGTTTTTTTTTCAAATAATTCTTAAATAAATGCCTAATTGTACATAGATGTTTTTATTTACATTTAATAATTATTAATTATACTGAATGAGTTCTCATGTTTATTATTTATATTTCTAATTCTACGAAGGAAAAGTTTGTAACTGGACAAGCAAATAATAAACATGAGAACTTATTCAGTATAATTTGTAAATATTTATGTTCGTATTTAATACGTGCCTTTGTTGTTTGTTTTTGTTTTTTTGAGACGTATTTTCGCTTTTGTCCCCCGGGCTGGAATGCAGTGGCATGATCTCGACTCACTGGAACCTCTGTCTCCCAGGTTCAAGTGATTCTCCTGCCTCAGCCTCCCGAGTAGCTGGGATTACAGGTGTCCGCCACCACACCCAGTTAATTTTTGTATTTTTAGTAGAGACGGGGTTTCGCCATGTTGGCCAAGCTGGTCTTGAACTCCTGACCTCAGGTGATCCACCCGCCTCGATCTTCCAAAGTGCTAGGATTACAGGCGTGAGCCACCGTGCCCGGCCAATATGTACCTTTTTTGTAGACTAAGCTCCAGGATAGCAGAAACACATTTATTTTGTTTACCACTGTAACACTACCATCTAGCACAGAAATACTCAAAGTTTTTGTTGAATGAATCATTCATGTCTTTTTTCCTACCTAACTACCAGGGTCTTGACAGTGTTCTTAAAATTAGTCTAAGTTCCTTACATACACACATCTAGTAAGAACTATTTTTGCATTTTTCTCTCTGCATTTTAATTTTATTACCCTGAAAATTTACATTCTTTATATGATACAGATCTGAACTTTTCCTTTAAAATCAGAAAAGGTTTAATTTTAATCGTGAAAATATTATCATCATTGGGTAACAGCTGACACTCTATTCTGTTTACTACTAGCTATTTAATGATTTGACTTCTATATGTCATTCTTCAGTATTCCTAAAATTCAGTTTTTATGTATGGTATTATATAATAGCGTTTAATTAAGTTTTTTCACCTGGATACACATGACACATACAAGCAACATAACCTCACTGGCTCTGAAATTCCTGGAAAAATCTCCTCTAGTTCATTAGAAGAATAAATCATTCACAAACATCAATACTTTACTTTTATTTATTTATTATAATTATATTTTTGAGACGGAGTTTTGCTCTTGTTGCCCAGGCTGGAGTGCAATGGTGCGATCTCAGCTCACTGCAACCTCTGCCTCCCGGGTTCAAGAGATTTTCCTGCCTCAGCCTCCTAAGTAGCTGGGATTACAGGCATGCACCACCACGCCCGGCTAATTTTGTATTTTTAGTAGAGATGGGGTTTCTCCATGTTGGTCAGGCTGGTCTCAAACTCCTGACCTCAGGTGATCCACCCACCTCGGCCTCCCAAAGTGCTGGGATTACAGATGTGAGTCGCCGTGCCTAGCCAACGCTTTATTATTAATAAGCTATTAATAATACCTTGTGATCATAATACCCAAAACTAGGGTTCCAATCCTGTTGACAGTTACTGGTGATATATGTGGATCATTTCTAAGCTAACGTTGCGGCATAATGCCTTCTTTAATTGTTCAAGACAGGGTCTTGCTCTGTCACCAAGGCTGGAGTGCAGGGGCATGAACACGGCTCACTGCAGCCTTTAATTCCCAGGCTCATGCAATCCTCCAGCTTCAGCCTCCTGAGTAGCTGGAACTATAGGTGCATGCCACTACGCCCAGCTAATTTTTGATACTGCTCTCTAATTATTTAAAAATACGTAATAATAATAGTAATAAAAGTAGTTAACATTTTTTGATGCTTACCATGTGTCAGGTACTATGTTAATATGTATTTTATATACATTACCTTACTTTAATCATCAAAGTAACTTTGAGGTAAACGTGCATATTATCGTCACTTTACAGATAAGGAAAATGGCATTAGAGAATTTCAGTTACTGCCCAGGCATGGTAGCTCATGCCTGTAATCCCAGCACTTTCGGAGGCCAAAGCAGGCAGATCACTTAAGGTCAGGAGTTCGAGAACAGCCTGGCCAAAATGGTGAAACCCTGTCTCTACTAAAATACAAAAATTAGCCAGGTATGGTGGTGCCTGCCTGTAATCCCAGCTACTTGGGAGGATGAGGCAGGATAATTGGTTGAACCTGGGAGGCAGAAGTTGCAGTGTGCCAAGACTGTGCAACTGCACTCCAGCCTGGACAATGGAGTGAAACTCTGTCTCAATCAATCAATCAATCAATCAATCAATAAACAGAATTTCCGTTAGGCTGCTTGCCATTGTGCTAACATCACAGAGTGTACTTATACAAACCTAGATGGTATGGCCTACTACACCCCTTGGCTATATGGTACAACCTATTGCTTTTGGGCTACAAACCTGTATCACATGTTACTATAATGAATATCGTAGGCCACTATTGCAATGGTAAGAATTTGTGTATTTAAACACAAATACAGAAAAGGCACAGTAAAAATACAGTATAAAAGATAAAAAATGGTACATCTGTATAGGGCACTTACCATGAATGGAGCTTGCAAGACTGGAAGTTGCTCTGGGTGAGTCAGCGAGTGAGTGGTAAGTGAATGTGAAGGCCTAGCACATTATTGTACACTACTGTAGACTTACACTGTACACTTAGGCTACACTAAATTTATTTAAAATTTTTTTCTTTAATAATAAATTAGCTTACTGTAACTTTTTAACTGTTTTACTTTTTTTAGCTTTTTGACTCTGTTGTCATAACAGCTTAAAACACAAACATATACAGCTGTACAAAAATATTTTCATTATATCCTTATTTTATAAGCTTTTTTCTATTTTTAATTTTTTTTTTCTTTTTAAATTTGTTTGTTAAAAACTAAGACAAACACCCACATTAGCCTAAGCCTACACAGGGTCAGGATCATCAATAACACTTTCTTTCACCTCCACATCTTGTCCCACTGGAAGGTCTTCAGGGGCAGTAACACGCATGGAGCCGTCATCTCCTTTGATAACAATGCCTCCTTCTGGAAACCTCCTGAAGGACCTGTCTGAAGCTGTTTTACAGTTAACTGTTTTCTTAGTAAGTAGAAGGAGCACTCTAAAATAATGATTAAAAGTATAGTACAGTAAATATGAGGCAACAGAGATTTTTCAGCTCCATTATAATTTTTTTTGTTTTGTTCTTGGTTATTCTTTTATCTTTTTAGTTTTTCTTTTTTCTTTTTTACTTATTAAAATTTATTTTTTCTAACTTTTGTTATTATTGCACTACCAGCTTTGATCCATTATAATCGTACAGGACCATCGTACACGCAGTCCACTGTTGACTAAAATGTTATGTGGCACGTGACTGTACATACCAGGCCAGACTCAAGGCCTCTGCTCTTAATCACTTTGCTGGACTGCTTCAATTTCCACTGTGCTATTCTGCTTGGTTTTCCCACCTTATATTTTATGAGTTCTACCAATAAAACTTCTTGTAGTTTGATACGTTTGAAGTTCTGGGTTACCTTCTCCATGGTTGTCCAGGCCTGACGTAATGGAGTTGTGAAACAGTTGGGGAGTGGCCCACCTTCCCTGCAGATATTGGATTCAATTTCTAATCGTACAACATCATCAAATCCAAGAGGATGTGTGGCTTGGAGGGAGAAGTACCTATGGTAAAAAGATATCCGAAGTAAAATCAAATTCCATAGCAAGTATAAGCAACTTTCAGCACCTCCTCCAGAGAATCTTATACAAGGCTACTTGATTGAGCCTGCAGGCCTAGAACTATAGAGCTATGTGATGACAGTGCTGATGTAACCTTTCTTTGTTCCCACTTCCCCAGAGATAGTTGGGTCAACTTGCTACCTTTCTATCTGCCTGCCAACCATCCTTAGTTCTTGACGGTGAACTCTACTGTTGTTTAAAAGCTGTAAGGATCAGACTACAACTGAGGCAAAGAAACTAACAATCACATATTTATGGGTACCTATTCTCTGTTGAGGACTTGATAGATAGAAAGGAATTTATAGGAAAGGAAGACATGGTCATTTTCCCTAAAAAGCGAGCTGAGAACTTGTATGCACAGAATAAAATAAGAACACATCATCATAACTACAAGGCATCAGGAGTAAACATGTACAAATTCAAAACAAAACAGCACTGAGGGGTGAGCTAGATGCATATGACCTATTTGGATAGAACAGGACTTACTGATGACTCGGTGTGGAAAGGGAGTAACCAATATTGATAACACAAAGATTTCTACCTTGATGGGGTATAATGCAGGTAATGTTTTGGTAAGCTGATTATGAAATGAATACCAAAAAAAGCATTAAATGCGAGAAAAAAAAAAAGGCTCTCTTCCAAGCACTCTAATGGTTTCTATGTCCTGACAGAAATACAAAGGTTGATAATGCATGATTATGATGATGCATATATATGATACAAAAACAAGCAGGCTGGGCACAGTGGCTCACGCCTATAATCCCAGCACTTTGGGAGGCAGTGGTGGGTGGATCACTTGAGGTCAGGAGTTCAAGACCGGCCTGGCCAACATGGTGAAACCCTGTCTCTACTAAAAATACAAAAATTAGCTGGGCGTGGTGGCCCCCACCTGTAATCCCAGCTACTCAGGAGGCTGAGGCAGGAGAACCGCTTGAACCCAGGAGGTGGAGGTTGCAGTGAGCTGAGATCGTGTCACTGCACTCTAGCCTGGGTGACAGAGCAAGACTCCATCTCAAAAAATAAAAAAGAAGAAAAAAAAGAAAACTCTCCTTTTAAATCAGCATTTTTGTAACAAAATGTGAATCTCCTATGTTGTATTGAGTAAGTTGGTCAATACTCCTCCACGACTTGAATGTTCAGGCATTTTAGACCAAATTTCTAAATGTAAACTCTTCCTATCTCAACATCTATATAACAATGTTTCTTACGTAATACCTTCTACAAACATACTGTACCAGAATAAACACTGGACAGAACATTAAGAACTGCATTCCAGTCCAAATTCTGCCACTAACTTGTTCTGTGACTTTGAGAAAATCATTACCTCTCTGGGCCTTATTTTCCTTACTTGCAAAATAGGAAAATTAGACTACATCCCTAAACTGGCTATTTATCAGAATTATCTGGTATGTCTTCTAAAAATAAAGATTCCTGGTCACACCTCAAACCTGCAGAATCAGAATTTCTGAGACAGGGGGACTGGAAACCTTTTTTTTTTTTTTTTTTTTGAGATGCAGTCCTCTGCCTCCCGGGTTCAAGCAATTCTCCTGCCTCAGCCTCCCTAGTAGCTGGGATTATAGGCACCCGTCAAAATGCCCAGTTAATTTTTTGTAGTTTCTAGTAGAGACAAGGTTTCACTATGTTGGCCAGGCAGTTCTCAAACTCCTGACCTCAAGTGATCTGCCTGCCTTGGCCTCCCAAAGTGCTGGGATTACAGGTGTGAGCCACCGGTACCCAGACTGAAAACCTATTTTTTTTTTTTTTTCTGAGACAGAGTCTCCCTCTGTCAGCCAGCCTGGAGTGCAGTGGCATGATCTCCGCTCACTGCAACCTCCACCTCCCGGGCTCGAGCAATTCTCCTTCCTCAGCCTCCTGAGTAGCTGGGATTACAGGTGTGTGCCATCATGCCTGGCTAATTCTTGTATTTTTAGTAGAGACGGGGTTTTACCATGTTGGCCAGGCTGGTCTTGAACGCCTGACCTCAAGTAATCCGCCTGCCTCAGCCTCCCAAAGTGCTGGGATTATAGGCGTGAGCCACCGCAACCAGCCTGAAAACCTATTTTTAATAAGCTCTCAGGTGATTCCTATGCAGACAGCCCAGCAAGAGCCCACAGACTAATGTTCAGGAACCACTGGCCTAGATACTATTAGTGTCTTCAAACCCTAACATCTGTGGACTTTTCTCTATCCCCAAGTTACCCCTTTAGCATTTGCTTAAGGATACAAATAACAAATTACCTTTGTTGTTTTTTTT
Source organism: Homo sapiens (assembly GCF_000001405.40). NCBI lineage: Eukaryota > Metazoa > Chordata > Mammalia > Primates > Hominidae > Homo > Homo sapiens. The sequence goes on from NC_000017.11 coordinate 19,938,742, forward strand.
TTTTTTGGAGACAGGGTCTCACTCTACTGCCCTGCCCAGGGTGGAGTACAGTGGATCACAGCTCACTGCAGCCTCGACCTCCCAAGGCTCAGGTGATCCTTCTGCCTCAGGCCCCTAAGTAGCTAGGACAACAGGCGCACGCCATCACGCTCAGCTAATTTTTGTATTTTTAGTAAAGGCGGGTTTTGCCATGTTGCCCAGGCTGGTCTCAAATTCCTGGGCTCAAGCGATTCACCTGCCTCTGCCTCTCAAAGTGTTGTGATTACAGGAGTGAGCCACCGTGCCCGACCACGAATTACTTTTTTTACAGAGTAAGAAAAGTTAAATGAAAAGAATACCATACGTTACAGAGCTGGCCACAAGCTCATCATCTGCCTGACCAGATATTTTCAATTTTGTTTACTGTATGATGTTTCCATCCTCTCATTTTCAGTGAAAACTAATAAAAAACTAATTAACAACGTGCCTGAGCAGATTTATACAGAAAGTATAATATACCCATAAATAGGCATTCAAGGTCCCTTACAATCTATTCCAATTAGTACCAGCATCCTCATATTTATTCCCCACTCCTTTGATTATCTAAACTCAAGTTTCTTGAAAGTGCCACTTTCCCCTACGTTTCCATGGCTTCTGGGCCAATGCCTTTGCCTAGAATGTTGTTTTCTGCCTTCTCTGGGTAGCAAAATTCCCTTCTTTCTTTGGGATCCAAACAAAATCTCTCTTCTGGGAAACACTCCTTGAACACCACCATTGCCATCCTGTTTACCCCACATACACCTCCCCTTTCCCAGCAGAAACTTTTGTTCTAAGAACCCCCAAAGCTTTACAAACACCATATAAAAGCAGCTTTTATGCTGCCTCCTGTGAGCTCCTTGACAACAGAGACTGAGTTTATTCATCTTTATTTCCACAAAACATATCAAATGTTCAATAAGTATCTGCTGAATCCATCTATCAATATAACTCACTTGTCATATAAAATCATGGCATCATTCTGTGCCTCCTGTCCATCATATTGGCCCTTTTTGGCAGCAAGCTGAGACTGGAAGTTATCTGCTGCCAACCAGAATTGTAAGATATTCACTGCATCCTCTTTTTCCATGTACTAGGAAGAAAAAATACACAAGGGAAAATAAGACTATAAACAGATTTCTCTCACAATCTCTAATCTATAAGCTCAAATATTAAAATACAGGTCATAAGCAAAAAACAAAAAGATCTACTTCTTCTGTTAACACCTGTCAGCAAGTTACAGTCATTTGAGATTGAAAAGTTTTAAAGTATTCTTTTAGACGAAAAAAAAGTTAACAAGAAACAAACACTACCTACACAGCTGGATGCAAACTTTTAGTGAACTAGAGTAAAAATTATACTAAACTGGATTTGTGGTTCCTTGCCAGCAAACATATAAAGAGTAAACTAACCAAACCAAATATTTTATATCTGATCATTTCCACCATTCCATGAGGACATATTAACCTAAACAAATTGTTGATTTAAACTTATAGCAAAGAAAGGGAGTGAGAAAACAAATCAACTGAGTACCTGTATTCTTGTAAAGAGGCAGAATCGAGTGTCTAAATTACTGCTTTGTGAGACTGGGAATCCTCTTTCTACTTAATAGTCATTTGCTTTCCAACAAAATAATTTCACTTGTTGAAGCCTAACAAAGAGCATTATACTAAACTGTATGCCTCAAAAAGATTAATATACTCATTGTCTGTTGCAAATGCTTCTTCACTGGGCAATCCTATCAAGTGACTAAAGTAAAAATGATGAGCATAAGAAAAAATTTACTACTTTTTTTCTCTTCTGAAGTCTGGTCTGCAATTTATGCACTGGAAGCAAGTTTCAAATTCTGTGGTTTTAAAATAGCTCCAAATAATTAAAAACATGCACTCTCTTACATGCAGTAGTTTAATTAGGTTTCTCAAAATTAGAGTTATTTAATACATTGAATTTTCATGTTCTCTCTAATATATTATTAAATTACTCTTGCCATCAGAAACAACTTGAAACAATGATACATCTTTTTGGAAATGACTTGGCTCTTCTGTGTTATTTCCTATAGACAGGGCCCCAGCATTGATAGTTAGAGGCTGGAATGCTCGAATAGAGTGTGAAAAGAAATGCAGACTTTACCTCAGAGAAATAAAAGAGGGCTGACTCACAGAAGAGAATGTCAGCCAGGTAAACAGTTCCACTGGTCAGCACTTCAATCTGGTATTTACAGAAATGGTGACTTCGCAGAAACTCACTAAAGTGCCTGCACATGGACAAAAGGGAAAATTTGAGGGAACGACCAAGGAAAGAGTTTAAGTGGGAAAAATATACTCTTTCCATACTGTCCCTATTGTATCTTAAAGGCCTAGGTCAACACTACCTTACTCCCCATGGTGTCATTCCTGATTCCTTTACCTGTATGTAATCTCTCCCACCTTTTTATGACTTTGTAGTTCTCCCCTGACATTTAACACATGCCACTTCATATTACAGTAACCAAACAACATGCCCTATGTCTTTTATTAGGCTGTAACTTCCTTCAAGACTGGCACTATGCCTAACCACGTCTTACACAGAGCACTCTTCTGATAAATGTTAAGTGAAAGAATGAATAGATTTTTTTTAAGGGCACATAGCAGTAATAAATCTAAAAAACCTCTGGAGCCATTTCAACAAATCTATGTGGATTTAGTTATATAGCATCCATTTAGCTTAAAGCCTAACTAACAAATTAGGAGAGCCATCTGAAGACATGCATTATTTAAATAAATAAACCAATTCTAATAGTCATAATCACTACAGACTCAATCACTCCCCAAATTATTTCAGAACTAAAAACAAATTATTTTAACTTAGGAAATATTAACATTGAAAATGAAAATGAAAATTTTAAGAGTTCACATAATTTATATTTAAAAGAAACTGTTAACCAAGATAGAGTATGCTTTATATGATCTTGTAAATATCCAAAATATTTAAATTCTCAAAAATACTTTGTTTTTAGCTGAGTGAAGCCCATTCCTAACAATGAACCCAAATTCCCTAGGATGCACAATGTGAAAATATGAACTAACTTACTCTTGCTCCATTGCACTAAAGACTATGGACTGTGCCAAAACGAAACAGTTGGGATCCACCTGTCCATCTTCTCCACAAATCCTTGCTGCAAAAGAAGTTGTAAATAATTAAATTGCCACTAAATTCAAACTATGTATACACACTTGTGAATCAACTTGGGAGTTAACAGCACAGGCATATAAATTAAGAGGTTTTAAATAGAACTAAAAGAAAATACAGGTAACACTTGATCTTAAAATAGAAAGTCTTTTGAAGTACATATGCAAAAGCAGAAATCAAAAGATTTAACAACATAAAATTTAATTCCTATACATAGAAACCCTCCAAAAACAAAATACAAAGGCAAACAAACAGAAAAAAGATTTGCAGCATGCATGACAGTTAAAAGGTTACTATCATTAAAATACCAAGAGCTCTTATAAACTACTAAGAAATGTTCCAAAAGAAAAATGAGCAAAGGACATGACAATCCACAAAGGAACAAACATAAAATGACCAACGTGAAAAGACATACATACTCACTAGTAATCAAATAGATTAGAATAAGGAGGCACTACACCTTTTATCTAGTAAACTGGCCCAACATTGTTTTTAATAATATGTATACTTGAGCAAGGGCACAAGAAAACTAACACTAGTGTTAGTGGGGATACAAACACCTTTTTCTGAAGGCAATTTGGCAGTTTCTAGCATAACTTTAAAAATGAACATACCCTTTCAATGAGCAATTCTATTTCTGGGATTGTAACTTAAAAAATTATGGATTTGTGAAGTTATCTGTAAAAAAGTTTATTAAAATGTTATTGGTAGAAATTTTAAAACATGAAATGTGCTAAAATAAGGAACTGCTAAAATAAACTGCAGCGAAACAATTAGCTATTTAGCTAGCTGTTAAACATGGCTGGAAAAACCATATAACATGATGCCTAGTCTCACTTTGTGTTCATGACTTTAGTGGGACCTTCATGAAACCAAGGGATCATACTAGTGTCCTGGTCTGTTTACATTCACTTTCCTAGACAATACAAATCTGTGATACTGTGAAATATGTTATTTAGTCTTTGCCCAGTTTTTTTTTTTTCCTTTTTCTTCTGAGACAAGGTCTCACTTTGTCACCCAAGCCGGAGTCAGTGGCACGATCATGGCTCACTGCTGCCTTCAACTCCAGGGCTCAGTGATCCTCAGCCTTCTGAGTAGCTGAGACTACAGACAAGAGCTATTACGCCTGGCCAATTTTTAAATTTTTTGTAAGGGGGTCTCACTATGTTGACCAGGCTGGTTTTGATCTCATGGCCTGAAACGATCCTCCTGCCTCAGCCTCCCAAAGTGCTGGGATTACAGGCCTGAGACATTGCAACTGGCCTTTAGCCAGTTTCTTAGCATACAGCGCCTAAAATTCATGGAATCTCTGGATTCTTTTGAAGGCTAATGAGATGACTTGTGGCTGTGGCCTCTAAAGAGCTTTAGGATGAGGGCTAATCACCAGAAAGACCAAGGCAGAATTACACGTTTGGGACTTTCAGCCCTACCCACCAACCTCCCGGGATGAGGGGGCTGAAGGTTGAGCTGATCACCAATAGCCAATGATCAATCATGCCTATATAATGAAGTCTCCACAAAAAACCCAAAAGGACAGAATGGGGAGGGGGGCTTCTGAATAGCTAAATCTGTAGAGGTTCTTGGAGGGTGGCATGACCTGGAGAGTGCATGGAAGCTCTGTGCCCCTCTCCCATACCTTGCCCATGCATCTCTTCCATCTGCCTGTTCAATCTGTATCCTTTGTAATATCCTTTATAATAAATGGGTAAATATATGTAAAGCATTTCCCTGAGTTCTGAGAGCTGCTCTAGCAAATTTATTGAACCCAAGGAGGGGACTGTGGGAACTCCAATTTATAGAAGGTCAGTCAGAAGCACAGGCCACAACTTGTACTTGAGACTGGCATCTGAAGTGGAGGCAGTCTTGTGGGACAGAGTCCTCAATCTGTGGGATCTGATGCTATCTCCAGGTAAACAGTGTGAGAACTGAACTGACTTAGAGGACACCCAGTTGGTGTTCACTGAACAATCATCTGCAGAATTGGTAGCTGACAGGGAAAAAACCCCACACAACTAGAGTCATGGAAGGGTTCTGTTTTGTGAGAGTTCAGAAGGAGAAACTGAGTTTTTTTTTTTTCTACAGTACATCTCCTTTCTCAAATATTTAACACCTCTTCTATTCTCTTTGCTGAGGACTTTGCTTCCTGCTTCCTTGAGAATATAGAAGCAATCAGAAAATTATTTCCATCATCTCTCACATCTTTCAACTCACCTGCATCTCTACCCGTGTACTGCATTCTTTCCTGTGACTCTAGATAAATTGTCCTTGCTCCCATCTAAGCAATCTTCTATGTGAGCACTGGAATTCATCCCTTCTGCCTCCAGACTTCTTTCCTGTAACAACTGTCCCCTCTCCTACATCAACTTCTCCTTCACTACTGCCTCATTCCTATCAGCTGTGTGGACTGCATGTTTATATATATACCTGTTTGTATGCTATAACACACTTTATATGCTTATATATATGCCTGTAACCTCAGCACTTTGGGAGGCCAAGGTGAGTAGATCATGAGGTCAGGAGATGGAGACCATCCTGGCCAACACGGTGAAACCCCGTTTCTACTAAAATACAAAAAAAAAAATTAGCCAGGCGTGGTGGCGAGCGCCTGTAGTCCCAGCTACTTGGGAGGCTGAGGCAGGGGAATCGCTTGAACCCAGGAGGCGGAGGTTGCCGTGAGCCAAGATCACGCCACTGCACTCCAGCCTGGCGAGAGTGAGACTCCGTCTCAAAAACAAACAAACAAACAAACAAAAAATGCAGTCATGCTTTATTCCTTTTTTTCCCTCTCATACCACTCACTTCCAAACCATCAGCAAATTCTGTCAGCTGTACCTTCAAAGTTTTTAAAAATTCTACCACTTCAAACATTTGTGGAAGATGAAGGAGGTAGTGCAAGTATAGATTCTGGATCACTCTAAATCCTCACATAAAAACAGTAATTAGTTAGCAACACCAAAAATCCAAGGATTACATTTAAAACAAGACTATGCAAAGTGGGTACACAGTAAGAGCTAAAGTGAAGGCTCCTTTGAACAAAACTCACTTGAAGGACAGCTATATTAAAATAGTCCAACTGCAAGAGGAGACAAATAATTTGGACAGGATTAAGAATGGGGCTCAAGGAGGAAAAATGACTTGCCTAAAGCCACACAGGTAATTAACATCCTAAAATATATAATGATAGACACTGGGATAGAGGTTTTCTCAAATTCTTTGATCACAAAATGTTATCAACTTGATCCTTCAGAAGACTTTTCCTTCATGGGATTACATCATCATTAATTTGATTAAGCTTAAGTAAAAGAAAGAGAGTTGCAGTGTGGTTTCATTTTAAGTGTTTTATTTGACTTGAAACTGCTTCCTTTTTATCCACACGCCAGTCAGGCTATTAACTGGTACAGACTCCCCTCAAAAAAAAATCACTAGCCAACCAATTCTTCAAACAGGCAAACTCTAATCAGTCAGAACATCCCTGTTGTATTACTAGGAAAAGCTGGTCTAGGGATGATGATAGTAGCAAATTCCCACATAAAAATAGAGCAACAACACAGAAAACCTCAAATCTCATGACAACATCTGTCAGCAAAACTCAGTGAAACAGTACCCCTTAAATACAAGCAGATAGGGATAAGCCACCAACAGCCACCAGGCCTATGTTATAGCCGTTATAGGTATCTGTGTGGGAGAAAGAAAAGGAAAATGGAGCCAACATGACATGGACCCCAGAATAGCTAACTGGAAGGTACAGTGGGCCAATTTAAGAAACACAGCTGAGACTAACAGGGGTCTTGCTGTCCCCAGCAGTGAGTGAGTGCAAAGCACCCACACTAAGGATTAAAGAAGCCCAACATCGGGACAGATCTGCTAAAAGTGCAAGAACATGTCTTATTTCATAAATCACAAATACTAACTTTTTTGAAGAATAAAAATACATAATATTAGGACTTATGAGAATGTAATATTTATTGAATGAATAAATAACCTCTTTTATCTGTGAATATACGTTCACCTAAGGTCTTCCTGATAAAACACAGTAAAAGCTTTCAAACTATTTTGCTATAACCTATAAGAAATATATTTGTTGAATCAGCATACACATACATACATGTATATATAATGAAAACATTTTTCTGAAATGTTTGTCCTTACTACTCTGAGATACTTTGATTTTTTTATTCTAGTATATATATATATACACACACTAATATGTATATTATATATTAGTATATATACTAATATATAATATATACTATATATGCATATATACTAATACATATATTTTATATATATATATATTTTATATATATATATATTATATATATATATATATATATATATATATATATATATATTTTTTTTTTTTTTTTTTTTTTTTGGCAGGGGGTGAGGGCATAAGAGAAGGCTGGTCCCAACCTACAGTATGAAAAACACTGCCACAGCACAGCAGTTAAGGTATGTGAGGGTCTAGTTTCAAATCCTGACTCTGCCATATCTGAGCTGTTACCCTGGACAAAGCACTTAACTTCTCTGTGCTTCAGTTTCTTCATCTATAAAATAACTGTATTTATCCCACAAAGTTCTTTAGAAGTTAAAATGAGTCTATCCATAAAAAGTGCTTGGAATATTGTCTGGGACACAGTGAGTGTTTAATAAATGTGTACTATTTATTGATCTTGCTGTCATTGTTATTCAGGTTAAAGCCTAAGAATTTGGGTCCAACATATAAGAAAAACTTTTTTTTTTTTTTTTTTTTTAAGGTTAGCAAATTGTCTTTATTCAGAAGAATAAAGTTACGTGAAACTGGGACTGGACATGAGGCTGCCCTCCTCCTTGCACCTCCAGCTGTGCCAAATGACACAGAAATGACACTGTGTGTGGCACAATCAACTGGCAAAAAAAGGCAAGTCACAGGCCATGTGATGGCTCTGGCTAATGCAGGTAGACATCCAGGGTGCCCAGGGACGTCAGGCCCACTGAGAAGTGGGATGAAGCCCTGAGACGGAGAGGCCACCACTGAGACACCTGTCTGGCCATCCAGTTGCCCACTGGTCGTGAGACTCTTGGGCTGCAGCCCTGATGCCTAGAGACTTTGGTACCGGCTTTTAGCCTCACTGGACTTCCAACCCCAGAAGTTTCTGTCCCGCCCACTTCGTGCACTGGTGCGGGGCTGCCGGCCAGTCCATCCGGTGGTCTGTGCCGGTTAGCGTAGCCGCCCGCCGGCCCGGCTGCTCAGCAGCGGGCAGGCCTGAGCACCCGCTACACTGCAGCCCATCTGGCCCAGGCAAAGACCCTCGCACCGAATGCAGCCGAGAAACTTTTAAAGTGAGCTATAATCCGATATAAAAAATACTCAGAAAACAAATTAGGAAGGGAACTGCTAAATTCCATGTTAAGAAAAAATTATCTTAGTCAATAACGAAAATTGTCAGTTCTGTGCATTTTTTGTCATTTTTTTTTTGCCATAGTTTCAAGCACTGCTTACCTATGATGTCATTTCTCATTGCTTCTGTAATTGGTATTGGTTTAGCAGCATCTGGAGATATATATTTGGTAAAAGTATTCACTGCATCTTGTTCTATACCTGCAAGGGAAGAAGAGAACTTCAAAAACCAAAAAGCAACTTGGACTCCAGTAATGAATTATATTCATGAATAGCAGGGCTTAGATCACTGTGAGTTCCTATTGCAAAATAAACTTCCATCACAAAGGTGCTTTTTCATTGTTTGGTTTGTGGAAGAGGAGAGTTACATGGGGGTGTTCAAAGCTATGGAAAATGCATATGATGAAAAAACTATGCATGAATTTCAAAGTACTTTTACACCAAAATAAACTCATATTAACCTGTTATAACGTATCTGAACAGGATCTACTCTGAGGCACTAAGAAGGAGAAAACATCAGTTTGAAGACAGCCCCTATTGGAGCAACATGAATTCTGCTAAAATGGAAGAATAAACATCAAATTTATGGTGAAGCTTGTGTGGATGAAAGATAAAATTATTGATGCTTTACCAAAAGTTTATGGGGACAATGCCTCAAAGGACAGAGTGAGACTCCGTCTCAAAAAAAAAAAAAAAGTCAAGTATTAATAATTATGACAGAAACCACCAAAGGCGGGTGTTAAAGTGTTATTTTCCTAATGTGCTTGCTAAAGGGAAAACAGCAAATTAATATAGAGAATATCATCCGTTGATTTGATATGAAATCCTAATAAGTATGTCAAGATGAAATAAGCACACTCTTCTGTCTCTCCCATGGAATGCAACTCAAAACAATGGACAAATGCATCCAAGGACTTGGAAGCAGGTGGACTGAGAAAAGTAATCAGAACTTGCAGTACCTCCGTACTCCTGACAAGTTTGTCCAGCACCTCCTGGCCTGGACTCAAAAGCTGAAACTGCACACCAGATGCACAAAGAAGAAGTTCCAAGACAGGCCCTCTATTTCTGGTCTGAGGAACAGGAAAGGGGGCTCTCACGGATCAAAGAGAGTGGAGGAAATCCCCTGGGTTGTTTTGTTTTGTTCCTTTCTCTCCTTCGACTCCCAGGCAGCATCAGAGCAGCCACAGCAGCAATGACAGCAGCTCCAAGAATCCTACTTTCTGACAAGAGAAACTGCAGTCCCAAGAAGAAGAAGTCGTGGCCACAGAGGTTGACATAGCTACAGGAAGTGTGCTGAAGTATAGGGAATCTAAAGCCCTGACTTTCTAGCCAGACAACAGGAAAGGGATAAAGGGAGGTTCTTAGAAGGCAGAACGTGTCAGGGACATCACAGAAAAGAAGGAGCCCATGAAAACGTCGAGTTGTATGTGCACTCCCGGGGCCACTCGTGAGCTGGGTGTGCATGGCCCTGCTTCTAAAAGTGTACAAAGGCTTTGGGACCTGACCATTGGCCAGGTCCCAGACTGGACACAGAAAGGCACATAAGCAGATAAGATACAAAACTGAACTGATGATGGAACCAGAGCCGACAGAATGCTGCTTAGAATTTGTGGACTGAACCTAACTAGGTCAACTGCTTGTTAAAGCAAAAACTTCAATATTTTCCACAGGATTTAAACAAGATTCAGAATCATGTAACGTAAGTCAAACTGTCCAAGATACAATCCAAAATTAATTGTCATATAAAGAACCAGAAAATCCCATTATCTCACAAGAGAAAAGACAATCAAGAGGACACATATGCTGGGATGATAAAACAAATTTTAAGTAGCTACTAAAACCATGCTCTAAGAAATAAGATCACTCCTGAAACAAATAAGAGTTTCAGGAGCAAAGTATAAGACATACACAAAAAAAGAAAATTTTAGAACTAAAAAACATAATAAACAAAATTTAAAATTCACTACAAAGACTCAATAACAGAATGGAAATAACGGGAAAGAACCAGTGAATTTGAAGACAGATGAATAGAAATTTTCGAAGCTGAACAACAGGAAAAAAAAATTTAAAGAAGTAAGGAAAGCCTCAGGAACCTGCCAAACAATAACAAAACTAACATTTGGGTTACTAAAATCCTAGAAGGAAAAGAGAAAAAGTGCAATGTCAAAAAAATATTTAAAGACTTAGCCGGGCGCGGTGGCTCACGCCTGTAATCCCAGCACTTTGGGAGGCTGAGGAGAGCGAATCACAAGGTCAAGAAATCGAGACCATCCTGGCCAACACAGTGAAACCGTCTCTACTAAAAATACAAAAATTAGCTGGGCATGGTGGCGCGCACCTGTAATCCCAGCTACTCAGTAGGCTGAGGCAGGAGAAACACTTGAACCCAGGAGGCGGAGGTTGCAGTGAGCCAAGATCACGCCACTGCACTCCAGCCTGGTAACAGAAAGAGAGACTCTGTCTCAAAAAAAAAAGAGAAAAAAAAAAAAAAACGGTGTTATTAAATCTTTATTACATTTCTTTTCTCTCTCTTTTTTAACCTCATCCCTAGTTCTATTTTTATGGTGGTTAAGTTTTCTACATTCCACTTGAAGTTACAAAATATTAAATGTGAGTACACTGTGAAAAGTATGTATATTGTAATTCCTAGAGAAGCCACTAAAAAGCCTACATAAAAAGATACAATCAAGAACTCAATATATAAATTCTAGAAAAAGGCAGGGCATGGTGGCTCACGCCTGTAATCCCAGCACTTTGGGAGGCCGAGGCAGGTGGATCACTTGAGGTCAAGAGTTCAAGACCAGCCTGGCCAATATGGTGAAACCCTGTCTCTACTAAAAATACAAAAAAATTAGCTGGGTGTAGTGGCACATGCCTGCAGTCCCAGCTACTTGGGAGCTGTGGCAGGAGAATCACTCAAAAAAATAAATAAATAAGTAAGATAAATAAATTTAAGGAAAAATTCAAATAATCCAAAAGAAAGCAAAAAAGGGGCTCTCCCTCGTCTCCCTCTCCCTCTCCCCGGTCTCCCTCTGATGCCACCAAAGTTGTGAAAGCCGAGGCTGGACTGTACTGCCGCCATCTCGGCTCACTGCAACCTCCCTGCCTGATTCTCCTGCCTCAGCCTGCAGAGTGCCTGGGATTGCAGGCGCACGCCGCCACACCTGACTGGTTTTTGCATTTTTTGGTGGAGACGGGGTTTCGCTGTGTTGGCCGGGCTGGTCTCCAGCTCCTGACCGCGAGTGATCTGCCTGCCTCGGCCTCCCGAGGTGCCAGGATTGCAGACGGAGTCTCGCTCACTCAATGCTCAATGTTGCCCAGGCTGGAGTGCAGTGGCGTGATCTCAGCTCCCTACAACCTCCACTTCCCAGCCGCCTGCCTTGGCCTCCCAAAGTGCCGAGATTGCAGCCTCTGCCCGGCCGCCACCCCGTCCGGGAAGTGAGGAGCGTCTCTGCCTAGCCGCCCATCGTCTGGGATGTGAGGAGCCCCTCTGACCGGCCGCCCCGTCTGGGAAGTGAGGAGCACCTCTTCCCGGCTGCCATCCCGTCTAGGAAGTGAGGAGTGTCTCTGCCCGGCAGCCCATCGTCTGAGATGTGGGGACCACCTCTGCCCCGCCGCCCCGTCTGGGATGGGAGGAGCGCCTCTGCCCGGCCGCGACCCCGTCTGGGAACTGAGGAGTGTCTCTGCCCGACCGCCACCCCATCTGGGAGGTGAGGAGCGTCTCTGCCCGGCCGCCCCGTCTGAGAAGTGAGGAGCCCCTCCGCCCGGCAGCCGCCCGGTCTGCGAAGTGAGGAGCCCCTCAGCCCGGCAGCCGCCCCGTCCGGGAGGGAGGTGGGGGGCAGCCCCCGCCCGGCCAGCCGCCCCATCTGGGAGGGAGGTGGGGGGTCAGCCCCCGCCCGGCCAGCCGCCCCGTCCGGGAGGGAGGTGGGGGGTCAGCCCCCGCCCGGCCAGCCGCCCCATCCGGGAGGGAGGTGGGGGGCGCCTCCGCCCGGCCACTGCCCCGTCTGGGAGGTGGGGGGCGCCTCTGCCCGGCTGCCCCATCTGGGAAGTGAGGAGCCCCTCTGCCCAGCTGCCACCCCGTCTGGGAGGTGTACCCAACAGCTCATTGAGAACGGGCCATGATGACGATGGCAGTTTTGTCGAATAGAAAAGGGGGAAATGTGGGGAAAAGAAAGAGAGATCAGATTGTTACTGTGTCTGTGTAGAAAGAAGTAGACATGGGAGACTCCATTTTGTTCTGTACTAAGAAAAATTCTTCTGCCTTGGGATGCTGTTAATCTATAACCTTACCCCCAACCCCCTGCTCTCTGAAACATGTGCTATTACCACTCAGGGTTAAATGGATTAAGGGTGGTGCAAGATGTGCTTTGTTAAACAGATGCTTGAAGGCAGCATGCTCGTTAAGAGTCATCACCACTCCCTAATCTCAAGTACCCAGGGACACAAACACTGCAGAAGGCCGCAGGGTCCTCTGTCTAGGAAAACCAGAGACCTTGTTCACATGTTTATCTGCTGACCTTCCCTCAACTATTGTCCTATGACCCTGCCAAATCCCCCTCTCCAAGAAACACCCAAGAATGATCAACAAATACTAAAAAAAAATAAGAATTAAAAAAAAAAAAAAAGCAAAAAAGGGGAAATCAAAGAGGGAGAAACAGAAAAACATATACTAAACTGGTAATCTAAATCCAAAGATATTAATATTATTATGAGTAATATAATTATATTAATACCAATAATTATATTTACACATTATAAATACCCCAGTGCAACAGTTACATTTAATGTAAATAATTATACTAAAATTTATATTAAAATAATTAAATTTACCAACAAAAACCCTGTATTGTGAGAAAAGATTAAAAATAACATGACTCAGCCGGGTGCAGTGGCTCACGCCTGTAATCCCAGCACTTTGGGAGGCCAAAGCAGGTGGATCACCTGAGGTCAGGAGTTCAAGACGAGCCTGGCTAACATGGTGAAAATCCGTTTCTACTAAAAATACAAAAAATCAGCCAGGCATGGTGCGCGTGCCTGTAATCCCAGCTACTTGGGAGGCTGAGGCAGGAGAATCACTGCAACCCAGGAGGTGGAGGTTGTGGTAAGCCAGGATTGCACCACTGCACTCCAGCTTGGGCAACAAGAGCAAAACTCTGTCTCAATAAATAAATAAATAAATAAATAAATAAATAAATAAATAACACTACCCAACTATATGCTGCCTACAAGAAGCCCCCTTTAAATAGAATTATAAAGGTAGATCAAAAGTAAAAAAATGGAAAAAGATATGCCATGCAAGCACTAATCAAATGAAAGCTGCAGTGTCTATATAAATTGGACAACAGATATTTCTGATCTTAGAACAAGGAAAATTACCATAAAGAGGGAATTACATAATGATAAAACAGGCAATTCACCCAGAAGATATCATCCTGAATGTGTACACACCTAACAACAGAGCCTCAAAATACATGAAGCAAAACCAGATAGAGCTGAAAGTAAAATTGGAAAAAAAAATTGTAGTTGGAAAGTTCAACACTCTTCTGAGTAATAAAGTGATATAACTGCATACAAAGTATCAGCAAGAATAAAGAAAAACTGAACACCATCATTAACCAACTAAATCAACTTGACATTTATAGAAAACTGTCCAAAAACAGAATGTACAATCTTTATACTGTATGTGGTATATTCACATTTTAAAAAATTTTTTAATGTTATTTTTAAAAATTAATAAATGAAATCATTCAAAATATATTCTCTGACCATAATATAATGAAATGAGAAATAAATGGTAGAAAAATAACAGGAAAAAAGTCTCCAATTGCTTGCAAACTAAATAACATATTTCTAAATAATTCATTGGTAAAAGAATAAGATTCAAGGGAAATTAGAACATTTCATTTGTGCTCAGTTCAAAATACCAGAATTTGTGGGGGTGTAACTAAAGCAGTGGTTAGAAGGAAATTTACAGTATTAAATGCTTATCTTAGAAAAGAAAGGTCTCAAACCAGAAATCTAAGTTTCTACTTTAAGCAACTTGGAGAAAAAAAAAAGAGTAAAATAAACCCAAAGCAAGCAGAAATAATAGAAAAGAAATAATAAAGAGCAGAAAATCAATAAAATTGAAAACAAAACAACAGAAAAATCAAAACAAAAGCTAGTTCTTTGAAAAGACTAATAAATCCCTATACAATCTGACAAAGAAAAACAAGACACAATTGCCAACACCAGGAATAAAAGAGGGATACCACTACAAACCCGAAATGCTATAAATAATTACACGCTCATAAATTTGACAATTCAATACAATTAATTACTCAAAGGCCATAAACTACAGTAAAAATTCACTCAAGAAGAAACAGATAACTTAAATAGTCCTATATCTATTAAATAATCTGAATTCATAGTTTAAAATACTCTGAAAAAGAAAACCCTAGGCCCCTGCCAGGCACGGTGGCTCACATCTATAATCCTAACACTTTGGGAGGCCAAGGTGGGCTAATCACTTGAGGTCACAAGTTCGAGACCAGCTTGGCTAACATGGTGAAACCCTGTCTGCATTAAAAATACAAAAATTAGTCGGGCATGGTGGCACACGCTTGTAATCCCAGCTATTTGGGAGGCTGAGGCAGGAGGATAACTTGAACCTGGGAGGCAGAGGTTGCAGTAAGCCAAGATCTCACCACTGCACTCCAACCTGGGTGACAGAAGTGAGACTCTGTCTCACACACAAAAAACAAAACCCTAGGCCCAGATGGCATCACTTCCCAATTCAACCAAATATCTAAAGAAGAAATGACACCAATTCTACACAATCTCTTCTAGAAAATGGAAATAAGAGTAAAAATAAAAACTTCCCAATTCGTTTTATAAGGCCAGCATTACCCAATTTTAAGACTTACTATACAGTAATTAAGACCATGTGGTATTAACAAAGGAATAGACACACACATCATGAAACAGAAAAAGGAGTCCAAAAACAGGCCTAGACAAATATGGCAAAAGTACAAAGGCAATTCAATGGAGTAAAGGTTGTCTTTTCAACAAATGGTATTAGAACAACTAGACATCCATATGTAAAAATAAACAAAAAACAAAAAATCTGACGTAACCCTCATACTTATACGACATTAACTCAAAAAAGATATATATCTAAACGTAAAGTGTAAAACCATAATACTTTTTTTTTTTTTTTGAGATGGAGTCTCACTGTGTTGCCCAGGCTGGAGTGCAGTGGCGCGATCTCGGCTCACTGCAAGCTCCACCTCCCGGGTTCACACTATTCTCCTGCCTCAACCTCTCAAGTAGCTGGGACTACAGGTGCCCGCCACCACGCCCGGCTAATTTTTTTTTTTTTTTGTATTTTTAGTAGAGATGGGGTTTCACCGCATTAGCCAGGATGGTCTCGATCTCCTGACCTCGTAATCTGCCCACCTCAGCTTCTCAAAGTGCTGAGATTACAGGCATAAGCCATGGCACCTGGCCAACCACAATACTTTTAAAAGGAAACATATGAGAAAATCTTCATGACCTTTGCTTAGGCAAAGGGCTCTTAGGTGTGACTCTGAAGGCACAATCCATACAAGAAAAAAATGACAAGTTGAATGTAAATTTAAAAAAAAAAAGTCCTGATTGGGCACAGTGGCTCACGCCTGTAATCCCAGCACTTTGGGAGGCCGAGGCAGGTGGATCACTTGAGGTCAAGAGTTTGAGACCAGCCTGGCCAACATGGTGAAACCCCATTTCTACTAAAAATACAAAAAAATCAGCCGGGTGTGGTGGTGCGTGCCTATAATCCCAGCTACTAGGGAGGCTAAGGCAGGAGAACTGCTTGAACCCAGGAGGCGGAGGTTGCAGTGAGCCGAGATTGCCTCACTGCACTCCAGCTCGGGCGACAGAGCAAGACGCTGTCTCAAAAAAAAAAATAAGAAAAAAAAAGAGAAAAGGCAAAGCTATTGAGACGGAGAAAGATCAGCGGTTGCCAAGTGTTGGGATAGAGGTGGGGCTTGACTTCAAAGGTGAAGGAACTAACTGTTCTTTACCCTTATAGTGGTGACAGTTACAGGAATCTATGTATGTGTTAAAACTGATACAAGTATACATTTTAAAAAGGTCAAACTTACTATATATAATATTTGAAGATAATGAAAAAGGGAAAAATGTAACTAATGCTCTTTTAATAACTCCACTGCTATTTCTATTTTTATTGAAAATTACCACTAAAGCAAAGACAGTTTCTAAAAACAATAAATGTATTACAATTACAGAAACATAATCCTAGCACTTTGGGAGGCTGAGGTGGGCAGATCACAAAGTCAGGAGTTCAAGACCAGCCTGGCCAACATGGCGAAACCCCATCTCTTCTAAAAATACAAAAATCAGCCAGGCATGGTGGTGGGCACCTGTAATCCCAGCTACTCAGGGGGCTGAGGCAAGAGAATCGCTTGAACCCGGGAGGTGGAGGTTGCAGTGAGCTGAGAGTACGTCATTGCACTCCAGCCTGGGTGACAGAGTGAGACTCCATCTCAAAAAAAAAACAATTACAGAAACAGACTTTGGACTTCCATTTCCAGAAACAGGTTAGAAACTCTTCCCAATACTGAATTCTCTCAAAATGTTTTTTAAAAAGGTGAGTTTGTGTTAAACTAAGGAAAATAGTGGGAGGCAGAAACAAATACAGGCAGTGCCCTTATCTTAAACATTTGGGGCCAGTAGTATTCTGGAATTCAGAATTTTGGAGTTTTACAGGGACAACACATTAAGTTTAACAGAGAGCATATTAATACTCCAGCACCATCTGGGACAATACCCCATAATCAAACACCATATTTCTACAGTAAGTATAAACCTGTACTCATACAGGATCAGTACGAGCACCCAAGACAAAAATTCAGTTTTAAGTGGTACCAGAAGGGTAGTGACCCAGGCCCCAGGTGCATGGCAAAAGAAAATGCAAAACACCTGAAGTAACTTAATTTATACAGAGTACACAGAGAATTCCCACAGACAAAAGTCCAAGAAACATGTTCACGGCCAAAAATCACTAAAATCACAAGCCACCAACAGTCTGAATCCGAAGAAACAAAGAAATGCTGAGTCAGGTCCACAAAAAACTGTAGATAGCAGAATTATCAGACAAATATACATTTAATAAAACTAAATAAATAAAAGATGGGATCAAAAGTGGGAATGAAGGGTGAAAGGAATAAGAAACTACAAAAAATGATCCATAGAAATAAAAAATTCAATAACTTTTTTTCTTTGTTTGAGCTGGGGTCTTGCTGTGTTGCCCAGGTTGGTCTCAAAACTCCTGGGCTCAAGCAATCTTCTCACCTTAAGCTTCCTGAGTAGCTGGGAGTACAAGTGTGTGCCACTTCTCCCAGCTTACAGTAACTTTGCGATGAAAATAACATGCCGTCAGGTGTGGTGATTCATGCCTGTAATCCCAGCACTTTGGGAGGCCGAGGCAGGTGGGTCACTTGAGGTCAGGAGTTCAAGATCAGCCTGACCAACATGGTGAAACCCCGTCTCTACTAAAATATAAAAATTAGCCAGGAGTGGTGGCGGGCGCCTGTAATCCCAGCTCCTCGGGAGCCTGGTTGAGGGAAGGAAGGAGGGAGGGAGGGAGGAAGGAAATAACATGCTGAAAACTTGATTCAGTAGCAGATTAGACCTCATTTTAGTTCACTGAGAATGAGTGAACTAAAAGATCTGAAGAAATCACTTAGCCCTTTAAGACACAAAGAACATTTAAGATGAAAAAGAACATGAAGGCTGTCTAATCAAAATCCCAGGTGATAATTAAGAGTATATAATTTCTAAACTAATAGAGAAGAAAAAAAAACAGGTGCTCTTGTCAAAATGCTTCTAGGTCCACATTTACTGTACAACCTAGAGGAAGTTACCTAACCTTTCTAAGCCCTGGTTTTCTCATGTGTAAATAAGATAATCAGTCCGGGCGCGGTGGCTCATGCCTGTAATCCCAGCACTTTGGGAGGCCGAGGCAGGCGGATCACAAAGTCAGGAGATCGAGACCATCCTGGCGAACATGGTGAAACCCCGTCTCTACTAAAAATACAAAAAAATTAGCCGGGTGTGGTGGCAGGCGCCTGTAGTCCCAGCTATTTGGGAGGCTGAGGCAGGAGAATGGCATGAACCCGGAGGTTGCAGTGAGCCGAGACCGCGCCATTGCACTCCAGCCTGGGCGACAGAGCAAGACTCCATCTCAAAAAAAAAAAGATAATCATGCCTACTACCTGCACAAAGGTCTTGTGACTAATAAATAAAATCCAAATATACACTAAGCACTGAACTTAATAAATGTCACTTATTGGCAATTTTTAAAAATTTTTTAAAAATTTTATCTGCAAAGTGCAGTAAAATATTAATAAAATTAAGACCGAGGGAGGAAATAAGGCTATGTGGATAATGGTTTGATGTCAAAATCAGTGGAGGGGAAAAGTAGGACATTTGACCCTTCATTTACTAATTCTGATAACACACTTCTTAGAAGGTCCAGTCACTCCTGCTCCTTTTCCATACACTGATCTGACTCTACTACACTCTCCAAATTCTCCCAAATTTACAAGTAGTTAGAGGAGAAAAAAAATATTCCAATCATTTTATTCCTCATCTGAAGTTCTGCTTAGTAAATTAAAAAAAGAAAGTGAGACACATATGTACACACAAGAAAATCACATACTCACTTTTCATTAGTTTTCCTGACAATTCTTTTAGTGGAGAAGCGGGACTATTTCTACTGGCTACTGTAAGTGTAGAGGAAGATTCTTGGGTTTCCATGGAAACTTGGTGAGTTCCTGCTCTGGCCATTTCAAGACGGAGAGAATGGGCACTGTCACATTCCTGGGAAAGCAGCAAGTGATTCTGAGTGCTGTTAGTTCTATTATTCAGGTCAATTCCTTCTGAATGAGTCATAAACAACTGTGCTGAGCCAGAATCCTCCAATCTCTTATCAAGAGAATCAGTTAAAAAAGACGCTGTAGTTTCATGCTTTTTAGATGGAGAGACAGGCTCAGCCAGTGAGCTCTGCTTCACTGTGTTTAGACTGTGTGCTCTTATTCGCGACCAAGTTGTTGAATGAAAACTTTCAGCCTCTAACCAAAATTTCACCAAATGCTCCATTCGCCGAAGTTCCATGAATTGAATGAAGTAAGGGAGGACAATAGTGTCGTGCAAGACTTGTTCAAGGGTCTTAGAAAGGCTTGATTTGGTCTCTTGAGTCTGGTAGTCCAGACAAGATCTGCCTAAAAGATAGAAGCAAAAGAATTAGCAGTTCAGCAACAAATAATTTCAGATTGACAGATTAGTCAATCACTTTTAGCAACAACTGGTACCAGAGACCTTGAATAAAGTTTACTTCCTAGCAACTAAAGTAAATAAAAAAACTACAAATACTATGCTTTTGGTTTCTAAACAAAGTACAATCGTCCAAAACTTGCCTAAATTATTAAAAAGTTATTTGTTACTCAATAATTCTCATATCTCTTTTAATGGCAATTCAGACCATGTAAATTCTTTTTTTTTTTTTTTTTTTTTTTTTTGAGACTTTTCACTCTTGTTGCCTAGGCTGGAGAGCAATGGCGCGATCTCGGCTCAATGCAACCAACCTCCACCTCCCGGGTTCAAGCGATTCTCTTGACTCAGCCTCCTAAGTAGCTGGGATTACAGGCACCCGCCACCACGCTGAGCTAGTTTTTGTACTTTTAGTAGAGATTCGGTTTCACCATGTTGGTCAGGATGGTCTCAAACTCCTGACCTTCGGCAATCCACCCACCTCGGCCTCCCAAAGTGCTGGGATTGCAGGCGTGAGCCACTGCGCCCAGCCCAGACTACATAAATTCTTAAGAAAAAAAACTTATGATACTAGTTCCAAAGGGGCCAATAAAAATATTAAAAACTATACTCAACCTCATTAAAAATCCCAGAAAAGCAAATTAACATAAAATGCATTTTTGTCTGTCAAATTAGATTTTTTTCAAAAATTATTAAGCAGTAACAAGGGCACAGGAAAATAGGCAACACTCTCATTCGCTGGTCATGAGGATGTAAACTGGCAAAACCTTTTTGGAGGAGCATTCAGGAACAGATAGCAAAGTCTTAGCAAACTGCATTATTTTCAGTCCAGTAATTCCACTTGTAGGCACTTATCCTGAGGGAAAATTGTGGATATATCTACAAAGATGTTATGAACTCAGCATTATTCATTCATAGTAGGTTAAAGAGTAGCTTTGAGATCGTACCTTGAAAAATGAAACTAAACTTAATAAAAAATCATTTATCTTATATTTAACTAAATTTAAATTATAACCACAAGCTAATTGTTAGGAAAGACAAAAAATTTTTTTAAAAATTGGCTTTCATAGCATGATCATAAAGATGGGCATTCTTATAAAACTGACTGAGGGTTTCATCAATTTGTCAAAAGAGTTCTTCTTAATCCATTGATATTCAAATCATTTTTTTGAAGCACGTCGTGTCTTCATCCTCAGTCTTACTGTCAGTGTCAACTAGTTCATCTTTGTCAACATCACAAACTTGAGGAAATTCTGATCTTCTGTGAGGTTTACAATTTCTTTTAATTAAATTCTATGAGATAATGCTAGATTCACATGAAGTTCTAAGATACAATACTGAAAGGGCCAGGCATGGTCGCTCACGCCTGTAATTCCAGTACTTTAGGAGGCTGGGGCAGGCGGATCACTAGAGCCCAGGAGTTCAAGACCGGCCTGGGGAACATAGTGAAACCCCATCTCTAAAAAAATAATAATACCTAGAGATCCCTTGTACACTTTAGTTTCTCCCATGGTAACATCTTGCAAAGCTATAGTACAATATCACTCTAAGATACTGACAGTGATACAACACTCTAACTTGTTCAGATTTCCCCAGTTTTATCTATACTCATTCTTGTTTTTAGTTCTTTGTAATTTTATCACATTGAGATTTCTGCATCCACTGCCAAGATACAACTTCAACATCACAAAGATCCCTCATGTTGCACTTTTATAACTACACCCACTTACCCCTCTCACCTCCCTGTCTCTAACATCTGGCAAACACTAATCTTTTCATTTCTCTTAATTTCTCTATTTCAAGAATATTATCCAAACGGAATCATACTATATGTAGTCTTTAGGGACTGGTTTTTGTCTGACAGCATAATTCCCTTGATATTCATCCAGGTGGTTAAATGTATCAACAGTTTGTTCCTTTTTATTGCTGAATGGTATTCCATGGTATGAATGAACCAGTTCATTCACCTGCTGAAGAACATCCAGTTTTTCAATATTAAGCTGCTATGAACATTTGTGCACAGGTTTTTATTGGAAGGTAAGTTTTCATTTATCTGGGATAAATACAGAGTGCAACTGCTAGGTCATATGGTAATTGCATGTTTCACGTCATAAGAAACCACCAGCCAGGGATGACGGCTCATGCCTGTAATCCCAGCACTTTGGGAGGCCGAGGCGGGCTGATCACCTGAGGTCAGGAGTTCAAAACCAGCCTGACCAACATGGTGAAACCCCATATCTACTAAATATACAAAAATCAGCCAGGCATTATGGCAGGCACCTGTCATCCCAGCTACTCAGGAGGCTGAGGCAGGAGAATAGCTTGAACCTGGGAGGCGGAGGTTGCAGTGAGCCAAAAATTGGGCCACTGCACTCCAGCCTGTGAGACTCCGTCTACAAATAAATAAACAAACAAACAAACAAACAAACAAACTGCCTAGGCCAGGCACAGTAGCTCACGCCCGTAATCCCAGCACTTTGGGAGGCCTACGCAAGTGGATCGCTTGATTCCAGGAGTTTGAGACCAGCCTGGGAAACATGGCGAAACCCCGTCTCTACAAAAAAAAAAAAAAAAAATACAAAAATTAGCCAGGCGTGGTGGTGCATGCCTATAGTCCCAGCTACTCAGGAGACTGAGGGAGGATCACCTGAACCTGAGGAGGGTGAGGCTGCAGTGAGTTGTAATCACGCCACTGTACTCCAGCCTGCGCAACAGAGTGAGACCCTGTCTCAAAAAGAAAAAAAAAAAGAAAGAAAGAAACTGCCTGTTTTCCAGAGCATCTGCACCATTTTAAATTCTCATCAGCAATTTATGAGTGATCTAGCAAAACTTACAATTTTACTCTCTGAGCTATATGCATTTTGTCTGCTATGTATTATTGCTAAGTGTGCCCCACAAACACATTGACACTCTGGTTTGAATATACACAAAAGTAGAGAGAGATGTCAAAAGCAGGACTGATTTTATTAGAAGTCCATTGGTTCATGGATCTTTTTTTCAACTTATGACAACATGACATGCAATTTTCTAAGTGCAGAAATTTGGGTAAGAAATACTGACAAAATAAAGGTCTCCTGCATATGTTTTTGTTTTGGAAGAACTTATTTTAATATAACGGATTTTACCATGCATACTGTGACTTGCTTTTCTCACATTTAAACATGCCTTAGACATTTTCCCACGTCTTTTTTAGATTTCTAAATGGCTACACTGAACCAGGTGTGGTGGTTCACGTTGGTAATCCCAGCACTTTGGGAGGCCTGTGTGGGAGAATTGCTTGAGGCCAGGAGTTTGAGACCAGCTTAGGCAACATAGTGAGACCCTGTCTCTACAAAAAATTAAAAAATTATCTGGGTGTGGTGACACATGCCTGCAGTCCTAGTAACTCTGGAGGCTGAGGCGAGAGAATGGCTTGTGCCCAGGAGGTGAAGGCTGCAGTGAACCATGATCATACCACTGCACTCCAGCCTGGGCAACAGAGTAAAACCCTGTCTCAAGAAAATAAATAAATAGAAACAAATGGCTATATTATACTCCAGAGCATGCGTATACCACAATTTGGTTATTTCCCTATAACAGATATTTATATGTTGTCCATAATTTTTTGCTATCACAAACAATACTATAATGAATAGCCTTCAACATACATACATACATACATACATACATACATATACACACACACACACACACACACACACACATACACACCTGCACATATGAATGAGCATATCTGAGGGCTAGGTCTTAGAAAGAGTGGCCTAAATGACATGCATATTTTATACTGATTTCCAAATTGCTTTCCAAAGAGTCTTCACCAGATTATATTATCACTAAATAGGAGGGGTATTTCCCTGCATCTTCACTGACATTCAAATTGTCAAACTTTAAAAAATATGCTAATGTGTTAGGAGAACATTAACTGATTATTTTAATTTGCACTTCCCTCAGTAATAAAGTGAGACATCTTTTTCATATATTTATATTTAGTGATCAGATATATTTCTTCTGGAAATGCTTGTTTTTCTACTGGGCATGCTTTATATTCTATATTTACAGGAACACAACACAGCTACCCATTATACTTGTAGCTGTTATTTTAAATACATTTTTTCCAAAGCACTTTCCAATTATATAGTTCTGTATCCTATGACAGAAGTTTCACATATTGTACTCAAATCCTTCTAATACAAGTTAATAAAAAATGATAGTTACTTACCCAGGTCACCAAAATGAGCGGCCTCCATGTGGCTTGGCTGCTTCTTAAGTGTGGCTGTCCTGCTACTTGAAAAGGAGTCCATGTTGGCAGAAATGGCATTGATTGCAACATGACTTGGTCCTGCAGCCTCCAGCAAGGCATGATTTTTAGTGCTTTTTTGTGGGGAATGTACGGATATTGAAGCTATAATTTTTCAAAAAATTGTTAAGAATTAAACACAATTTGATAGCCTAAAACTCTCATAAAGGGGCTTTCAGAGAACTTTAAAAATTAAATTTTGTAACATTACTCTTAAGTCAGCATACTCAGCAAAAAATACTTAAGAGGAAAAGTAACTTAATCAAGTGGTGGAAAATAGGAAAGAAAACACTCTTTTTTTTTTTTTTTTTTTTCCCAGACAGAGTCTTGCTCTGTCACCCAGGCTGGAGTGCAGTGGCATGACCTCGGCTCACTGCAACCTCTGCCTCCCATGTTCAAGTGATTCTCCTGCCTCAGCCTCCCAAGTAGCCAGGATTACAGGCATGAGCCACCACACCCAGCCAGAAAACATTCTAATATTATTTATAATTCTCAAAATACTGTGCCAAAAAGTTAAATTAAAAGAGGGAGATCATTCTCTGAGAACTTCTACTGTGGATAAAAAGTAACAAAGCCAGAAAGCATTCTAAAATACGGATTATTTTTAAATCCTTAAACCTTGCTTGCTTTAGGAACAAAACTAAAATTGCAGAATAAATGCTTGGGGTGGGGGGAACCTAGAAAAATATTCCTCAGGCCAGGCATGGTGGCTCATGCCTGCAATCGCAGTACTTTGGGAGGCCAAGGTGGGTGGATCACCTGAGGTCAGGAGTTCAAGACCAGCCTGACCAACATGGTGAAACCCTGTCTCTACTAAAAATACAAAAAATTAGCTGGGTGTGGGGGCAGGTGCCTGTAATCCCAGCTACTTGGGAGACCGAGGCAGGAGAATTGCTTGAATCTGGGAGGCGAAGGTTGCAGTGAGCTGAGATTGCACCACTGCCCTCCAGCCTGAGCAACGGGAGTGAAACTCCATCTCAAAAAAAAAAACAAAAAAAGATAAAGCACACTAAAAATTCATAAAATATATTTTTAGTAGTCTGAAGAAATATCAGTATCACCCCTTTGGCTTCAGAATAAAGATAATTTCAGTCATTCAATAATAGTTGTGGGAATTACAAAATGAAGAGTGACTGTCTTCAAACTATTTTTTCAATGTTAAAAGAAGGTTTATTTTTATTTTCATGAGAAATTGGAGCAAAATAATTTTTAGCTTATTTATAAACAAAAGCCAGTTTTCGTGTTCAGACAAGTACAAGTAAGAGTCTATAGGAATGGTGAGACTCTCGCATTGTTTCTTAATTAGATGTATATAATGTAAAATGCTACTAACTCATTTGTACAAGGCTTTCCCCGGTCCCTCTTAACATCTCTCTTAGAACTAGTAACTTATTTTTACCACTCCTTCCTGATAGTCTATCTTTCTTGGTCTCCATGGTATTATACTCTCCTAATTTCCTCTTCTATCTGCTCATTGCTCTCATTCTTTTAATACCCATTTATCAACACCCAGTGTGTCAGATATAGCCTGCTTCTTTGGCTCCCCTTCTTGAGGCTATCTGTTCTTCTTTTATTCTTTCTGCTAGAAAGCATATTTACTCTCAAATCTTTAATTATTACCAGAGCAATAATTTTCAAACTTTTTAAAAGCTGAAACCTCCTTTGCTTCCCACCAAAATAAACTTAACAAGGGACCGGGTGCAGTGGTTCACGCCTGTAATCCCAGAACTTTTGGAGGCTGAGGCAGGCAGATCACGAGGCCAGGAGTTCGAGACCAGTCTGGCCAACATGGTGAAACCCCATCTCTACTAAAAATACAAAAGAAATTAGCTGGGCTTGGTGGCACAAGCCTGTAATCCCAGCTACTTGGGAGGCTGAGGCAGGAGAATCACTCGAACCCGAGAGGCAGAGGTTGCAGTGAGCTGCGCGATCTCGCCACTGCCCTCCAGCCTGGGCAACAGAGCGAGAATCTGTCTCAGAAAAAACAACAACAACAACAAAAAAGTAATTCTGGCAAATTCAAGGGAAACATCTTACTCACACCCTCCACATGGACTGTTTGCAACAGCTCCTAGGGTACACCTCTGTGGAGCAGATGAAAAAGCCCTGATCTGTATCTGTGACTTGTCTTTGACCTGGGCTTTGGTCTTGTATCACTGATTACTCGCTACTAAGCATTCCCACCCACATTGACTTTACCATCTCAAGCACAATCTGTCTAAATATCAACTTAAAACATCATCATCTGATTCTCCTCTCAATTTCCCTGTCTGTTCAATCCACCAGTCTCCAAAACTCAAAATCTTGGTCCCATTCTTTTTCACTGTTATCTGTTTACTTGCCAAGATTTGTTGACTTTTCCTTCAAGATGTTTAAACATTTACTTACCTGTTTATTTTTAACACCTCACCCTCAGTGCAAGTCTTTCTGTATTATAACAAAAAAACTTCCGGGGTCTCCATCCTGCAAATCTCTTCCAGACTAACCTTTCATAAACACCATACTTACAGCATCAATATCTTGCTCAAAAACCTACAGTGGCTTCCTGCTTCCTCTGTCTCAATTCTCTTTTCTGGTCTTTACAGCCTTCTATACCTTCATCTCAATCTTTCTGTAAAAATCTCCCTCTACTTGTCTGAAGGCCCCTTTGCCCAATATATCCTCAAATAAGAAGCTGGGCTGGTAGGGAGAAGAGAAAGAATCTCTCATTCAAATCTTTCTTATTCTTCAACTTTTATACAAGGTAAGTGTCATTGCCATGAAGTCTTCCCTAAACTTCAGAAATCATTTGTTGATCTCAAATTCCTCTGAATTCCTTGCAGTGCTTCACTCAGTTTGACTAATTCAACAAACTGAAGGCTATGTTAAAACTAGATAATGATAGCTACCAATGGAGGACCTACTATATACCAGGCACTATACGAGTTTCTCTATGTACCTTTTTTTTTTTTGGATATTATTTCATCTATCTCTCAGGACAATCTTGTAAGACCATATTTTCCTCATTTTAGAGATGAAGACAAAAATGAAAACAAGTTGAATACTTTGCCCTAGGTTAATGAGCTAGTAAACAGCCATTTCAACAGGCAGGATTTCAACTTAGGTTTGCTAGACTCTAAAAAATCACTCTCTAACCTTTGGTTTAAAACTCAGACCTTAAAATTACTATGCATATAAAATAACATATATAACATATATAAATGAATGACTCAAAAGCACCTCCCACCCAACATAACAAAACTGAACATATAATTTCCTGTTTTGGTTCTGTTAGGCAAGCCAGAAGGTAGGTATCAATCTTAAATATCCCTCTCTCTCACACCTCATATTTAATCAATAATAAACTTCTATCCATTTTGCCTCCGAATTTTTTTTCAAGTCCGTTCACATCTCTTTACTTCCATCACTACCAATCTAGGCTAAGCCATCTGTGGAATTACTTGATTAATGTTCCTCTCCCCTACTAATCTGTAAGTTCAATGAGGGCAGGACCTAAGTCTTTTTTGTTCACCGTTATAGTCAGTTTTTGTCTAATGCCCAGAACAGAAGAAGTGTTCTATAAATGGCAGCTATTATTATTTTGGTCTATTTGCTACTGTTCTGTGTATAAGTTTGTCTTTCTAACCAGACTGCAAACATCTTGAGGGGCTGTTTCTTGTACTGCTTCTGTATTATCCTAAGGATAAGTCAGTGAATGTTAAGCACAGATTATGTACTTCATAATCAGAGTATAAGCACAGAATTTTTTAGCCCAGTAGAGATTTAGAAATTAGCTAGGCCAATCCCCCCATTCAACAAATGAAGAATCTGAAGAAAGTTACAACTTCCCAAGGTCATACTGTTAGTGGCAAAGTTTAGAGTGGAAGACTGGTGTTCTCACTGCCTGAAACATCTAAGTTCCTTCCTTCTACTACAGTCAGATCTAGTCTTTACAGGTCTCTGCTTGAGAAGGGCTTTAAGCCTTTATCACTGCCAATCAAGTTTTGCTCAAAGAAGGCAGTTTGAACTAATGTGGAATCTAACTGGCTTTACATAAGAAATAAGTAAACTAGGCTGTAAGGTACCTTACTTTTTTCCCTAATTTTACAACTTGCCTAAGTTATAATTAGTCTTCTTCTCCAGCAAATTGAGCATATAGAATAAATACTCAGTGCAAGCAATACAACATAAAAACATTTGAAGGAAAAATCTAAATAAGTAGCAATCTACAGATTTTATGGAAATAAATTGATGAAATTAATATGTAATGACTATGGAAACAATTTCCATTATAATTTTCCCACTTCAATCTCTGTACACTGGACAAATAAAATCAGTGAGTAATACAGCATCTTTAAAAAGCATGCTCTAATCTATAAACAAGGACAATGTATCGATCCCAACAAAAAATAAACAAAATATATTTTAAATTAAGGTTGTTCATTCAAATAAAAAAGTAAAAACTGTAATCAACCATACTTCTGGATAAATGACAGAAAACTAAGCCTTATAAGTGTCAGTGCTTTCCTACAGTTAACAGACTGCTCAGTTAAGAGTATTCTTCATTTTTTGTCTTACTAAATAAATAAAGTGAACTAATCACTTTTAGGGAACAATTAAATGTGTGATTAATAAGAAGGGCACTGGTTCACTGTAATCACTAGGATAGCCAATACACACAAGGCTCAGTAAAAGCCTACTTATGGCCAGGCATGGTGGCTCACGCCTGTAATCCCAGGACTTTGGGAGGCCAAGGCGAGTGGATCACTTGAGGTCAGGAGTTTGAGACTGGCCTGGCCAACACGGTGAAACCCTGTCTCTACTAAAAATACAAAAATTAGCTGGGCATGGTGGCGGCCACCTGTAATCCCAGCTACTCGGGAGGCTGAGGCAGGAGAATCGCTTGAACCCGGGAGGTGGATGCTGCAGTGAGCCGAGATGGCACCACTGCACTCCAGCCTGGGGATAAGAGCAAGACTCCATCTCAAAAAAATAAAATTAAGGTAAAAAAAGCCTACTTACGGCCGGGTGCGGTGGCTCACGCTTGTAATCCCAGCACTTTGGGAGGCCGAGGCGGGCGGATCACAAGGTCAGGAGATCGAGACCATACTGGCTAACATGGTGAAACTCTGTCTCTACTAAAAAATACAAAAAATTAGCCAGGCGTGGCGCCGTGCACCTGTAGTCCCAGCTGCTGGGGAGGCTGAGGCAGGAGAATGGTGTGAACCCGGGAGACAGAGCTTGCAGTGAGCCAAGATCGCGCCACTGCACTCCAGCCTGGGTAACAGAGCAAGACTCCGTCTCCAAAAAAAAAAAAAAAAAAAAAGCCTACTTATTATATGCTAGATGTTAAAGCATTATACAGGTTAAAGAGGGAAATAAATCAAAATCATAAGTAATTATAAAATAAGGCAGAAATGATTAATGCCAAAAGAGAGAGTATAACAGGATTAAAGAACTCACAAATGCAAAGCACATCACTTTTTAATGCAGTGGACTGCCAAGGGCAGAACTTACCTTTAATGGACTTCACATCTGAGGTCTTCTCTTGTTCTTTGCCTTTCACTAGAACATAAAAAGATAATTATGACCAACTTTTGCAGTCAGAGATCCATTCTATAACACTGTAAAAATTAGACCAGCTTTATTCTAAGATGAGTATTCAAAGTTCTAGAACAATGGACAGCCTTGGAGGAGGGCACAGGAGGGTAGTTGTCAGCAAAGGCTTCTCTAAGGAAGTGACCTTGGAACAGCATCCAGTCAAAAGAGTTGAACCTGCTTATGGAGAGACAATGTAGTCACAACATCTGGGGTCAAATTCTGGCTCTACCACTTATAAGCCATGTGATCTTGGACAAGTTACTTACTTCTCTGGGTCTTAATTTTCTTGATTTATAAAATTAGGTCAATAATAAAAACTACCTTAGAGGATTATTGATGAAAAAAAATATATACCTGTAAGGGGCTTAGAAGAGTAACTAGCACAGTAAATTGAGGACAAATGCTAACCAATATTATTACCATGTGTCATCCATAGTACTAGCTACTAGAAGCATAGTGAAGAAAGGTCTTTGGTTGTGTATCATATCTTATTACTTATTCCTCCCATAGCATCAAGTGAAAACATCCTAAGCCTCTAACACTCAGAGTATAATAATTTGTCTGGGCCAGGCACGGTGGCTCACGCCTGTAATTCCAGCACTTTGGGATGCCAAGGCGGGTGGATCACCTGAGGTCAGTAGCTCAAGACCAGCCTGGCCAACATGGTGAAACCCCATCTCTACTAAAAATACAAAACAATGAGCTGGGTGTGGTGGCGGACACCTGTAAGCCCAGCTACTTGGGAGGCTGAGGCAGAGAATTGCTTGAACCCAGGAGGCGGAGGTTGCAGTGAGCCGAGATCGCGACACTGTACTCCAGCCTGGGAGACAAAGAGAGACTCCGTCTAAAAAAATAAAAGATAAAGAATAATTTGTCTGTAAAATAATCATATAATTGCTTCCTTACTACATAAAACAGTAAAAATTCTGCTGTAGATAAGCTAATATGACATCCAAGATAGGAAGGTGCCCAGCAGCTTAAGCCAAGTGTGAATTCTATCACAGGATCTGACATAAGACTATTTTTAACCCTCTTTTCTTGTTTTTTTTTTTCAACATTAAAAAATCTTACCAGGAAAAGGTTATCAAAATAAGAAATGCCAAAACGTGCCCATCTCTGTATTTGTGCTCTTAAACATTGAAAGGTGAAAGGCTAGTAGCAGGAAATAACTCGCCCTCAGAGTATCTGGATGAAGTCAATACATCAACTGTTGAGTGCTTGGTATGTGCCAGACATGCTCCCAGCTCAGAAAAGGCAATGATTTTGCCTTCAAAAAGTCTACATTCAAGTGTGTGGAGACTAACATGAAAAAAATAAATAAGATCGTTGCAGGTACTGATCACTGCTGTCAGGAAGACGACATTTAAAAATGTTGTAGGGTCACTGGTGTTTGCAGCCCTCTCAGCAGCATCTGCCCATGGACTACATCACTCACTTTAAACATTAACTTGTCTTGGCTTCCTTGACTCCTCTCTTCTGCATATACATCTGTATTTCCTGGCTGATCCTACCCATTCTTAAGGCTTACAATACCATAGATACGCTGTTACTCCTAAATTTATATCTCCATCCTAAATCTTTTATCTCAAATTCATATAGCTAACCACCTACCTGCCATCTTCCATAATTCCACTTGTCTAAAAGGGAACATGTCATCTTCTCCCAAACCTGTTCCTACCTCAGTCTTCATCTTCCCTCATGAATGACACTGTCATCCACCCACTACTCAGACCAAAATTCCGGAAGTCATCCTTAACATGGTCTGTTTATTACCTTCCACATACAAACTATGACCAACTGATTCTACTGCCAAAACAAACCACCACGGTTCCACTTTTACCACCTAAAAACATTCTCCTACTATCAATCAGATCTCCTATGTTATACTTCTAACATATACACAACTCAACAATCAAATATCAGCATTTTGCTTTATTTCCTTCTGTCCCCCTAAGTATTATACATAGACTTTAGAGTTCCTATGAATCACCACCTGACCCTTCCTTTCCCAGATATAAATACTTACTAAATTAGATATTTCCTGGCCAAGCGCAGTGGCTCACACCTGTAATCCCAGGACTTTGGGAGGCCAAGGCGGGTGGCTCACTTAAGGTCAGGAGTTCGAGACCAGCCTTGCCAACATGGTGAAACCCTGTCTCTACTGAAAACACAAGAATTAGCAGGGTGTGGTGGCGGGTACCTGTAGTCCCAGCTACTTAGAAGGCTGAGGCAGAAGAATCGCTTGAACCCGGGAGGCCGAGATTGCGGTGAGCTGAGATTACACCACTGTACCCCAGCCTGGGTGACAGAGCAAGACTCTGTCTTAAAAAAAAAAAAATAAATAAATAAATAAAGACATTTTCCTTCCATGTACGTTTTTTGACTATGACCACATACAAATACTTTTTATTTTTATTTTTTTGAGACACGGTCTTGCTTTGTTGTCCAGGCTAGAGTGCAGTGGCCTGATAACACTCGAACTCCTGGGCTCAAGTGATCCTCTCATGCCACCATACCTAATTATCCTTTCTGTTGTTGAGATGGGGTCTTGCTATCTCGCCCAGGCTAGTCTTGTACACCTGGGCTCAAGTGATCCTCCTGCCTCAGCCTCCCAAAGTGCTGGGATTACAGGTGTGAGCCACCACACCCAGCCAAACGTGTATATATATACATGTATGTGTATTTTTTTTAATGGCATTATTCTGCACATCTTTAAAAATCACGCAAATGGCTGAGCACGGTGGCTCACGCCTGTAATCCTAGCACTTTGGGAGGCCAAGTTGGGTGGAACACTTGAGGTCAGGAGTTCAAGACCAGCCTGGCCAACATGGTGAAACCCTGTGGCCACTAAAAATAGGAAAATGAGCTGGGCATGGTGGTGCATGCCTGTAATCCCAACTACTCGGGAGGCTGAGGCAGGAGAATCACTTTAACCCAGGAGGTGGAGGTTGCAGTGAGCTGAGATCACGCCACTGCACTCCAGCCTGGGCAACAGAGTGAGACTCCATCTCAAAAAAAAAAAAAAAATTAATTACACAAATGACACTCTATACATATCTGACCTGTATTCATTCAATAATCTGACATGACTATTGAACCAGTTCTAGTTCATTCACGCAGCTCTAGTTTATTCATTTTAGCTACTTAATTGTTTTATAAATATACCTTTACTCATTTTCCTGTTAATGAACATTTACTTTATTTCCTAATTTTCACTTAAACATTCAACTAGTGAACATTCTAGTACACGTCTTCCTATGCATATAAGCAAGAATTTCTCTAGGATAAGCCTCTAGACATGGAATTGCTAGGTAACAAATTATGTGCATTTTTTTCAGCCAGGAGCATTGGCTCACGCCTCTAATCCCAGCACTTTGGGAAGCAGCTCACCTGAGGTCAGGAGTTCGAGACCAGCCTGGCCAACATGGCAAAACCCTGTCTCTACTAAAAATACAAAACTTAACCGGGCGTTGTGGCATGTGCCTGTAATCCCAGCTACTCAGGAGGCTGAGGCAGGAGAATTGCTTGAACCCAGGAGGCAGAGATTGTGGTGAGCCGAGATCATGCCACTGCATTCTAGCCTGGGCGACATAGACTGTCTCAAAAAAATAAATAAAAAACAAATTATGTGCATTTTTAATGAAAGTGACTGTACCATTCCATGCACTCATATAGCCATGCTTCATATTCTCATCCTTGGTATTTTTAATTTTGCCAACTTACTAGTTTTGAAATGGCATTTGATGTTTTTAATTCATTTCCTTGTTTCCTTTGAGGTTAAACATCCTTTCATGTTTATTGGTCATTTTGGCTTCCTCTTTTGTGAACTGCCTCTTCATGTCCCTTGTCTTTTACTTATTACTTGCAGAAATTCCATACACGTCCTGGATGTAAATCTTCTCTTCTAGAAGTATCTTAGGTATACTTTATTGTATGAAAGTTTTAGGTTTTTTGCTTTGTTTTGTTTTGTTTTTTTGAGACGGAATCTCACTCTGTCGCCCAGGCTGGAGTGCAGTGGCGCGATCTCAGCTCACTGCAAGCTTCGCCTCCCGGGTTCAGGCCATTCTCCTGCCTCAGCCTCCCAAGTAGCTGGGACTACAGGCGCCCGCCACCACGCCCGGCTAATGTTTTGTATTTTTAGTAGAGACGGGGTTTCACCGTGTTAGCCAGGATGGTCTCAATCTCCTGACCTGGTGATCTGCTCACCTCGGCCTCCCAAAGTACTGGTATTACAGGCGTGAGCCACCGCGCTTGGCGAAAGTTTTAAGTTTTAACGTAGTCAAATTTACACAACATGGATTATATTTTCCTGTGTCTTATTTTAAGCAATATCCCTTCCTATCCTGAGATCAGGATTGTTCCCCCTACCTGTTCTTCTACATGACTTCAAGTT
Organism: Homo sapiens; assembly: GCF_000001405.40. Classification (NCBI taxonomy): domain Eukaryota; kingdom Metazoa; phylum Chordata; class Mammalia; order Primates; family Hominidae; genus Homo; species Homo sapiens. The sequence continues at coordinate 19,972,891 of NC_000017.11, forward strand.
TTGTTTTTTTAACATTCCAGGCTCTTATTTACCTGGAATTTGTTTCTGCATCAGGGATTGGCAAACTACAGCCCATGGGCCAAATACAACCCACTACCTTTTGTTTTGTTTTGCTTTAAGACTCCGTCACCCTGGCTGGAGTGCAGTGGTGCTATCTCAGCTCACTGCAACCTCTGCCTCCTGGGTTCAAGTGATTCTTGTGTCTTAGCCTCCAGAGTAGCTGGAATTATAGACACCCACCACCATGCCCAGCTATTTTTTGTATTTTTAGTAGAGACAGGGTTTCACCATGTTGGCCAGGCTGGTCTCAAACTCCTGACCCCAAGTGATCCATCTGCCTTAGCCTCCCAAAGTGCTGGCCATGCCTAAACTGGCCCACTACCAGTTTTTGTAAGTAAAGTTTTATCGTAGCACAGCCATGCCCATTTGTTTACATATTGTCTATGGCTTCAAGGATAAAGGAGAGTGTGACAGAAACCATATGGTCTGGAAAGCCTAAAATATTTATGATTTGGCCCTTAACAGAAAAAGTCTGTTGATCTGAGATATATGAGAGGAGGCAGGAAATTATTTTTTGCCAGATGATGGATAACTAGCATCATTTACAGATCAGTCTATCTTTTCCCAACTAGGAACTCTATATCCGAAATTCCCAATATACCTGGGTCTGTTTCTGTGCATTTGTTTTGAATATATACCATAAGTATCAAGAATGGAATGGAAACCAAATGGAAGCCTATGGCAAAATAATGCTGCCTCCTCAATCTTTATAAAACCAGCTCCCTCTTGACATTTAAGCTAAGATTTGAATGTCATCTCCTTAGAGGACATCCTTAACCACTCAATCTTAACAGAGATGACTGCCTAGACCAGGGTGTTAATTGTCACAGATGGTGAGACGTGGTAGGATTTCGATATGTGTGAGGTAGACCTAACAGATTTGCTGATGGATCAGATATAGAGTAGGAGGAAAGAAGAGGTTCAAAGATGTACTAAAGTTTTGGGCTGAGCAACTAAAAATCCAAAAATGCAGCCGGGAGCGGTGGCTCATGCCTGTAATCCCAGCCTTTGGGAGGCCGAGGCAGGCAGATCACCTGAGGTCAGGAGTACAAAACCAGCCTGACCAACATGGTGAAACCCTGTCTCCAAAAATTAGCTGGTCATGGTGGCGCATGCCTGTAATTCCAGCTACTTGCGAGGCTGAGGCAGGAGAATCACTTGAACCCAGGAGGCGGAGGTTGCAGTGAGCCAAGATCCGCCACTGCACTCCAGCTTGAACGATAAGAGCGAAACTCCATCTCAAAAAAAAGAAAAGAAAAAAAGCCAAAATACTACTTCTTGAGAAAAACTGATGAGCAGGTTTAAAATGACTAAATCTGGCATAAAATTTTAGATATTGTAAGTTGAAGGTATCTACTGGATTAAGCTTGTCCATCCCGCGGCCCAGGATGGCTCTGAATGTGCCCAACACAAATTCGTAAACTTTCTTAAAACATTATAAGTTTTGCGATTTTTTTTTAGCTCATCTGCTATTGTTAGCGTTAGTGTACTCTATGTGTGGCTCAAGACAATTCTTCTTCCAATGTGGCCTAGGGAAGCCAAAAGACTGGACACCTCTATATTGGTCAGGTAGAGATACAAACTGAACCTAAAGTTGGATATACCAGTCTGGATTCAGGGGCAAGGATCCAACGTAGTGATGTAAATTTGGGACTCAATGCATTGATGGTATTTAAAGTCTGAATCGAATCCCTAACAGGACCATCTCCAGCTTCTACTCTTACCACATCCAGCCTCCAAAAAGCACCTAGAATGATTTTTTTTTTTTTTTGAGACAAGATCTCACTGTGTTGCAGTGGTGGGATCATAGCTTACTGCAGCCTCAAACTCCTGGGCTCAAGTGATCTTTCTGCTTCAGCCTCCTGAATAACTCACAACACCCAGCTATTTATTTTTTCTTTTTGTAGAGATGGAGTCTCTCTATGCTGTACAGGTTGATCTCGAACTGGCCTCAGGTGATCCTCCTGTCTCAGCCTCCCAAAGCCCTTGATTACAGGCATGAGCCACCATGCCCTAGAATGATCTTTTTAAGATATAAGTTCAGATCACTCCTCTTTCAAAATTTTAAATTAATATTCTTTCTGTATTTTGTTTGACACATGGTCTCACTTTGTCATCCAGGCTGGAGTGTAGTGACTCAAATATGGCTCATTGTAGCCTCCACCTCCTAGGCTCAAGTGATCCTTCTGCCTCAGCCTCCTGAGTAGCTGGGACCACAGGTGTGCACCATCATACCCAGCAATTTTTTAAATGTTTTGTACAGGTCTCATGTTGCTCAGGCTGGTCTTGAACTCCTGGGTTCAAGCTATATTCCTGCCTCGGCCTCCTAAAATACTGGGATTACAGATATGAACCACCATGTTTGGCATCTCGGCATTAGGAATAAAACCTAACCATGGCCCGTAGAGCTCTCAATCACCCAACACTTGCCTACATCTATGCTCCAGTCACAGTAGCCTTCTTTCCTCTCTTGAAGGGCACCATGCTCTTTCTTGCCTCCTGGCCTTTGAACATGCGATTCCCTGGCCTCTCTAGTTACCTCCTACTGATCCTTCAGCTCTAAGTTTCAAGGTCACCTGCTGAGTCCTCTAACATCTAACCAAAATGCATTTCTCCTCTTAATCTTTCATAACACTTTACTCAACTTGTAAGTATACACCTATACACACACACTTACATGGAGCGAAAGGGAGAAGAGAGAAGATTTGTTTGCTTATTTATTATCTGTCTACCCCAGTAGACAATAAGCTCCATGGGTGCAGGGACATTCTCTGGTTCACTACTCAATCGTGAGGGCCTAGCACAGCACCTGGCAGACTCTGGACACTCAAAAGGTATTTGTTGAATAGAGACAACAGTCTCTTGTGCAATATGCAGTTTGCCTCATTATTCTTAGAATGTTTTCCCCCCTTAAAAAAACAAAAGTTAACCACTTCAATACCAATAAATTAGAGAGCTATTAGGTATACCCCTGCCTTACCAATAAAGCTTCCTCCTACTATTTTACCGGTTTCATTCATTAAGCACTTTCATGCATTCATCACCTGGCATCAGTTACCAAAACCGTGTACCCACTTAAGAAGAAGTATTTAAAGTCATTCAGAGTTCAATGGGCCTTTGGGAATCATCTAATTCTCAGCTGACAGAAGACAGAAAAGTAGGTTAACTGGTCTGCCCCTGTTACAGTTAGCAGCAGAGCTGTCATATGAAACCAAGTTCGATTTTGTTTAGTGCTTTTTCCAAAACCCATTTCTGGCTGGCCGCGGTGGCTCATGCCTGTAATCCTGGCACTTTGGGAGGCCGAGGTGGGAGGCCCACTTGAGGTCAGGGGTTCAAGACCAGCCTAACATGGTGAAGCCCCGTTTCTACTAAAAATACAAAAATTAGCCGGGCATGGTGGGGCATGGGTAATCCCAGCTACTTGGGAGGCTGAGGCAGGAGAATCGATTAAACCTGGGAGACAGAGGTTGCAGTGAGCCGAGACTGAGATCGCGCCATTGCACTCGAGCCTGGGCAACAAGAGCGAAACTCCGTCTCAAAACAAAAAAAGAAAACAAAACCCATTTCTGTCTGGTACTTTTTTTTTGAGACGGAGTTTCGCTCTTTTTGCCCAGGCTGGAGTGCAATGGTGCTATCTCGGCTCACCGCAACCTCCGCCTCCCAGGTTCAAGCGATTCTCCTGCTTCAGCCTCCCAAGTAGCTGGCATTACAGGCATGCGCCACCACCCTGGCTAATTTTGTATTTTTAGTAGACACGGGGTTTCTCCATGTTGGTCAGGCTGGTCTTGAACTCCCGATCTCAGGTGATCCACCCGCCAAGCCTCCCAAAGTGCTGGGATTACAGGCGTGAGCCACCGCGCCCGGCCTCTGTCTGGTACATTTTATCTGAAGCAACAGGAATTGACAGGAAAAATCACTGCTGTCCACAGACCCATACTTGCTCACTTCGGATATGTATTTTTAATGAAGTGCAACAACGTTACCCAGAATCAAAATTAAGCTGTTTCTACGTAAACATTGGGCAGGTAATACAACTGGAAATCAAAAATGTAAGTAGTTCGTTTGTAAGTTAGGGTTCCAGTAGTTAGCAAACTTGCCAAAGTCATCAAAAGTAGTGGTCTTCCTGTTGGGGAACTTTAGCAATAAGTAATTTTATTTTAGTAACAGCAGTAACTACCCCTCCCCCCAAAGAGGAAATTGGAAGACAGCACTGGGTGAAGAAAACAATTTTTTCACGTGTTGCTTTTAGACATAAAACCCTCAACATTTGGAAACTTCAGACTTCCATAATAAGGTTCTAAAGAGATTTCCTTGATCTTGATCCACGGTCCTCAAAGAAACACAAAAAAACTAACCCCCACCTAAGAACTGTTCTTAACCAAACAGGCAGGAACTTCTATGGGCTTTAGCAATCGCTTCTGAACCAGCGCGACAATACTCCTCTGACCTCGCGCAAGAAGGCCACCTTCTCCCTCCCAGAAGAGTCCCGGAGCAGAGCAAGGCACTCAGGGGGCATCTGCGCCGAGGTCGAGGCTCGCTGAAGGCCTTGCTGCCGCCTTGGGGAAAGCCCTCGCAGGCCCACCTGCCCCACCGCCGCCCCTGAGGCCCGGCCTGACTCCCCGCCGGCGCCCCCTCAGCTACCTTTCCGCCGGAAGAAGGACATGGCGGGGCCCGGGTCGGGACGGAGGGTGCGGGGGGACTGGCGCGGGGAGGGCCCGGCTCCCCTCATTCAGCAACCGGCCCGGACTTCCGGGTCCAGAGGGGCCGCTGCACTAGCGCGAAAAGGGACCCTTCTTCCGGGAGTGGGCCCCACCGCCTCCTCGGGATGCCCAGGCAGCTCCAGCCGCCATATTATCAACAAGCCGCCCGCCCGGAGTTCCGGTCCTTCCCCGCGCTAGGCTTCACGGGAGGTCAAGCGCCGGCCCCGCCCCTTTTCCCCATCCCCCTCCCGCGGGTGCAGGGGCGCACGCCCGCATCGCCCACGTGACCCGCGCGTGCTACCCGCGCCTCTTTCCCGGGCCCTGGGTGCCTGGAGCGAGCCACCGTTCCTGCAGCTGTTTTGTGGCGTCTGTCGCCGGCCCCCGGTGGAGCGCTGCAGACCCAGTCTCTGCAAAACTAACTCCCTGGGGCGGGAGCCCTCCCAGCAGCTGGAACGGGGCGGGCCTTAGGTCCCCGGCTTCCGGCCCCTGGGTACCCTTCAAATTGTGCCCTTCTAAAAGGCAGGGTCAACCCTGCCACGCTCCAGCTCGACCCCTCCTGCTCCTCCGTTTGAGTTTTGCTCACAGGCGCTGGCCGGCACGAGCAGCTTCACCCTGCACCCCAGTCCCTGCTTCCTCAGGAGAACCCGCCACGGCCTGCGGGTTCGAGGCGATGCAGAACCCTGATTAGGAAAAGGCACAACCTGCCGCATGCGGAACCAGCAGCTCCCTGGATCATTAGCGAATGAAAAGGGGAAGCGGGCTTATTTCGGAGTGCAGTCCCTGCGAATGCTCAACTTTGTAAGGGACTGCAACATAAAAGCCTCGCCAGTATTTAAAAGCTAGCTCCAGTGAATCATCCTTGCTCAAATGCCATTTTCCTGTGAATCTTCTGACCCTCTACTCCCAAAGCAAAATCAATCAAGCCTCCCTGTCTTTGGTGCTTCTTAACACCCGGCGAGTGCGCTCAGCGGCTGAGGTTGTAACTGCTCCCTGGGGTTGGGGTTGGGGAGGGCAGGAAGGTAATAGTAACTCAATAAATGTTCGCTGGGGTTTTTAAACCAATGAAGTTTATCATGTGACGGATGGGGAAACAGGCCCAGAAGAGACAACTAGCCCAAGATTGTTCAGAATGTTAGAAATACCAAAATTGTTAGAAATAGATAATCGGTGCCACGAAGAAAAGTCAGCACGGAGACAAAAGATCTCCAGCAAGGCAATCTTTACTTTCTGCAGAAAGGGTGCTCAATCGCAGATGGAACGATGTCGAGAGCACACCTGAACAAAGGAAAAGCAAACATATTTATCCCTTACGCATTTGGGTCGTCCTCACTGCTATGTCCTGCATCCATTGGCTGGAGCGGGACCTCACACTCTTAAACTGATAGCCGATTTGCTAATAGCCTAAAACTTTCTAAATAGGTAAGTGCAAGGAAGAACGAAGAAGGAGAGGAAGTTGCTTACCGAAAGGTTTAAGGAAGCAATAACATTTCCAAATAAGGAAGGGGCATAGGCTGTGAACTGGAACGTGCCTGTGAGCATGTCCAACAGTTACATAGGATAGGGCTTAACAAAGAGTTATTAGCACAAAGCAAGGAGGCTTGAAGAAAGTTAGTCTTTAAAATAAACTATTACTTCTAACACTTATGATGTATTCTTTAACAAGAAGGGGAACTTTGAAGAGGAAACTTTTTACTTTCTACAAGAATGTCCAAGTTTAAGACTATAACTAGAACCCGAAATAGGCAAATCCCTTAACCTGCTCTAATAATAATATGGTCTTTTCACTATATTGTTAGAGCAGGTTAAAAGATTTACTTATTTCATTTCTGGCCAGATGCAGTGGCTTATGCCTGTAATCCCAACACTTTGAGAGGCTGAGGCAGTCAGATCACCTGAGGTCAGGAGTTAGACCAGCCTGGCCAAGATGGCGAAACCCCGTCTCTACTAAAAATACAAAAATTAACTGGGCGTCGTGGCATGCCTGTAGTCCCAGCTAATCAGGAGGCTGAGGCAGGAGAATCTCGAACACGGGAGGTGGAGGTTGCAGTGAGCCAAGATCGCGCCACTGCACTCCAGCCTGGGCGAGAGGAAGACTCCTTAAAAAAAAAAAAAAAAAAGATGTGCCTATTTCGTTTCAGAGCATGGCATGTTTGCAAGTGCATGAAAGGTAACCAAAACTGACATGGAAATTTACTATGCGACGGTACTGTGCTAAACCCTCCAGATGAGTAATAGTCCTTGGAGTCAGTCCTGGTATCTGGAAAACTAGGCACTGAAAAATAAAGTCAACTGCTCAAGGTCACACGCTAACTAGGGATGAAGCCTGGATTTCAAGGTGAAGCCTTTCTCCAGTTAAGGACAGCGCGTCCAGGCGCACTGGACGGAAGCAGCGCTGGCAGAGGCTCCGGACGTCCGGAGTGAGCTGGCGCCGAATGGACGCGGTCTGGCCGCTTCCTCCTGGCCTCGGCCGGGCCTGCACCGGGAGGCTGAGCGGCGCCCCACCAGGGATCCGAGATGCCCTCGGGAGCCAATCTGTGTTCTTGGCGGACCACACCCCGCTGTCTGTAGCCAATAAAACCTTGGATCGTGCATCCCACCCCCACCAAAGGGAGATTGGCTGAAGCCAAGGACCCGGGCGCGGTCTACGTGGGATTTCTCTGCAGGCTGAGGGGACAAGTGGCTGTGTCTACCAGGGGCCCAAGTACAGGGCATCAGCAAGAAAGCGCAGCGCCCTTCTCCTGTTCCCTTCCAGCGTGCAGAACCTCGCAGGGGCTATTTTGTATGTGTTGTGTGGTTAGTTGGATGGGGCGGGAGGGACGTAGGGGAGGGGAGAGTGCGAGAAATCCCCTGAATGTCTCTGGCACGGGAGCAGATCCCACAGAGTTGGAGGCGGAGGACTCTAAGTTCCTCTAAATCTCCTCTAAGCCTTCCTCATTCTCTCCAGCTAAGCAGTCTGTGCAGAAGCAGTGCCTCACCTCGACTTCCAGTGTGATTTGCTGCCTTTGAGCCCTGCCCACCAGAAATTCTGAAGTCGCCGTAATCCCCGACAGCTGCATACACCTCAGTCATGATAATGGCCGTCATTATTTATGAAGTACTTATTATGCGCCCTCCTTGTATTAAGTGCTTTACAATTACTAGCTCACTTAATCCATAATTCCTGCCCTTCCCCGAAAAGAGACCCTGTGAGATGGCTGCCATCGCAACCCCCAATTTACAGATGTGGCCCTGAGGATCGGGGTAACTTATGTAGGATCATGAGGCTGTTAAGAGGTAGAGACAGGATTTCAATCGCTGTCAATCAGACTCCAAAGCCATTTGCTTATACCACTTTCTCCTATCTTTCTCTCCACCCACACATTTATCCAGGGTCCCAAAATGGGATGTCTGTCGGGCAGGTATATGGGGGTGAATGATATCTGGCAGTACATATTCTTCGGGTACCTTCTGAATCATCACCCATTAAAATGTTTATATGCTTAGGGAAGCTTGCTGCTAAGAGTATTGTCATTTAATCTTTTGAAATTTGATGATCCACATATGAGTAAAGTTAAAAGAAGAATTTAAAAATAACAAGAATATTACATTAGGCTGAATACGCAGCTGTGGCAAACTAATACCCTGCATTGTATTTCTGAATTAACTTCATAAAGTCATTTTAGTTTACATGTAAGATAAAATTAATTTTTATCAGGAGTTCCTTTAATTATGCTCCTAATTTTTGGGAACCGTCACAGTGTTGTTTTGTTTTATGTGTTTTTTTTCTTTTTTTTTTTTAGACGGAGTTTCGCTCTTGTTGCCCAGGCTGGAGTGCAATGGCGCGATATCGGCTCACTGCAACCTCCACCTCCCGGGTTCAAGTGATTCTCCTGCCACAGCCTCCCGAAGAGCTGGGATTACAGGCATGCACCACCACGACCGGCTAATTTTGTATTTTTAGTAAAGATGGGGTTTCACCATGTTGGTCAGGCTGGTCTTGAACTCCTGACCTCAGGTGATCCGCCTGCCTCAGCCTCCCAAAGTGCTGGGATTATAGGCGGGAGCCACCATGCCCGGCCTCGTCACAGTCTTTTTATACCAGTTGTATTAATTACAACAAATCAGTGAGGTAAAATCAGTAAGTTAATTATCACAAATCCAGTGAATGGTTTAATCTAACATTGTTTAAAAATCAATGAATAGTATTCTACAACAAACATTCTAACAAATATAGTTTATCAAACATTCATAACTTTTTTTTTCGAGACAGATTCTCATCTCACTCTGTCGCCCAGGCCAGACTGCAGTGGTGGGATCTCAGCTCACTGCAACCTCCACCTCCTGGATTCAAGCAATTCTCCTGCCTCAGCCTCCTGACTACAAATGTGTGCCACCATGCCTGGTAATTTTTGTATTTTTAGTAGAGACGGGGTTTCACCATATTGGCCAGGCTGGTCTTGAACTCCTGAGCTTAGGTGATCCACCTGCCTCAGCCTCTCAAAGTGTTGGGATTACAGGCATGAGTCACTGCACCCGGCCCTGGTTTTAGTTTTAATCAAATCAATTGTACCGAAAGGGGAGAAGAGAGAATTTAGCAAGGAAATATTTGAAAAGCTAACGGCTGACAATTTTCCTGTGGTGATAACAGAAACCAACACACTAATTCAAGAATCACTATGAACTGCAAACAAAAGAAATACAAAGAAATCTGCACACAGATTATTAATAACAAAACTTCAGGAAATAAAAATGAAGAAAAATTGTTAAAAATTGCTAGGGGTAGGGGAAGCAGATTACCTTCAAAGGAGTGCTACTTGGCCGGGTGCGGTGGCTCATGCCTGTAATCTTTGGGAGGCTGGGGCAGGCAGATCACTTGAGGCCAGGAGTTCGAGACCAGCCTGTCTAACATGGTGAAACCCCATCTCTACTGAAAATACAAAAATTAGCCGGGCGTGATGGTACGCACCTGTAATCCCAGCTATTTGGCAGGCTGAGGCAGGAGGTGGAGGTTGCACTGAGCTGAGATCACGCCACTGTACACCAGCCTAGATGACAGAGTAAGACTCCGTCTAAAAAAAAAAAAAAAAGAGGCTGGGCGCGGTGGCTCACGCCTATAATCCCAGCACTTTGGGAGGCCGAGGCGGACAGATCACGAGGTCAGGAGATCGAGACCATCCTGGCTAACACGGTGAAACCCCAACTCTACGAAAAATACAAAAAAATCAGCCGGGCGTGGTGGCGGGCGCCTTTAGTCCCAGCTACTCCGGAGGCTGAGGCAGGAGAATGGCGTGAACCCGGGAGGCAGAGCTTGCAGTGAGCCAAGATCACGCCACTGCACTCCAGCCTGGGCGACAGGGCAAGACTCTGTCTCAAAAAAAAAAAAAAAAAAAAGAGTGCCAAGTAAACAGCTGATTTTTTAAACAGTTACAGTGGATGCCAGAAGATTCATATTAAATATTCAATATGCTATAAAAAGTAACTGCTGGCTAGTCATGGCCCAGCACTTTGTAAGGCCAAGGTGGGTGGATTGCTAGAGCTCAGGAGTTAGAGACCAGCCTGGGAAATGTGGCAAAGCCTCATCTCTACAAAAAATAGAAAAATTAGTTGGGTATGGTGGCATGCATCTGTAGTCCCAGCTACTAGGGAGGCTGAGGTGGGAAGATCACCTGAGCCCTAGGAGGTCAAGTCTGCAGTGAACCGAGATCACATTACTACACCCCAGCATAGGCAACAGAGTGAGACCCTGTCTCAAAATAATAATAATAATGATAATAACTATCAACCAACAATTTTATATCCATCAAAAATATATTTCAAAGATGACACAAAATAAGATTTCAGACAAAAACGGAAAAAATTGGCTGTGCGTGGTGGCTCATGCTTGTAATCCCAGCACTTTGGGAGGCCAAGGTGGGTGGATCACCTGAGGTCAGGAGTTCGAGACCAGCCTGGCCAACACGGTGAACCCCCATTTCTACTAAAAATACAAAAATTAGCCGCGTGTGGTGGTGGGTGCCTGTAATCTCTCAGCTACTTGGGAGGCTGAGGCAGGAGAATTGCTGGAATCCGGGAGGTGGAGGTTGCAGTGAGCTGAGATCGTGCTATTGCACTCCAGCCCAAGCTGACAACAGCGAGACTCAGTCTCAAAAAAAAGAAAAAAATTGTCACCAGCAGACCTCACTAAAGAATATTCTATTTTGGCCAGGTGTGGTGGCTCATGCCTGTAATCCTAGCACTTTGGGAGGCTGAGGTGGTCAGATCATTTGAGGCCAGGAGTTCAAGACCAGCCTGGCCAACATGGCGAAAACCCGTCTCTACTAAAAAAATATAAAAATTAGCTGGGCATGGTGGTGTGTGCCTGTAATCCCAGCTATGTGGGAGGCTGAGGCAGGAGATTCGCTTGAACCAGGGAGGCAGAGATTGAAGTGAGCCGAGCTTGTGCCACTGCACTTTCAGTCTGGGCCACTGAGTGAGACTCTGTCTCAAAAAAAAAAAAAATTATATTTGATAGCACAACAGAGTGACTCTAGTCAATACAAAATTAAATGTACATTTTAAAATAACTTAAAGAGTGTAATTGGATTGTTTGTAACTTGAAGGATAAATTGCTTGAGAGGATGGATACCCCATTCTCCATGATGTGCTTATTTCACATTGCATGCCTGTATCAAAACATCTCATGTACTCCATAAATACATATATCTACTACGTACCCACAAAAATAACAAAATTAAAAATAAATAAAAAATAAAAGTATGTATGTGCAAAGTTTAAAAAAAAAAAAGAATATCCTAAAGGATTTACTTCAAGCAGAATAAAGTACATGAGATAGAAAGTCTTTGATGCAAGGCACTAGAATAAGTGGTATGTGGATAAATGTGAATAAACATTGAGTGTAAGCGGTAATAATAAAGTTGTGAAAGTTAATTAACTACAAAATTAGAGGGCATGGTACACACATGAGCACCCTTATTTCTGACACCAACTGCAAGTTCAGGGGTCCCCAAGGCTATCCTTAGGTTTGATAATTTGCTAGAAGTGCTCACAAAACTCACTAAAAGCTGTTATATTCACGGTTATAATTTACTACAGCTCAAGGATACACTTTAATAATCAGCCAAGGGGGCTGGGCGCGGTGGCTCACACATGTATTCCTAGCACTTTGAGAGGCCGAGGCAGGCGGAACATGAGGTCAGGAGATCGAGACCATCCTGGCTAACGTGAAACCCCGTCTCTACTAAAAATACAAAAAAATTAGCCGGGTGTGGTGGTATGCATCTGTAGTCCCAGCTACTCGGGAGGCCGAGACAGGAAAATCGCTTGAACCGGGGAGGCAGAGGTTGCAGTGAGTTGAGATCATTCCACTGCACTCCAGCCTGGGTGACAGAGCGAGATTCCATCTCATAATAATAATAATAATCAGACAAGGGAAAAATGCATAGGGCAAAGCCCAGGGAGGTACCAAATGAGAATATCCAGTTGTCCTCTCCCTATGGAGTCAGAATGGGTTTCCCAGTATAGAGCATTGCCAACCAGGAAAGCTTACCCAAGCCCTTGTGTCCAAAGTCTTTATTGGAATTCCATCATGTAAGCTGGGTTGTCTGCCCATGTGGTTGATTCTAGTCTCTAGCCACTCAGGAGGTCACACTGATGCCACCTGATCCAAAGCCCCCAACCCAGATCACATTGTTGCTATCTGGCTGGCCCAAGGCCCCTAGTCAAAACAAAAATACTTCTATCAGGAATGATATTTCAAGAGTTTAAAGAGATTATGTCCAGTAGCTGGGGACAAAGGCCAGACCCCTCTTTGGGCAAGGTTAAATCCTTTTCTACACAAACATCTAGCAGGTTTAAAAATGTCACCAGTGTGGCAGGCCACTGAATCTTAGTAGAGTTTATATCTCACCTTCTGGCATGTATGTGTCTTGACTGTGTTTCTGGAACACTTGCCATTTCTTGCTTACAATCAGCATGATGTCGTCAACATAGTGTCTCCATATGATGTTCTGCAGAATGTCCAGACAATCAAGTATTTTTTTTTTTTTTTTTGAGACATAGTCTTGCTCTGCCACCCAGGATGGAGTGCAGAGGCGCGATCTTGGCTCACTGCAACCTCTGCCTCCTGGGTTCAAGAAATTCTCCTGCCTCAGCCTCCTGAGTAGCTGAGATTTCAGGTGCCCACCACCACGCCCAGCTAATTTTTGTATTTTTAGTAGAGATGGGGTTTCACCATGTTGGCCAGGCTGGTCTCGAACTCCAGAACCCAGGTGATCCACCCCCCTCAGCCTCCCAAAGTGCTGGGATTACAGGCGTGAGCCACCACGCCCAACAATTTTTTTTTTTTTTTTGAGACAGTCTCACTCTGTTGCCCAGGCTGGAGTGCAGTAGTGGCATGGCATGATCTCGGCTCACTGCAGCGCCTCCTGGATTCAAGCTATTCTCCTGCCTCAGCCTCCCAAGTACCTGGGATTACAGGCATGCACCACCATGCCCGGCTAATTTTTTTTGTATTATTAGTAGAGACGAGGTTTCACCATGTTGGCCAGGCTGGTCTCGAACTCCTGACCTTAAGTGATCCTTCCACCTTGGCCTCCCAAAGTGCTGGGATTAAAGGCGTGAGCCACCATGCCGGACGGATCAAGGATTCTTTAGACTTGCACTGTCCAAGATTTTAGTGAATACTAAATAGCCACACGTTGCTATTCAGTATTTTAAATGTGGCTAATCAAACGAAGATGTGCTGTAAGTGTAAAATATACTTTCTATTTCCGTGCACTCTAACCTGACAGCTTCCTACTGCAAATACCTGTGACTCTGTCTGTGCTCTTTCTTTCTGTCTTTTTTTTTCTTTTTTTTTTTTTTGAGACAGAGTCTCACTCTGTCACCAGGCTGGAGTGCAGTGTCAAGATCTCGGCTCACTGCAACTTCCGCCTACTGGGTTCAAGCGATTCTCTTGCCTCAGCCTCCAGAGTAGCTGGTATTACAGGCACGCGCCACCATGCCCAGCTATTTTTTTTTTTTTTTTTTTTTTTGAGACGGAGTCTCGCTCTGTCACCCAGGCTGGAGTGCAGTGGCACAATCTCGGCTCATTGCAACCTCCACCTCCCAGGTTCACGCCATTCTCCTGCCTCAGCCTCCTGAGCCGCTGGGACTGCAGGCACCTGCAACCACGCCTGGCTAATGTTTTTGCATTTTTAGTAGAGACGGGGTTTCACCGTGTTAGCCAGGATGGTCTCGATCTCCTGACCTCATGATCCGCCCGCCTCGGCCTCCCAAAGTGCTGGGATTACAGGCATGAGCCACCGCGCCCAGCCCCAGTCCATTTTTAAATAAGGAAAGGAATGTGAGCTGGGGCCGTAGCATGCCTGGGCATGTAGTAAAATCAGAAAGAAGGAAAAGGAGAAGAAAGGCGGGGGGTGGTACTTGGAATTAGAGAATAAGAAGCGGATCAGCCTGTTTGAAGAGAAACCTTGTCATATCTTACAGTAGTAGCATCTCCCACAGTCCACACTGGCCAACAGACAATTACCACCACCCAGCCTGTCACAGATGCCAGTGTCCTAATGAAGGCTGTGTCCTCCAATGGCTTCTCAGGTCTTGCATAGTAATTCAATTCCAACATTCCTGCTGTCAGAGGCATTGGAATCAGAGCGACTCCATGGTAAAATGAGGCTGAGACCTGCTAGGCTGCATTCTTAGTCACAGGAGGAGATAGGAGGTCGGCAGGAGAAGTTATAGGTCATAAAGACCCTGCTCATAAAACAGGATGTGATAAAGAAGCCGGCCAAAACCCACCAAAACCAAGATGGTGATGAAAGCGACCTCTGGCCGTCCTCACTGCTCATTATACACATTATAATACATTAACATGCTAAAAGACATTCCCTCCAGGGCCATGACAGTTTACAAACGCCATGGCAACGTCAGGAAGTTACTCTATATGGTCTAAAAGTGGGGGGATCCATCAGTTCTGGGAAATCCCTGCCCCTTTCCTGGAAACCTCACAAATAATCCACCCTTTGTTTAGCATAGAATCAAGAAATAATCATAAGAACACTCAGTTAAGCAGCCCATGTCGCTGCTCTATGGAGTAGCCATTTTTCTGTTTCTTCTTTAATAAAATTGCTTTCACTTTACTGGGTGGACTCGTCTCGAACTCTTTCTTATGCAAGGTCCAAGAACCCTCTCCTGGGGTCTGGATCAGGACCCCTTTCCAGTTACACTACCTCCTTAAGCCTTCTGACCTCTTCCTCAATAGTATGTTGAGAAAGTTCTGGCACTATCCTCCTCATTTTACTCTAGGCCAAGTTCAATCCTGACCATCTGTTAGGACTAGCTCTGGGATCTCCTGCTATAGCACTGGATCTTGAGTTGTGGGTAAAGGCCCTCAAACGGGAAAAACTCCCCAGGGCCAGGCTTATATTCCACCCCACCCCCAGTCCAACAGCTTCAACATTGACTCCCACACATGATTCCCTGGTTCCTCCCACACACAGTGGCCAGGGCTAGTGAATCCTTTGGCCAGTGTGGTATTTTCTCCTGTAGCAGGCTCTGACTTTCTTGCTCAGGCTGTGTGGAGACTTGACTTTGGTTATTTACCTAGAAACAGAGTGGAGGGGTCCATCTTTAGTAGGACAAATGGCATCTTGCAGGGCTCCTGCCTGTGCTGAGGTCAATGTCCAGCCTTCTCTGGGGAGCAGGGGTATTGAGGGGTCTGAAGGTGCAAGCTTCTCAGGGTTAACCACTCAAATGTCCCCAATTCACATCTCAGGATTTGACTCTTATTTATCATGGTGTTGACTTTGACTAGGAGATGAGATAAGACTATGCATCCTCTCTTTTTTTCAACAATTACAACCTGGGCCTGATCATCAGCAAAGTCTGTTCTCTGGTGAATAATCTAACTTCCAAATCCCAATCCTCTTTTAGGGCCACTCAGTGTTTAGCCTCAGTTACCCCAGAAAGCAAAGCCTGAGATGAAGGTCTCATGGCAGGGCTATGTGAAGGTGCACAGTCTCAGGGGCAGGGATGAGAAATGAGGGAAGCGAGGGAGGGACAGAGGGAGAGCCCACACAAGACTGTGTTATCGAGCTGGTTGCTTCTAAGTCTGAAGAATTGCCAGATTCTCAAACTCCTGACCTTGTGATCCGCCCACCTTGGCCTCCCAAAGTCCTGGGATTACAGACTTGAGCCACTGCACCCGGCCCTGGCCATATCTTTAACGTGCTGCTGGAAGTAAGGGCTGTAAATAAACTGAATAAATGGAATGCCAGAATAACCTTTCTTGGTTGTGTTGTTGTGTTGTACACATAAGAGAGGCAGTTGAGTCATGTCTAATCCATCAGGAGTAGCTAAGCCTCCAGAATCAATTATTAATACCATATTGGGAGCTCTTGCATGATCTTTTATCCAGGATGTCTCAAATATATTTCAGCAGAGAACCCTAGAATCAGTGATCAAGAAAGCTAGAAGGGGTTGGGCACAGTGGCTCATGCCTGTAATCCCAGCATGTTGGGAGGCCGAGGCGGGTGGATCACCTGAGGTCAGGAGTTTGAGACCAGCCTGACCAATATGGTGAAACCCCACCTCTATTAAAAATATAAAAGTTAGCTGGGCATGGTGGTGTGTGCCTGTAGTCCCAGCTACTTCGGAGGCTGAGACAGGAGGATCATTTGAACCCGGGAGGCGGAGGTTGCAGTGAGCCAAGATCATGCCATTGCACTCCAGCCTGGGCGACAGAGACTCTGTCTAAAAAACAAAAACAAAAAAACAGAGCTAGAAGGAATCTTAGCAATGGTCTCATGCAATTCCCTCACTTTATGGATCAGAAAACTGAAGCCTCTTTCAGTATAATAATAACAACAATAATGACCATCACTGCAATAATATCACTATCATTTTCGATCACCTGTTAGATGTACTTTTTCAAAAACTTAATCCCCACAACAGCTCTCATTCTGGAGATGAAAAACACAGCCTCAGATGGGCTCTGATTTCATCAATCTGGGTGATTCTAATGAGCAGCAGGGGTAAAAATCTAGAGCCTAAAATTTAACTTGAAATTGTTTTTCCCTCCTAAAAGGAGACTAGTGAGCCTGAAGCATTATAATCAGTCCTCTTGTCTTCTTCTTTCAATTGCCTCACTACCTACAATCATTTAAAATGAATTTTAATGCGTTTCAATGATATTCCATTGTGAGCATCAGTTCTGAGATGCTAAGTATCCACCTAAAATGATATCCTTGTCGAGCACATACTTTAGCCAGTTAATGTCCAAGGGACTTCTCATTTCATTAAATGTCATGTTGCATTTAATTCTCATGACAACCTGGGATAGTAGATATTATTATTTGCCTCATTTTGTGAATGAGAAAATGAGTCTTTGGAGAGGTTAAATAAATTGCCTGAGATCTTGCAGCTAATAAAAGGCAGAGCCAAGGATTGAAAAATGGTTCTGGGCTGGGTGCGGTGGCTCACATCTGTTATTCCAGCACTTTGGGAGGCTGAGGCGGGTGGATCACCTGAAGTCAGGAGTTCGAGACCAGCATGGCCAACATGGTGAAACTCTGTCTCTACTAAAAATATAAAAATTAGCCGGGTGTGGTGGCACACACCTGTAGTCTCAGCTACTTAGGAGGCAGGAGAATCGCTTGAACCTGGGAGGCAGAGGTTGCAGTGAGCCGAGATCGCGCCACTGCACTCCAGCCTGGGTGACAGAGCAAGAGACTCCGTGTCGAATAATAATAATAACAGTCCTAGGGTGTTCTCTCAACTCCTCTATCCAATGCCTATCTTTGCTTCAGGACTCAGCCCAAGATCTACCTCCTGATAGGAAGTCCTCCCTGACAAATCCAGCATTTGTTGACTCAATCGCTTCTAAACTGTTATAATTAGACCAATGCAGCTATCAGTTGTTGAATACTTAGTATACACAAGGCATCTTTTATTCATTATCTCAAAACCTTCTAACACTCTTTTTTTTTTTTTTTTTGAGATGGAGTCTCGCTCTGTCGGCCAGGCTGGAGTGTGGAGGTGTGATCTCCACTCACTGCACGCTCCACCTCCCAGGTTCTAGCAGTATCCCTGCCTCAGCCTCCCAAGTAGCTGGGATTACAGATGCGCGCCACCATGCCCGGCTACTTTTTGTATTTTTTAGTAGAGACAGGGTTTTGCCACGTTGGCCACGCTGGTCTTGAACTTCTGACCTCAGGTGATCCGCCTGCCTCAGCCTCCAAAGTGCTGGGATTACAGGCGTGAGGTAACACTCTTGAGTGTTAGAAATTATTGCTTTAATTTTACAGATGAGGAAACAGGCTCAGAGAGCCTTCCAAGCTCCTGCAGCTAACCAGTAGCAGAGCCAGAATTCAAAATCAGATCTGGGTGAGCCCAAAGCAGGAGTTGGCAAACTAAGGATCATGGGCCAAATCCAGCCCACTCATTGTCTGTTTTGGTAAATAAAATTTTGCTGAAACAAAATCAGACTCACTCATTTACATAACCCTGATGGCTGCTTTCAAACTACAATAGCGACATTGAGTCCCTGCAAACAAGTCTATGTGGCTCTCAAAGCCTAAAATATTTACTATCTAGCCCTTTATAAAAAGTTTGCTTGTAAACGTTTTTGTTTTTATAGAAAAACTCCTGCTTGGAAGCCTGTTTTTCTTGCCACTTCATCTTTCTTCTTCTCTGTATGCCACTGCTATTATAGTATTGAAGTTGTCACTCTTGCTCCCAGCAGGTGGAAGGACAGCATGCTTCTCATGAAAAGGACCTCAGTAGGACACTCACAGAAGTCCGGGCAACTGGGACAGAGACCACGACCCCCAGGAAGGGAGTGGTCAATCAACACAGGGATCACCAGTACAGGAGCCTCTGTTTGGAAGGAAGGTCAGAAAGATCCTGTGGCCTTGCTCTACCAATTTTTGGCAGCCTGCCTGGCCACATCCCTACCTCCCAGAGGCCCATGCTCTGATTCCTGGATGTCACCCTGTTCTCTGCAGGTGCCAGCAATGTTGCTTTTGCATACTCCCAGGGGGCACTATCCACATGTTCCAGGGACTCCATCTACATAGTTACCCTGGGTGCTATAATTACCTGGGTGTGTCTGGAGTGGGTGGGAGAGAGGGGTGTGGCTGTTCTTGGGATCTGCAGTAAAAGACTCTGTTTAAAGGGTTCTGAGAGAGGAGGCTGCGTCGTGGGGTGTAAAGGAGGGAGCTGGGACTCTGCAGCTTTTGGTCTTTGCAGAGCAGTGGGACTTGAGGAGGTAGAGGAGGAAATCCTGGGAAAGAGGTTGAGGGCACTGTCACGAGAAGACAGTGCAAAGCTACACACACCCAGACCACATAATATGAATATTATATAGAGTTTATTGGGGGCAAAGCCTATATGCGGTGAGGTCTCAGAGCACCCTGCTATGCCCGAGTCAGCCTAAGCCACCAAGGATGACCCTGCAGTCAGACCACGTCTGGCTATTGACTCAGTGCAGTGAGAGGGACTGCACGTTGAGCGACATGGAGATGGCTCAGCACACAAAGGTCAGCAAAGAGTTATTCCAGGACTTGAGGGTGATGTGAAGTTAAGGTGACAATTAAATGAAGCAGGCTCATAGCAAACCAGGCTGTGTGTTGTGAGTCAACATCAGGTGTGGGCTGGGAAATGGACCCAGGGTCTTGTTTCTTTGGAAATAATAATTTTTTGTTTGTTTGTTTTGAGATGGAGTCTCACTCTGTTGCCCAGGCTGGAGTGCAGTGGTGCCATCTTAGCTCACTGCAACCTCCGGCTCCTGAGTTCAAGCAATTCTCCTGCCTTAGCCTCCCCAGTAGCTTGGATTACAGACAAGTGCCACCATGCCCGGCTAATTTTAGTATTTTTAGTAGAGATGAAGTTTCACCATGTTGGCCAGGCTGTTCTCAAACTCCTAACCTCGGGTGATCCACCCACCTCAGTCTCCCAAAGTGTTAGGATTACAGGCGTGAGCCCCCGCATCCAGCCTTTTATTCCTTTTTAAAGGCTGAATAATATTCAATTGTACATATATACCACATTTTGTTTATCCGTTCACCTGCTGACAGACACATGTTGCTTTTGTGTTTTAGCTAGTGGGTCAAAGTTAATACTGCTATGACCATACAGGCACAAATATCTCTTCAAGACCTTACTTTCAATTCTTTTTTTTTTTTTTTTTTTTTTTTTTTTGAGATGAAATCTTGCTCTGTCACCCACGCTGGAGTGCCCTGGCATCATCTTGGCTCACTGCAACCTCAGCCTCCCTGCGCACACAGTTCGGTACTACATATATCCTCTAGGTGGCAGCATAACCCTCAATATAAAAACCCATTCTGAGCCCCGCGCGGTGGCGCGCCTGGAATCCCAGCTGCAGCTACTCTGGAGGATCGCTAGAGCCCAAGAGCTGATGCAATGCTCCAGGACTGCACCTGTGAACAGCCACTGGCACTCCAGCCTGGGCAGCAGCGAGACCCCGTCAATAAACAAACAAACCACCCGATTAGGCGCGGTGGCTCACTTCTGTAATCCCAGCACTTTGGGAGGCCCAGGCGGGTGGATGGCTTAAGCCCAGGAGCTCGAGACCAGCCTGGGCAGCATATAGAGACCTCATCTCTACAAAGAATTAAAAAATTAGCTGGGCATGGTGGCACGCGCCTGTGGTCCCAGCTACTCGGGAGGCTGAGGTGGGAGGGCCACCTGAGCCCAGTTTGGAGGCTGCAGTGAGCCGCAATCGCATCACTGCACTCCAGCCTGGGCGACAGAGCCATACTGTCTCAAAAATAAATAAGTAAATAAATAAATAAAACATAAAAACTATTTTGGGATCCTGACCCTTTGGTCTTTGAACTTCTCTCTCTTTTCTTTCTTTCTTTTTTTTTCTTCTTCCTTCCTTCCTTTTCTTTTTCTTTCTTTCTTCCTTCCTTTCTTCTCTTTCTTTCTTTCTTTTCTTCTTTCCCTTTTTTCTTTCTTTTTGAGAGAGGGTCTCATTGTCACCCAGGGTAGAGTGAGAGGCACTATTACTGCAGCCTTGAACTCCTGGGCTCAAGCGATCTTCTTACCTCAGCCTCCCGAGTAGCTAGGACTACAGCTGCATGCCAGCACACCTGACAATTAATTTTTTTTTTTTTTTTTTTTTTTTGAGACGGAGTCTCACTCTCTCCCAGTCTGGAGTGCAGTGGCGCAATCTCGGCTCACTGCAAGCTCCGCCTCCCGGGTTCACGCCATTCTCCTGCCTCAGCCTCCCGAGTAGCTGGGACTACAGGCGCCCGCCACCACGCCCGGTTAATTTTTTGTATTTTTTAGTAGAGATGGGGTTTCACCGTGTTAGCCAGGATGGTCTCCATCTCCTGACCTCGTGATCCACCTGCCTCGGCCTCCCAAAGTGCTGGGATTACAGGCGTGAGCCACTGCGTCTGGCCAAAAAAAAATTTTTTTTTATAGAGACAGGGTCTCGCTATGTTGCTCAGGCTGGTCTCAAACTCCTGGGCTAAGGCACCGTCTCGCTTCAGCCTCCCAAAGTGTTGGGATTACAGGTGTGAGCCACCAGGCCTGGCCTGGCCTGAATTTTCTTTTTTCTTTTTTTTTCTTTCTTTTTTTCCTTTCTTTCTTTTTTTCTTTTTTTTTTTTGAGACAGAGTCTTGCTCTGTCTCCCAGGCTGGAGTGCAGTGGCCTGCTCTCACTCGCTGCAACCTCCCCCTCCCGGGTTCAAGCAATTCTCCTGCCTCAGCCTCCTGAGTAGCTGGGATTATAGGCATGCGCCACCATGCCCGGCTAATTTTTCTGTTTTTAGTAGAGACGGGGTTTCACCATGTTGGCCAGGCTGGTTTCGAACTCCTGACCTCGTGATCTGCCTGCCTTGGCCTCTCAAAGTGTTGGGATTACAGGCGTGAGCCACCGTGACCAACCGAATTTTCTTAGCACTTTTCTTTTTAAATGCCAAAGGATGGAACCCAGAACTGTGAGCTTCCTTCAGCTCTGTCAGTGGCTTATCTCAACATGAGCTAAATGTACAAAGGTGCTCTTCCTATCTTACTGCTGTGATCGTTGGTCCCATGTTTTGACTGCTGGATTGATTTCAGTAAGGACTCAGGGTATAGATTCTAGCCTTCCTTGAAGGACAGATGTCCTCTCAACTAAACTAGAAGCACACTATAACTCTACAATTTTTGAATTCTTTTTTTTTTTTTATTTTTTTTTTGAGACGGAGTCTCACTCTGTCACCCAGGCTGGAGTGCAGTGGCATGATTTCGGCTCACTGCAACCTCTGCCTCCCGGGTTCAAGCGATTCTCCTGCCTCAGCCTCCCAAGTAGCTGGGACTAGAGGTGTGCGCCACCACGCCCGGATAATTTTTGTATTTTTAGTAGAGATGGGGTTTCACCATGTTGGTCAGGCTGGTCTCGATCTGCTGACCTCGTAATTCTCCTGCCTTGGCCTCCCAGAGTGCTGGGATTACAGGCGTGAGCCACTGCGCCCAGCCCCGGCCCTCTTTTTTTTTTTTTTTTTTTTTCGAGGTGGAGTTTCGCTCTTGTTGCCCAGGCTGGAGTGCAGTGGTGCGATCTCGGCTCACTGCAACCTCTGCCTCCCGGGTTCAAGTGATTCTCCTGCCTCAGTCTCACGAGTAGCTGGGATTACAGGTGTCCGCCACCACCCCCAGCTAATTTTTTGTATTTTTAGTAGAGTAGGGGTTTCACCATTTTGGCCAGGTTGGTCTCGAACTCCTGACCTCAGGTGATCTACCTGCCTCGGCCTCCCAAAGTGCTAGGATTATAGGTGTGAGCCACCACACCCGGCCCCCATTTTTGTATTCTTAGTCTCTGGAGCACAGTTGGTTGAACAAATGAATGAATGAATGTATTACCACAAGGACTACACAAGGCTAGGCATTGCCTGGCTTGGAAAGAGTCTTTAAATTGCTATTATTTATGGAAACTTCAGTGCACCAGCCAGATTTCTTGGTTGCAAGCAACAGAAATAAACTCTGGCTCTCTTTTTTTTTGAGACGGAGTCTCATTCTGTCACCCAGGCTGGAGTGCAGTGGCACGATCTCGACTCACTGCAAGCTCCGCCTCCTGGGTCCACGCCATTCTCCTCCTGCTTCAGCCTCCCGAGTAGCTGGGACTACAGGCACCCACTACCACGCCCAGCTAATTTTTTTGTATTTTTAGTAGAGACGGGGTTTCACCGTGTTAGCCAGGATGGTCTCGATCTCCTGACCTTGTGATCCACCTGCCTCGGCCTCCCAAAGTGCTGGAATTACAGGCGTGAGTCACCACGCCTGGCCAACTCTGGCTCTCTTAAGCATAAAGGGAGTTTATTGGAATGGCATGGCAGTAGAATCATGAGAGTTTGCCTTAGTTCGTTTTCTATTGTTTATAACAGAATATCTGAAACTGGGTAATTCATAAAGAAAAGGCATTTATTTCTTACAGTTACAGAGGCTGAGAAGTACAAGGTTGAGGAGCTGTATCTGGTGAGAGCCTTCTTGTTGGTGGGGACTCTCTGCAGAGCCCCTAGGCAGTGTAAGATATCAAATGGTGAAGGGGCGACCATGCTAGCTCAGGTCTTAATTCTTCCTCTTATAAAGCCACTGATGCCACTCCCATGACAACTCATTAATCCATTAATCCACTCATGAGGTCAGAGCTCTCATGATCCAGTCACTGCTTAAAGCCCCATCTCAATATTGCCACTTTGGAGATTAAGTTTCAAAATCAGTTTGGCAGGGGACAAACATTCAAATCATAGCAGGGTTCAAAAGCAGGTTCAGACAGTTTTCAAAATTTGTTTTAATTAAAACAATTAAAAATTTAAAAAAGTTAAAAAAAATTAAAAGAAGCAGGTTCAGCACACAGGCAAAGGAAGCCCTGGAGGGACAAGAAGTAGGAAGAACAACCACCACCTTTGAGCATGAAAAGTCTGGCCAGGGCCCACCACTGTCGCTGTCCACCTCCACAGCTGTGGTAAAAGTCCTAATTTGGGCTGTTCTCTCACCTTTGCATCATATGTTCGCCTTTGCATCATATATCAAAGGGTGGATTGACCCTTTGACAGAAGCTAAGTCACATTCCAAAGCCCCAGCTGCCAAAGTGTGAGTGGGGGAGGATCTCCCCAGTGCAACTCCCTGGCAGAGGAAGTACCCTGCATCCTGCCACTCACACACTGGAGCGTCCCCCAGCCAGCTGAGCAGGCT
This sequence comes from Homo sapiens, assembly GCF_000001405.40. NCBI lineage: Eukaryota > Metazoa > Chordata > Mammalia > Primates > Hominidae > Homo > Homo sapiens. The sequence goes on from NC_000017.11 coordinate 19,996,826, forward strand.
TCGCAGGGGTGTGGCCATCCGCCTGCTCCAGGCAAGTACTGTACAGTCCTTCAGTCCTTGCTGCCAGCCTCTGCATCGGTAGTTTTTTGTTTGTTTATTTTTTTAAATCAGCGCTCATTTCTTCTTTTTGACTTCTTGGACTAGCCGTGAAGATTGCAGGCATTCTTAGCCTGTCTTTTAGTAGGAATGTTTCTAATGTTTCACCATGGAGTGTTAAGGTTTACTGAAGGCTTCTGGTAGCTAGATTATCTATTTAGTTTGAGGGTCTTCCTTGGATTCCTAAACTCACTAAGAGTTTTCTTTTGAGATGGAGTCTCACTCTGTTACCCAGGCTGGAGTGCAATGGCATGATCTTGGCTCACTGCAACCTCCGCCTCCCGGGTTCAAGCCATTCTCCTGCCTCAGCCTCCCAGGTAGCTGGGACTACAGGCATGCGCCACCACACCCGGCTAATTTTTCTATTTTCAGTAGAGATAGGGTTTCACCATGATGGCCAGGCTGGTCTCAAACTCCTGACCTCAAGTGATCCGCCCACCTCGTCCTCCCAAAATGCTGGGATTATAGATGTGAGCCACCTCGCCCAGCCACTAAGAGTTTTTGAAAACAGAAATCAGTATGTATTTTATCAAATGATTTAGAGTACAAAATTTTCCTCTCTTAATGTGTTACGACAACAGAGAATGACCTTGAAAAATTTTCTAATGTAGAACCAGTCCTGCATTTCTGAGATTAATTCATTCAACAAGTCATTCATTCAACAAATATTTATTGAATGCTTATTATGTACAAGTAGTGTTCTCAGCACTAGGAGGAGGAACAAAAGAGAATCAACAGAACAGCAATGAATAAAACAGAATCAAAATTCCTGGGCCATACCACCCTGAACAGGCCTGATCTCCCCTGCTCTCAGAAGCTAAGCAGGGTTGAGCCTGGTTAGTACTTGGATGGGAGGACTAGAGTGCCTACCTGCAGGAAGTATCCATTCTAGTTGGGGGGAAACGGAGAACTTCCATTAAAACAATGTAAAGTATTCTGGAGAAAAATAAAACTTGGAAAAGGAATATGAAGAGAAGTGTGTTTGTGTGATTTTTTTTTCTTTTTTTTTTTTTGAGATGGGGTCTTGCTCTGTCACCCAGGCTGGGGTGTTGTGGCGTGATCTTGGCTCACTGCACCTCCTCTGCCTTCTGGGTTCAAGCGATTCTCCTGCCTCAGCCTCCTGAGTAGCTGAGATTACAGGTGTGTGCCACTACACCTGGCTACTATTTGTATTTGTAGTAGAGACGAAGTTTCACCATGTTGGCCAGGCTGGTCTCGAACTCCTGACCTCAGGTGATCCACCCACCTTGGCCTCCCAAAGTGCTGGGATTACAGGCGTGAGCCACCATGTCCGGCCTGAAGTGTGTTTGAGTGATTTTTAAACATGGTGGTCAGGAAGGAAGTGCAGGAGAGAGCCAGGTGACTTCCTGGAAAAACATTCCAGACAGAGGGGACAGCAAATACAAAGGTTCTAAAGAAGCAAAATCTGGGCTGTTCAGGAAACAGAAAGGACAGCTGCAGAGCTGGAGTGGAGTGAGCAAGGGGAAAGAAGTGGGAGGTGATAATAGGCAGATCATGTAGGTCACTGGAAAGACTCTGGCTTTTAATCTGACAGATTAAAACGGGAATCACGACAGGGTTTTGAGCAGAGCAGGGACAGGATGGGAATTACACTTTAAAAGGATCCCTCTGACTGCTCTGTGGAGACTATGCTAAGGTGGAGTGAAAACAGAACCAAAGAGACCAGTGAGGAGAATGCTGCAGTGATTCAGGTGAGAGAGGAAGATGGCCTGGACCAGGGGGTAACAGGGGAGATGATGAGAGCTAACTGGATTTGGGGGTCGACTGGATCTGCAGAAAGATTGGATAGGGTGTGTAATAGAGAAGAGTCAAGAATGACTTCAAAGTTTTTGCCTCCTAATGTTAGATTGGACATTAAGATGGTGGAGACTGCAGGAAAGCAAGTTTAGGGAGAAAAGTAGGAATTGACTTTTGAGCATATTGCCCATTTGAGATACTATTTATGAGAGTTGGATTTATGAGTATGGAGTTCTGAGGAGAACTCCCACACAGCAAGAGATAGAAATATGGGAGTCATCGGCTGGGCACGGTGGCTCACACCTATAATCCCAGCACTTTGGGAGGCCGAGATGGGCGGATCACGAGGTCAGGAGATCGAGACCATCCTGGCTAACATGGTGAAACCCCATCTCTACTAAAAATACAAAAAAATTAGCCAGGCGTGGTGGCGGGTGCCTGTAGTCCCAGCTACTGGAGAGGCTGAGGTAGGAGAATGGTGTGAACTTGGCAGGTGGAGCTTGCAGTGAGCCGAGATCGCGCCACTGCACTCCAGCCTGGGGGACTGAGCGAGACTCCGTCTCCAAAAAAAAAAGAGAAATATGGGAGTCATCAGTCTACCGATGGTATTTAAAGCCATGAGGCAGGAGGAGTTTATGAGGGGAGCAAGTATAGGTAGAGAGGCCGTCTAAAGACTGTACTCTGGGCCGGGTGTGGTGGCTCATGCCTGTAATCTCAGCACTTTGGGAGGCCGAGGCGGGTGGTTCACGAGTTCAGGAGTTTGAGACCAGCGTGGCCAATATAGTAAAACCCTGTCTCTACTAAAAATACAACAATTTGCTGGGCATGGTGGCATGTGCCTGTAGTCCTGGCTACTTGGGAGGCTGAGGCAGGAGAATCGCTTGAACCCAGGAGGCAGAGGTTGCATGAGCTGAGACCTCGCCATTGCACTCCAGCTTGGGTGACAGACGAGACTGCGTCTCAAAAAAAAAAAAAAAGACTGTACTCTGGGGCACTTCAAGGTCAAGAGATCAGGAGGATGAGGAAGAACCGGCAAAGGAGACTGAATCTGTGCAGACAGAAGCAGCAGGAGAATCAGAGGAATATGCTGAGAAAAGTTTCCTATTTTGTCTTTTTGAGACAGGGTCTCGCTGTCACTCAGGCTGGAGTGCAGTGGTGCAATCATGGCTCACTGCAGCCTTGATTTCCCAGGCTCAAGTCATCCTACTGCCTCAGCCTCCTAAGTAGATGGGACTACAGGTGCATGCCATCACACTGGCTACTTTTTAGTTTTTGTAGAGATAGGGTCTTGCCATGTTGCCCAGGCTGATCTTGAACTCCTGGGCTCTCATGATCCTCCCGCCTTGGCCTCCCAAAGTGTTGGGATTACAGGTGTGAGCCATCACGCCTGGCTGAGAAAAGTATTTTTAAGAAGAGGGAGTGATCGGCCAGGTCAAATGCTGCTGAAAGACTGAATAAAATTAAGAACTGAACATTCACCATTGGATGTGGCAGTGCAGAGGTCATTTCATGGAGTAACTGGGGTGAGAGTCTGTGGGAAGGACTCAGCAGAGAACGGGAGAAGATAAATGGAGTCAGCACATAGACACAATGCTTTGAGAAGTTTTGCAGAGAATGGAAAGAAACAAATAGGATAGTAGCTGGGGGAGGAGAGAGGCTAAGTGATTTTACCACATGGGAGAAACATCACTAAATATATATATTGTTGGGAGTGACCCAGTGAGGGGAGGGATTGATGGTACAAGGGAGCAGGGGAGCTGCTGGGGCCCTGCCTGAGAAGCTGCAGGTGGTGGATCCAGAGCTCCAGGGGAGGCCTGGCTTTGGCTCGGAGCCTGGACCGTCCATCCATGGTGAGAGGAGAGGACGCAGAATTGGGGCACAATTCTGTGGGTGGGTGGTTTTGCCCGTGCGGGGAGGCGGAGGTTCACTCTTAAATGCTTCTCCTGGTTTCTCAATGATTAGAAGTGAGGTCAGCAGCTGAGGCTAAGGATGGAGGAGGAAGTGTTGGAGGTTTGAGGAAAGAGGAGAATGTCTGAATAGCTTTTCTGGAGAGAAAGCAAGAGAGAGAGAAAGAGAGAGAATGGTCAACAGCAACATAGTAGGATTTTTAGGAAGCAAAAAGGGCTGCGTAATCATGAATTCTGAAGCGAGATTGTTTTTTCTCCAGACACACTGAGCTGAATGGGTGCTGGCTCCAGTTTGTAAACGTTTGCTCTTTTTATTGACCTTTTGCACAGAACCAATATTTTGCTTTAGGCCAGGCGCGGTGGCGCCTGCCTGTAATCCCAGCACTTTGAGAGGCCGAGGTGGGCAGATTACCTGAGATCAGGAGTTTGAGACCAGCCTAACAAATATGGTGAAACCCCGTCTCTAATAAAAATACAAAAATTAGCTGGGCCAGGTGGCGCGCACCTGTAGTACCAGCTACTCAGGAGGCTGAGGCAGGAGAATTGCTTGAACCCGGGAGGCAGAGGTTGCAGTGAGCCAAGATCGCATCACTGCACTCCAGCCTGGGTGACAGAGCAAGACTCCATCTCAAAAAAACCAACAAAAAAAATTGCTTTATCATCCTCCCTTTAACTTCTGCCTTTATTAATTATTTCTTTAAAGTGTCCGAGCTTTGAGAGTTGAACATTTGGTTTCTTTATTATCAGGGTTCTTTTTTCCTTTTTTTTTCTTTTTTTTGAGACAAGAGTCTTGCTCTGTCGCCCAGGCTGGAGTGCAGTGGTGGGATCTCGGCTCACTGCAAGCTCCTCCTCCCAGGTTCACTCCATTCTCCTGCCTCAGCCTCCCGGGTAGCTGGGACTACAGGCGCAGGCCACCACACCCAGCTAATTTTTTGTATTTTTTGAGATGGAGTCTCACTGTGTCACCCAGGCTGTTGCCCAGGCTGGAGTGTAGTGGTGCGATCTCGGCTCACCGCAACCTCCGCCTCCCGGGTTCAAGCGATTCTCCTGCCTCAGCCTCTGAGTAGCTGGGATTACAGGCACCCACCACCACGCCCAGCTAATTTTTGTATTTGTAGAAGAGACGAGGTTTCACCATGTAGGCCAGGCTGGTCTCAAACCCCTGACCTCAGGTGATCCACCTGCCTCAGCCTCCCAAAGTGCTGGGATTACAGGCATGAGCCACCGCGCCTAGCTAATTTTTTGTATTTTTAGTAGAGACAGGGTTTCACCATGTTAGCCAGGATGGTCTCGATCTCCTGACCTCATGATCCACTTGATTCGGACTCCCAGAGTGTTGGGATTACAGGTGTTAGCCACCACACCCGGCCTCTTTCTTATTTTCAAGCAAATTCACACACAGTAATACATTTTCCTTTGAGTCGCTTTTTGCCAACATCTCGAAGGGTTTGAGAGATACTTTTCATGTTGAAATTTCTTTCTCTCTCTCTTTTTTTTTTTTTTTTTCAAATAAATAGAGACAGGGTCTGTCTCTGTCACCCATGCTGGTCCTGAACTCCTGGGCCCAAGTGATCCTCCCACGCCTCAGCCTCCTGAAGTGCTGAGATTACAGGCGTGAGCCATTGTGCCCGGCCTCATGTTGAAATTTCTATCTAGGTGGGGTGCGGTGGCTCACGCCTGTAATCTGAGCACTTTGGGAGGCTGAAGCAGGTGGATCACTTGAGGTCAGGAGTTTGAGACCAGCCTGGCCAACATGGTGAAACACCATCTCTACTAAAAATATAAAAACTAGCTGGGTCTGGTGGTGGGCGCCTGTAATCCTAGCTACTTGGGAGGCTGAGACAGGAGAATTGCTTGAATCCAGGAGATGGAGGTTGCGGTGAGCTGACATAGTCCCACTGCACTCCAGCCTCTGCGACAGAGTGAGACTCCGTCTCAAAAAAAAACACCAAAATTTCTATCTAAAGAGTTTGTAATTTTTTTTTTTTTGAGATGGAGTCTCGCTTTGTCACCCAGGCCGAAGTGCAGTGGCACGATTTTGGCTCACTGCAATCTTCGTCTCCCTGGGTTCAGTGATTCTCCTGCCTCAGCCTCCCAAGTGGCTGGATTACAGGCACACATCACTATGCCTGGCTAATTTTTGTATTTTTAGTGGAAACGGGGTTTCACCATATTGGCCAGGCTGGTCTCGAATTCCTGACCTTGTGATCTGCCCGCCTTGGCCTCCCAAAGTGCTGGGATTACAGGCGTGAGCCACCGCCTAGACTTTGTAATTTTGATGTTTATTTCCTCTTTCCTCTCTGACTTGAGTACTTTATTTTGTTAAGTTGTGGTTAATTTCTAATTTTATTTTATTGGGGGTCAGTGAGTATGGTCTGTGAGATTGTTGCTTTTTGGTATTTTTTGAGATTTTTTGGATTTTCTTTCTAATTTTTTGGAGATTTTTTTGGTCTAATATTTGGGAATGCATATAGCACTGTAAACTTATCCTCTAAACATATAGCAATGAAATATAAAAAAAGCAAAATTGGCTGGGCACAGTGGCTCACGCCTGTAATCTCAGCACTTTGGGAGGCCGAGATGGGCAGATCACGAGGTCAGGAATTCAAGACCAGCCTGGCCAACATGGTGAAACCCTGTCTCTACTAAAAGATAAAAAAAATTAGCTGGGCGTGGTGGTGCCTGTCTGTAATCACAGCTACTTGGGAGGCTGAGGCAGATGAATCGCTTGAACCCAGGAGGCGGAGGTTGCAGTGAGCCGAGATGGCGTCATTGCACCACAGCCTGGGTGACAGGGCAAGACTCCATCTCAAAAAAAAAATTAAAAAACAGCAAAATTTACTTTGTAAGTAGACTCAAAGACATGAAATGTATCTCCATGGACTAAGATATAGGGACAGAAATGCAAAGTGGGGAGTTGGCCTGAAGAGGTTAAAGCTCTGGACTCCAAGTCTGGAATCAGGTAGGGAATGCTGGGAGTTTGACTCTGGGTAATAGGAACTGAAACAGCCCACGGAAGACGGCAGTAGACCTGAGGCAGGATTCCTGGTTACGCTTTTAGGGAGTGGGAGGGTGGGGAACTGAGCTAAGTATAGTGACTGAAGGGGTCCCAGAGACCCGGTGGAGAGAACGGTAGCATTGCTGGGCAGGGCGGATCAAGGCTGCCCAGTTGAAATAAGCCTGCAAATAGAAACTCCAAATTCAACAATCCAAAGACAAGCACACTATAAGTAGGGTGACCGTATCTCCTGCTTTCCCAGAAATAATCTCAGTGCACAATGCTAGTCCCAGCATCATACTACTGTCAGCCTCTTTCATTCTTACAGTATCCTGGTTTGGATGATCAATTACATGGTCACCTAACATATGAAATTAAAGTAGTAGAACAAGGCTGGGCATGGTGGCTCATGCTTATAATCCTAGTAATTTGGGAGGCTGAGGTAGGAGGATTACTTGAGGCCAGGAGTAGGAGGCCAGCCTGGGCAACATATGGAGACCCTGTCTCTACAAAAAAATTAAAATTAACTGGGCATGGTGGCATGTGCCTGTAGTCCCAGCTACTCAGGAGGCTGAGGCAGGAGGATCACTTGAGCCCAGGATTTGGAGGTTATAGTCAGCCATGATTGCACCACCGCACTCCAGCCTGGTCAACAAAGCGAGACTCTGTCTCTAAAAAAATTAAAAAGTGGCAGGTGCCTGTAATCCCAGCTACTCGGGAGGCTGAGGCAGGAGAATTGCTTGAACCCGGGAGACGGAGGTTGCAGTGACCTGAGATCGCGCCACTGCACTCCAGCCTCCAGAAGTGACACAGCGAGACTCCATCTCAAACATAAAAATAAAATAAAATAAAATAAAATAAACAGTCTGAAGAAAAGAATTGAAAATGGACTTCTTGTGTAGATATGGGGATCTTACAAATTACCCAAGAGTACCAAGAAATATAAGAAACACAAACATAAGCACTATCTTTATTAAAACTACAGATTAAAACTCCAAACCATGCCAGGCGCGGTGGCTCACGCCTGTAATCTCAGCACTTTGGGAGGCTGAGGCAGGTGGATTACCTGAGGTCAGGAGTTCAAGACCACCCTGGCCAACATGGTGAAACCCCATCTCTACTAAAAATACAAAAATTAGCCGGGTGTGGTGGCACGCGCCTGTAATCCCAGCTACTCAGTAGGCTGAGGCAGGAGAATCGCTCAAACCTGGGAGACAGAGGTTGCAGTGAGCTGAGATTATGCCACTGCTCTCCAGCCTGGGTGACAGAGTAAGACTCTGTCAAAAACAAAAAACAAAAACCAAAAAACTCCAAATCATAAACCAGGTGGAGGCTGACAGAGGTACTTGAGATTAAGCAGGAGAAAACCAGAGCTCTTGTGAAGAACCAGCCGAGCTCACTAGCAAGATGGGGGCTGACCTGGGAATAGGGTGCTTTACACATCTTAGAAGAACACTGAAATAACGTATTAGAACAAATGTTTTCAACTTCAGAAAAATTACCAGATAGAAAGAGGAATTGAGGCTGGGCATGGTGGCTCACGCCTGTAATCCCAGCACTTTGGGAGGCTGAGGCAGGTGGATCACTTGAGGTTAGGCGTTCAAGACCAGCCTGGCCAACATGGTGAAACCCTGTCTCTACTAAAAAGACAAAAATTAGCCAGGCATGGTGCCACGCGCCTGTAGTCCCAGCTACTTGGGAGGCTGAGGCAGGAGAATTGCTTGAACCCGTGAGGCAGAGGTTGCAGTAAGCTGAGATTGCAGTGAGACTCTGTCTCAAAAAAAAAAAAAAAATTAAATCTATAGAGTCAATCTATTGTGTCCCAGGAAATATTGGCCCAGAATAATAATTCCAAAATGTATAACAGTGAGATTTCTGGATTTCATAGACAAAGAGATAATTCTTGGAGCATCATGGCAATTACTTCACTTCTTTGTTTTTTTTTTGTTTTTTTGAGACGGAGTCTCACTCTGTCGCCCAGGCTGGAGTGCAGTGGCGCGATCTCAGCTCTCTGCAAGCTCCTCCTCCCAGGTTCACGCCATTCTCCTGCCTCAGCCTCCCGGGTAGCTGGGATTACAGGCGTCCACCACCATGCCCAGCTAACTTTTTGTACTTTTAGTAGAGCCGGGGTTTCACCATGTTAGCCAGGATGGTCTCAATCTCCTGACCTCGTGATCCACCTGTCTCGGCCTCCCAAAGTGTTGGGATTACAGGCATGAGCCACGGTGTCCGGCCGGCAATTACCTCATTTCTGAGGAAAAATAAACCAGGCTGACTTCTGGTTTCATTACAGCAACACTCAATTCTAGAAGACAATACTTATACATTCTTCAATAAATAAAGTATAACCCAAGAATTTATACTCAAACTTTTACAGGATAAAGGCAACAAATATTTTTAAACATGAAAAACTCAGGGAATATAATTTTCATAAGTTATTATTGTTATTTTAAAGAGATAGGTTCTCACTTTCTTGCCCAGACTGGGGTGCAGTGGCACAATCAGAGGTCACTGCAGCCTCAAACTTCTGGGCTCTAGCAATCCTCTTGCCTCAGCCTCCTGAGTAGCTGGGACTATAGGCACACGCCACTACGTCTGGCTAAATTTTAAAATTTTTTGTAGAGACAAGGTCTCACTATGTTGCTCAGGGTGGTCTTGAACTGCTGGCTTCAAGCGATCCTTCTACCTCTTGTCTCCCAAAGTGCTGGGATTACAAACGTGAGCCACCACACTCTGCTCTATAAATTATTCTTAAGAAACTAAAGCAGGATCATAACTTACCACAAAATGGGTTGGGGAAAAAACTATGGCAAAATAACTGTTAATAATACTTCTGAATCTTTTAACTGTAGGAGTGGAACTAAAACAAACGTGGGATTATGGTTACACAGCAGAATGTATGATTTTATAAACCTACTAACGTGGAAATGGTATAATTAACATCTTTTATATCTAGGAATCCAAATATCTCATTCAAAGCTGATTTAAAAATCAAGTGATAAAGATATTTATAAATGTAGTTAATTAAAAAAGCAAATACTAAAGAAGGATAAAATCATTTACATTAGGTGAGGAGAAGAAAAGGGGTAAAGAAAAAAGAGGGAAATTACAATGTCATTTTTATTCAGAATAGGGAGTTAACAGACAGTCTGAAGAAACTGAGGACGATGTGTATTGCGGAGTATGATTATAAGGCAACTCCCTGAATAAAAATACAAACCTTCCAAATTATCAGAAGAAACACAAAACACAATAAACACAAAATATGCAATGCAAGAGTGAAAAAAGGACCAAAAGGGCTATGAAACAGCATAATATAGCTGTCACATGAATAGGGCTCAACTCATCTATGGCAAGATAAAGATTTTCAGATTTAATCACAAAGCAAAACTTAGTGCTCTAATTCAAGGGATTACCTAAAATAAAGGGTTCAGAAAAGACGAAAACAGCAAAGGTTGTTTGGGGTAACAAACAAAATTCAGCAGGATGGTAAAATATCAGACAAAGTTAAATTCAGGGCAAAGTTTGAACACATTAAATGAGACAAGGAAGGTCATTTTATGATGAAGTGGGAAAATTCCCAAGAATATAAGACAAATGAATATTTATGCACAAATAACATGGTACTATTTATAAAGCAGGACTTCAGAGAAATAAGGAGAAATAAAAACACAATAGTAACAAAAGATTCTAATTTACCTTCTTCCGATTACGTTAGATCAAAATACGTCTAAAAAATAAAGGAGAAAAAATATTTTAAAAAGAAGAAGAAAAAAGCTCCAGTATAACCAAAAACATAAACCTAAGAGCTGATTCTTTGAAAAAAAAATACACTTTTAAAAGTTAACAAAATAAAGAAGCAAAAATACACAAAATAAGATATTTGGGAGAAGTTAAAAGATTCACAAAAGACTACTTTCCTCAACTTTATGCAAATACACTTGAACATCTGGAAAAAAAGGATAATTTGTTTTAAGAAATACATGCTTTATCAAAATTAACTCTAGAATAATTTTTAAAATGTAAATAATAAAATTGCCACAGAAGAAACTTTTCTAGCCTTAAAAGATTTACCCTCCCCAAAGAAAGCATCAGGCTGGGAGGAACATTTTTAACTGGGAAATGATCAAACCTCAAAGAATAGATAATTTTAATGCTCCTTAAATTGTTCAGAGTAAAAGGAAAAAGCAAACATGCCCATTTTTTTTTCTTTTTTTTTTTTTGTAGAGATGGGGGGGTCTCACTGTGTTTCCTAGACTGGTCTCGAACTTCTGGCCTCAAGCACTCCTCCTGCCTCGGTTCCAAATTTTTTATGATGTGAGCATAACATTGATTCTGAAACCAAACAACATTAGACATTCAAAAAGAAAATTATTGCCCATCTCATTTTTGCATATCAATGCAAAGCCTGTAAATAAAATATTAGCAAACAGAATCAAGCAGTATATTTAAAAAAAAAAGACAAGTTTATTGCAGGGATAAACTGGGTTTTTATTAGGAATTTATTATAACTAGGACTCATTACTTCAATATGAGGAAATCAGCTGTCACCCGGTTTGCTCGTCCTTACAGACATCTCCCTCCTCTTCCTCTCTTCCTTTCCAGTGAAAATGTCTTCAAGTTTCCTCTACCAAACCAAAACTTCACCCCACTTCTTTTATTCTTTCCTCCTCTCTTCTCAGAACAAAGGGGTTGTTGCTGACCAGCCCAGGGTTTCTTATTTGGGGCCGGATCATTCTTCCTTGTGGGGCAGTCCTGTCCTTCAGGTAGGATGTTGAGGAGCACCCTCGTGTCTACCCACTTAGGCAACAGTAGCAACTCCCGCATCATGACAACCAAAAATGTCTCCAGACCTCCCCAAATGTACGCGGGGCGGCGAGGAGGGGCAACACCGGCCCTGGTCGAGAACCGCTAGCCTAGGCTCGCCCCTCTACCTGGGCGCCACAACTTGCCAGGGTTGGTTATTCTCCCTGGATCCTTTCCTTCCTCCTCATTTGAGCTTCACGCCCTCAAGTATGACCAAAGGTTCTGTCATTCCACTCCTGCAGTTTTCATTAAGGTCTTAGGCCACTTCCATGTCAAGAAACACAGTGGCTCTTTCTAACCCCTGGCCATGAGGCACCCCTGGAGGAGGAGCCGTGAGGGTAGGGAAGATGCTGAGGGGGATGTTGACCTTGCCGACTTCCAGGCGCCTCCGCTGCATCCCGGAGGAGGCGTTGGGCGGTGAGGGTGCAGCGGGGGGGCGGGCCCCGCAGGATGAGGTGTCCGTGTGCGGCTAGCGCCACAGGCAAGACCGGGCTCCTTGCGGGGCGGAGGTGAGGCCGTGAGCATAGCTCTCAAACTGGAGGGCGCCTCAGAATCACTTGACGGGCTTGCGAGAATGTGGACTGCTGGGCCCCACCTTCATGGTTTTAGTGCAGGAAAAACCGAATAGGCTGGGTGGGACGGAGAATCTGCATTTTCTCAAGTTCCCAGATGAGGCTGAAGCTGCTGGTCCGGGCACCACCCTTAGAAAACCTCCAGTGTAGAGTGCGGAAATGGGGTCCACATCTGGCTTGGGACGCCCAAACATCGATTATGTGCGACCAGAGGATGAGCAGATAGGGAGATGAGACACTGAGAGCTGGGAGAGAGGGGGCCCCCGGCCGCCGGCTGAAGGAGGACGGCGCAGGCGGCGGTCCGGGTACTACATCTCCCAGCGAGCCCCGCGCGGCTCGCGCTCGCCCCCTGGCGGCGATGGCTGGAGGCGCCGGCGGAGCGCGGGTCCCTCTCCTGAGCATCAGTGAGCGCCCGGAGCCGTGGCCGCTGGGGGTTGCGGCGGCGCTGAGCCAGCGGGGCCGGTGAGTACTAGCCGCGCCGCCAGCCCGCCCGCCGGCCGGCTCTTTGCGCCTCAGCCGCGTGGTCTGAAGGGATGGGCGGGCGAGCGCGGGGGTCCGGCAGTCCGTCGTGGGGGCACGGGACTGCCTTTCTGGGAAGGCGTGCTGCGTCTTCGCCGCGGGGGCCCCGGTCCCCTCGTCGCGTGTCCTGTCCCCAGCCCAGGAGGGACGTCCTGGCCTGTCCTGCCCGGCCCGGAGCGGTGGGACCGGTGCCGCAGGTGGCAGCGGCAGGTGGCCGCCTCCTCCCCTCCGGGCCCGAGGGTTGTCGCAGGGACCCGGGACTGAGAGCCAGGTGGCTCCCGACAGCTGCGGCCCTGGAGGCGACCCCAGCCCTCGCCGCAGTGGGACAGGTGCGCGGGCACGCCCGGCCCCGGCTCCTGGGTCTCGGGAGCCTCCCGCACCCTCCCTGTTGTGCCTTGGGGGTGCTGCGTGGTGCAGAGGACCGAGAAGCCCTTCGCCCTCGGCGTCCGCCGCGCTCCCGCCCCTTCCTGGCCGGGGTGACAGGGGAAGGGCTAGGGCTGCGCATCCCGGGTCAGCTGGGGCGCCGCGGCGCAGTGCACCTGGAAGGCCCGGGGGCAGCGCGCGGTGCCCGTGGGTTTCCCGGTGGTGCGGACCTGCGGGCGTGCGGAAGTAACGACCTCCTTCCCCAGTGCCCATGCAAGGAAATTAGTGTTATGTGCTTGCTTTTTTTTTTTTTTTTTCCTAAGGAAGTTTGACTCTGAATATCTTATTTTGCTGGAGCTCCATTTGCCAGCACGTAAGTTTATGTAATAAGCGGCATACAGTTCGGAAAAAAATTTTCCTGTGAAAGTGCTCTTCCTTGCCCTCTGCAGGAAGAATTACGCCGAGCTGGTTGGCAGGCTTATCCACCAGCAACTGTAGGAGCTGCAGGCAGCAGATAAAGTGTTTTTTGAGTAAGGGCACAAGTCAGCCCTTCAGGACAATTTTTGTTTTTGGAAGATTCTGTTATCCAGTTCCAAACACCGTGTTATTTCAGTGTTGAAGATGGGGGAGGAGGGAGGAGCACAGGCTTGTCAATCCTAATACCTCAACAGAAATTAGCTTTGCAGGATTAACTCTCCAAGCAAGCGAGTTGAATTTGGTAGCCCAAACTACAGCTGAAGCTGAGCCTCCATACTAAAGCCTGTCTCAGTTTTAATAGTTTTTCGCTTGATTCGTTTGCCTCTTCCAAGTAGGTGATCTTATTGTCTGTTAAACAACAGATGTCTCTCATGTTTTTACTTTTTTCCTTGTCTTCCATAGATTACTCTCGCTGCAGTGTTGACTATTGAGGTTAAATAGGAATCTTTGTCTTGGGCTTGGTTTTAGGGAGCATTCCCTCTGTATCTTCACCGAGTGTATTCTATCACATTAAGTACATTTCTGTTTATGCCTAATTACTAAGAGTTTAAAAAGTCAAGGGTGGGTGTTGGGTTTTTTGCCCAAATGCTTTTGTGTAGCATGCATTGATATGATCATGTAGATTTTCGTCTTAAAATTGTTAACATAAGTGGTGGTCACATTGCTAGATTTTCTTTCTCTAAAACCCTGGGCTAATTTAAAATGCACTTTTGGATTGTTCACATCAATAAGCTAGCATCTTATTTAGGGTTTTGGTATCTGAGTTTGGCATATAGTTTACCCCATTTTTATCTGTGTTCATAACAAGGATCAGGCTGTCCTCTCTGATTAAATTGGGAAACTTTCCATCATTTTCTATGCTCTGGAATAGAAGAATTATCTGTTCCCTCAAGTTTGGCAGAACTTGACTGCAGACTGCCTGGGCTGCTGCTGGTGTTGTTTAGGCAGTTAATATCAGTATTTAATTACCTTTTCATTTTTTTCATGATCATTTATTTTTCTCAGTTTTTCTGTTTCTTCAAAGTAAATTTAATATTTTCTGTTTTCCTAGAAAATCATTAACATTATTGAAATTTAATATATGCTAGCATAATGTTGTATATAGTATTCTGGTGTAAGAAAACAGACTCTTACATATCTGTATGTATCTGTATGTTCTCTTTCTGATACAGTACTTTTTTTGGTACCTTTTCTCTTTTTTTTTGATCAGACTTGCTTAATGATTATTTTATTAATCCTTTCAAAGAACCAGCTTTTATTAACCAGGATTTATTGATTAATTCTATTGATTTTTTATTTTTCTATGACATTAATTTCTGTTTTTTATCTTTCTACTTAATTTGAGTTTATTTTGTTCAAGTTTTAACTGTTTGAATGGAAAACCTGGCTCATTTATTTAATCAGTCCTGTGAACAAGGCAAGGACTTCTAATTCTTTCATTCCACTTACCTCACATTTGGCCTTAATTGTATTTTTACTTCAACCCTTCCAACGAGACATTATTGCTATTGTTTTTGTTATTTTCTAGGTCAACATTTATTAGCTTTATCTACCTGTTTACCATTTCTTCACTTTCCATTCCTTCTTGTATCACAGATACTTTTCTTTGGAACATTTTTCTTCTCCCTCAAGTACATTCTTTAGAAATTACTTCAGCAATGATCAATTTTCTGTTTTTGTAATATCTGAAAATGCCTTTATTCTCCCTGTATTCTAGAATTTTGGTTTCACCATGTGTCTTCTATTGATTTCAGAGTTATTTTTGTATTTTTTTATATTTTTAAAAAGATGTTTTGTAGCTGGAAGGTTTTTAGGATCTCTATTCTGCCACAGTGCTGAAAGAAAAACAAAGATTAAGAACAGATTAATTTGCAGTCCACTGTCAGTCACGACTGTTCCCTGAACTCTTAGTATATTGGGTATACAGTTCTATATTAATCTCAAGTTTATTGATGGTAATTCAGGTTTTCTGCATCCTTAACTTATTTTTTTTCTCTGTTTGACCTGTTGATATGGAGAGTTGTATTGAAGACTCCCATTATGATTCTTGTAGGGGTTTTTGTACTATTTCTATGTTTAATATATATTTTTCTTTAAATGTTGTATTTTTGAAGCTGTTTTATGTGCTTAAAGGTTCACAATTCTTGTATCTTCTTGGTGAATTGTACCTTTTGGGAATAAACGAGCCATCTTATTTAATTTTTTTTTTGTTCATTCTCTTTATATTGCTGTACTTGCTTTTTGTTAGCATTTATATGGAATATCTTTTTCTAGTCACTGATTTTCAATTTTCTGTGTCTTCTTTAATTGTTACTCTTACCATTAGCTTATGGCTGGATTTTGTTTAATTAGTTAATCTTTGTCTTTTAATAAATATTGTGGTAAAATAACATAAAATTTATTATTTATTATTTTTATTTTTACCATTTACTACTTTTAAGTTTACAGTTCCCCAGTGTTAAGTGTGTGCACATTGTTATGCAACCAATCTCCAGAATTTTTTCATCTTACAAAATTGAAGCTCTGTATCCATTACCGCAGCCCCTGGCAACCACCATTCTGCTTTTTGTCTCTATGAATTTGCCTATTTTAGGTACCTTGCATGAGTATCTAATATAGTACCTCATATAGTATTTGTCTTTTTATAACTGGCTTATTTCATTTAATGTAATGCCCTCAAGGTTCATCCATGTTGTAGCATGTGTCAGAATTTTCTTCATTTTTATTGCTAATTAATATTCCATTGAATGTATACACCACATTTTGCTTATCCATATATTTATCAAAGGATATTTATGTTGGTTCCACATCATAGCTATTATGAATAATGCTGCCATGATCATGGGTGTACAAATATCTCTTCAAGACCCTGCTTTCAGTTATTTGGGTATATACCCAGAAGTAGAATTGTTGGATCAAGTAGTACTTCTATTTTTAATTTTTTGATGACCCAGCATAGTGTTTTCCGCAGAGGCTGAACCATTTTATATTCTCACCAGCAATGCGTGAGAATTT
Source organism: Homo sapiens (assembly GCF_000001405.40). NCBI lineage: Eukaryota > Metazoa > Chordata > Mammalia > Primates > Hominidae > Homo > Homo sapiens. Next base: position 20,013,337 of record NC_000017.11, read on the forward strand.
CAGTTTCCATACATCCTTGCTAACATCTGTTATTCTCTCTCTTTTTTTGATAGTAGCTATCCTTATGGGTGTGAAATCTTTGTCTTTTAATAGGTAGCTTTAGCCCATTTATATTTATTTTGATTACTGATCTTTTGCGGATTATTCCTGTCATCTTATTTTATATTTTTGATTTCCTTTTTTGAGACGGAGTCTTGCTCTATCGTCCAGGCTGGAGTGCAGTGGCACGATCTCCGCTCACTGCGACCTCCGGCTTTCGGGTTCAAACGATTCTCCCAACCCAGCCTCCCGAGTAGCTGGAATTACAGGCCTGCAACCACTATGCCCGGCTAATTTTTGTGTTTTTAGTGGGGACAGGTTTTAACCGTGTTGGCCAGGCTAGTCTCAAATTTCTGACCTCAAGTGATCTGCCTGCCTTACCCGCCCAAAGTGCTGAGATTACAGGCATGAACCACTGTGCCGAGCTGGTTCATTTCATTCTCATTGCTGTGTATATGCCATTGTATATATCCCTAATATAGATATACATTTGACTTTGATTGGCAGTTGGTTGTTTGCATTTTTGGACTATTATGAATAGTAAGTACATGAACACTCTAGTACACGTCTTTTGTTGAGTGAGTGTGTGCATTTCTGTTGAGTGTGTATCTGGGAGTGGAACTGCTTGGTTGTAGTCTGTGCATGTGCTCGGTTTTAGTAGATACTAGCAAACAGTTTTCAGTACCGGTTGCACCAACTTATTTACCCCAGAAGTATATGTGGTTGCTCCACATTCTTGCCAACTCTTGGTAATTTCTGTCTTTTACCTTTTAGTTATTCTGGTGGATACTGTGGTTTTAATTTGGATTTTCCTGATGATAAATGAATTTGCACTGTTTTGGTACCCTTAGTTTTTCACACATATCTAAACATTTTTTTCTCTTGCTATTAAAAGATAATCTGTTTATGTGAACTCTCCATGAGTAAAGCAAAAAAGAATCTTATCATGATTTTAATTCTGTCCCATATTAAATTTTTGGGTTTTCATACATTATGCATAAACAGTTATTTAGGTAAACTGTAAATTTTTCTGATTATTTACTCATCATTGGTGCTTTTATTTCATTTGTTTTCTTAATGAGTCCTTAAGTGATTATTTGGTTTTGTTTTCAGGGATTCTGTGAATGGTAAACTTTCTGAACCCTTGCATGTTTAAACAATGTTTTTTATTTCACTTTTCCATGTGAATATTCTTGACTGGGTATAGGATTCTACGTTAAAACCTTCTGAATTTTGGAGATATTGCTTTATCTGCTGGTATCTAGGAAGAAGTGCACGCGTCTGACTCTCGTTTCTTTGTAGTTAATGTTTATTTTCTCTGAAGCTTTACAATTTTTTTTCTTTCTCCTTGGTGTTCTAAAATTTAACTATTATTTGTCTAGGAGTGGATTTTTTTTTTGAGATGGAATCTTGCTCTGTCACCCAGGCTGGGAGTGTGGCATGATCTCGGCTCACTACAACCTCCACCTCCTGGTTTCAAGTGATTCTCCTGCCTTAGCCTCCCAAGTAGTTGGGATTACAGATGTGCACCACCATACCCAGCTAATGTTTGTATTTTTAGTACAGACAGGGTTTCACCATGTTGGCCTGACTGATCTCAAACTCCTGACCTCAGGTGATCCACCTGCCTCGGCCTCCCAAAGTGCTGGGATTACAGGCATGAGCCACTGCGCTTGGGCACCACACTGGCTTAAGAGTGGATCTCTTTTGTTCTTCCTGCTCAGCATTTGGTAGTCCGTTTCATTCTAAAGATTAATACACATTTCTATGGCACTGGAGAAGTTTTGAGTGTTTCCTTGCCTCTATTCTATTTTCTGCTTCTGGAATTATTCTTACTTGGGAATTAGAATATCTTGATTTATCTTTCATGTTTCTTGAAATAAGCATTTTTTTCTCTCAAATATTCTGTCTTTTTTAATTTAATTTTTTTTTTTTTTGAGACAGAGTATTGCTGTGTTGCCCAGGCCTGGAGTGCAATGGTGTGGTTCAATGTGACCTGCAACTCTTGGACTCAGGCAATTCCCCTGCCATACCACTGTGCCCAGCGGAAATGCTCTCTTTATCTTTATGGGCTGCATTCTGGGATGTTCCTTGGGCTGGTTTTGCAGGTCACCAATCTAATATTTAGATTTGTTCCGTCAACTCTTTAGCCCATCTCTTGAGTGTTTTTAAATATTGATTATCATATTTTTAACTTTCCGGGTCTCTATTTTTTTTTTTTTTTTTTGAGGTGGAGTCTCGCTCTGTCGCCCAGGCTGGAAGGCAATGGCACTATCTCGGCTCACTGCAAGCTCTGCCTCCCAGGTTCACGCCATTCTCCTGCCTCAGCCTCCCCAGTAGCGAGGACTGCCGGTGCCCACCACCACGCCCGGCTAATTTTTTGTATTTTTAGTAGCGACGGGGTTTCACTGTGTTAACCAGGATGATCTCGATCTCCTGACCTCGTGATCCGCCCGCCTCGGCCTCCCAAAGTGCTGGGGTTACAGGCGTGAGCCACCACGCCTGGCCACGGGTTTCTACTTCTTAAAGTTTAACTTTTGAAATAGGTAAGATAGGCAGGGCGCAGTGGCTCACGTCTGTAATCCCAGCACTTTGGGAGGCCGAGGCGGATGGATCACGAGGTCAGGAGATTGAGACCATCTGGCTAACATGGTGAAACTCCGCTTCTACTAAAAAAAAAATAAAATAAAAAATTAGCTGGGCGTGGTGGCGATTGCCTGTAGTCCCAGCTACTCAGGAGGTTGAGGCAGGAGAATGGTGTGAACCCGGGAGGCGGAGCTTGCAGTGAGCCAGGATGGCACCACTGCACTCCAGTCTGGGCGACAGAGAGCGACTCCATCTCAAAAAAAAAAAAAAAAAATAGGTAAGATAATCAGTGTTCAAAACCAGACTGTATTAAAAAGGCATAAATGAAAGTGAGAGGTGACAGCGTGCTGGCAGTCCTCGCTCGCTCTCGGTGCCTCCTCAGCCTTAGTGCCCACTCTGGCCGCGCTTGAGGAGCCCTTCAGCCCACCGCTGCACTGTGGGAGCCCCTTTCTGGGCTGGCCAAGGCTGGAGCCAGCTCCCTCAGCTTTGCAGGGAGGTGTGGAGGGAGAGGCGCGGGCGGGAACCGGGGCTGTACGCGGTGCTTGCGGGCCAGCGTGAGTTCCCGGTGGGCGTGGGCTTGGCGGGCCCCGCACTGGGAGCGGCCGGCCAGCCGGCCCCAACGGCCCCAGGCAGTGAGGGGCTTAGCACCTGGGCCAGCAGCTGCTGTGCCCGATTTCTCGCTGGGCCTTAGCTGCCTCCCTGCGGGGCAGCGCTCATGACCTGCGGCCCGCCATGCCTGAGCCACCCCCACCTCCTGGGCTCCTGTGCGGCCCGAGCCTCCCTGACAGCACCACCCCCTGCTCCACGGCGCCCAGTCCCATCGACCACCAGAGGGCTGAGGAGTGCGGGCGCAGGGCGCGGGACTGGCAGGCAGCTCCACCTGTGGCACTGATGCCGGATCCACTGGGTGAAGCCAGCTGGGCTCCTGAGTCTGGTGGGGACTTGAGAACCTTTATGTCTAGCTAAGGGATTGTAAATACACCAGTCAGCACCCTGTGTCTAGCTCAGGGATTGTAAACGCACCAATCAGCACTCTGTCAAAATGGACCAATCAGCTCTCTGAAAAATGGACCAATCGGTTCTCTGTAAAATGGAGCAGTCGGCTCTCTGTAAAATGGACCAATCAGCAGGATATGGGTGTGGCCAGATAAGAGAATAAAAGCAGGCTGCCCGAGCCAAGAGTGGTAACGTGCTGCGGTCGCATTCCGCGCTGCTGAAGGTTTGTCCTTTTGATGTTTGGAATGCGTTCTTATTACTGCTCACTCTTTGGGTCTGCACTGTCTATATGAGCTGCAACACACACCTCGAAGGTCTGCAGCTTCACTCCTGAAGCTAGCGAGACCACGAACTCACCAGGAGGAACGAACAACTCTAGATGCGCCCCCTTAAGAGCTGTAACACTCGCCGCGAAGGTCTGCAGCTTCACTCCTGAGTCAGCGAGACTACGAACCCACCAGAAGGAAGAAACTCCGAACACATCCAAACATCAGAAGGAACAAACTCCAGACACACCGCCTTTAAGAACTGTTACGCTCACCGCGAGGGTCCACGGCTTCATTCTCCAAGTCAGACCAAGAACCCACCAATTCCGGACACAAAAGGTGTTCCCACCATTCCTGTCCTCTTACTTCTCTCGCCTTACAAGTAGGTAACCATTGTTGTTAGTTACTTATGTACCTTCCAAAGTTTCTTCATGCAAATACAAGCAAATATGAATCAGATTCTCCATTTCTCCTTTTTTGCACAAATAGTAGCATTATTCTCTATCTGGTCTTCATCCTGTGTTTTTATTTCTTGGTATATCACAAAGATCGTCACATACCAACTGCTTGCTCTTTATAATGTCCCCTTAGGTCTTCCCAAGAATATCTAATAATTTCTTCTATGTGCTCTAGTAATTATCTTTGCTTGGGTTTGTGTTCTGTTGATTCAGTGTCCCTGTTTCATCATACTGAATAAAAACTTGGTGATTCTTTATGTGTTCATCTTCGAAGTTTGAGAATTCCTTTTTTCCTGTCTTACTAGGCGTAGCGTGCCTCCTGTGATTGTTGAAGAGCTGTGGTGTGCTGCTGAGTGGCGTGTGTATTCCATGTGAGGGGAAGGGTCCAACAGTCCTGGTCATTCAGACTGCAGTTCCCCAGGTAATCACCTTGTCAGGTTCTACCTCTGCTGTTCTATCTGCTGTTACAAGTCTGTTCCTGGAAACCTGTTACCATTTCCTTCTGCATAACAGCCTCCTCCCAAGCTTGTATTGGGCTATGGTTTGCTCAGGTAATCTGGTTCTGAGTACTTTTTACTTTTCAGAAATTTCCTAGACATTTTAGTTGGCCATCGGCACTCTTGTTTTCCAGGTTTCTTTTGATTTAGTGTTTTAAAAATGTTTCTACCATTCCATTGAATTTTAAGACACTTGGAAGGCAGAAGTATGTGTTTAGTTTATTGTTTTGGGGACAGGGTCTTGCTCTGTCTCCCAGGTTAGAGTGCATTGGCGCAGTCATAGGTCACTGTAACTTTGAACTTTTGGGCTTAACTGGTCCTCCTGCCTCGGCCTCCCAAAGCGCTGAGATTACCGGCATGGGCCACCATGCCCAGTCCTTGGTCTTTTATAATTTATTTCTGTGTTGGGGGCCCCCAGGACCATGCTCAGATCTGGTGGTTCACTTGGAAGACTCAGCATGTGGTGTACTCACGGCTGTAATTTATTACAGTGAAAGGATACAAAGCACAATCAGCAAAGGGAAAGGTGCATGGGGCCAAGTCCAAAGGAAGCCAGGCACAAGCTTCCAAGCATCCTCTCCCAGTGCAGTCACACAGGATGTATGTGCTTAACTCCCCGAGGAAGGAGCTGTGACAACGCATGTGAAATGCTGTCTACCAGGGAAACTCACTAGAGACCCAACACCCAGGGTTTTTATTGGGGGCTGGTCATGCAGGCCCCCTTTGCCCAGCACATACCACATTCCACGCTACCTGAAGAAAAGCAGGAGTTCAGCATAAACCACACAATAATTTAGGCACAGTGAGTCCCTCTTTCCAGGTTGGATGGTGGGAACCCTTCTGAAATCTAAGTTCCCAGGTGCCAGCCAAGGATTAACCATGCTTTTTATGAGACTTTTTAAGAATAACAGTCTTGGGCCAAGCACAATGGCTCATGTCTATAATCCCAACACTGTGGGAGACCAAGGTGGGAGGATCTCTTGAAGCCAGGAATTTGAGACTAGCCTGGCCAATACAGAAGACCCTATCATTCATTTATTTATTTATTTATTTATTTATTTATTTATTTATTTATTTATTTATTTATTTTAAAAAGCAGTCTTAGGCCTGCTGTGTTAACTCTTTTCTGTAAGATTTTCCTCCTGTGTTCCTCAGAAAAAGATGGACACTTTACCTAGAAATGACTTCTCCCAGTCAGATGGTCATGAATTTTTTTGCCTTCTCTGAAGAGAGAACACATTTGTATTAAGGTGAAACTGAGTGGAGAACATTTCCTGATGTTGGAGAAAGCCATAGCATGGCACGTGCTCAGCAGCCTTGAGAGGGTGTCAGTGAGAGAGCACAGAGGGACTACTCAACCATTCAAAATTATTTTGAAAAGGCAAGGATCCTTTTGAACTTTATCTGCAAATTCCATGAGGTGAGAAGTTTAGCTCAATATAGCTGGAAAGTTGAGATTGGGTTCTGTGCTGATAGCAGGAATGACACGAAAGAGCTGAATAAAAAATCCACACATGGTCTTTAATTAGCCATATACAGATGGTAGTGGCCCATCATCCAGCTCAGAGATCTGCCACTTCTCTTCCAGCTTTCCCACGGAGCCACCCTGATCACCCCCATCCATGTTGGTCTTTCTTCCCCAAATGGCCATCAGCTCTGCTCACAGGGCCTTTCATCACTGGCTTCTTTGTCACTGGCTTCTTTTCCGTGGTTTTATTGGATAGTTTTTGTTGCCTCATTGTGTATAATCTTCCACAAGATTGGGAATTCCTTGAGGAATGAACAGTAAGTCATAGTTATATACCCCATGTCTCCCTGCAGGGTGACATGCATAGAGCTGGTGCCTATTAATGTTTTCGGAAAGAACCACTAGAAGGAAGTAAGAAGCAGCCTTTTCTTCATTCTAGTCACTGCTTCACATGCAGCTGATTTTTATTCTGTGTTGAGGGTGGTGATATAAAACACCACGCTGACATTACCTGTTTGAGTTGTCTGAGTTCTGTCTGCAGCAGATGGTGTAATTAAATGTTTTAGTTTGAAAGGCTTTTCAATTTCATTCAATCTGAGTGTGGGCTTAGATTGTCAAATCATCTTTTCTAACTCTAAAGGCTGTATCTAGTCAGCCTGGATCTAGTTTCCTCCCTTTCTCTGTTTTTTTATTTTTTTTATTTTTTTGAGACAGAGTCTTACTCTGTCACCCAGGCTGGAGTGCAATGGTGTGATCTCGGCTCCCTGCAACCTCCGCCTCCTGGGTTCAAGTGATTCTCCTGCCTCAGCCTCCAGAGTAGCTAACTACAGGCATGTGCCACCACACCTGGGTAATTCTTGTATTTTTTGTAGAGATGGGCTTTCACTGTGTTGGCCAGGCTGATCTCAAACTCCTAATCTTGTGATCCGCCCGCCTCAGCCTCCCAAAGTGCTGGGATTACAGGCGTGAGCCTCCACGCCTGGCCCTCCCTTTCCTTGGTTTTAGACCTCAGGTGTGAGGAATTGAATTAATTATATTCTCATTCTTAGCCCTTTATCATCACTGGCCCATGCAAGCCCCTCTGTTGTTTTGCTTGTTAATGCATTTGTTGGTTTATTTGTTCATTCCGTTTTATCCCACTCTCATTCTCTTCTCCCTATAGACAGCTATTCTAATGAGGTTCATATAATACTTTTGTGTATATACAGTTGACCCGTGAACAATGAGGGGGTCAGGGGAACTGATTGCCTGCACAGTTGAAAATCTGTGTATAACTTTTGACTCCCAAAACTTAACTACTGACAGCCTACTGTTGAGTGGAAGCCTTACCCATAATATAAACAGTCAATTAACATTTATTTTGCGTGTGATGTGTATTATGTACCATATTCTTAGAATAATGTAAGCTAGAGATAAAGAAAATCATAAGGAAGAGAAAATATACTTTTCATTAGTTCCTTGGAATTGGATTATCATAAAAGTCTTCATCCTTGTCATCTTCATGTTGAGTAGGCTGAGGGGGAGGAGGAAGAAGAGGGGTTGGTCTTGCTGTCTTGGGGGTAGCAGAAGTGGAAGAAAATCCACATGTAAGTGGACACAGGCAGTTCAAACCTGTGCTATTCAAGGGTCACGCGTATACTGCTTTGTGTGCATCTATTTTTAATTTACATGAATGGCATCATGTTCTAGCCTTTATTCTGTATCTTAGGATTGTCACTCACCACCCATCTCTGTTACTTGGTGATTCTGGTCTTAATATCCACCACATTTTGTCCATCTCGTCTCCTGTAGATGGACACCCAGGTTGATTCCCACTCCCAGTAATGCTGAATGAGCCTCGTACATGTCTCCTTATGGACTTGTGTGAGAATTCTTTGGGATTTAGACCCAGGAGTAGGACTGCCTGGTCGTGGTGTGTGCCTATACTTAATATAACCAAGTACTGCCAGATTGCTGTCAAGGGTGGCTGCACCACTACCTTCCCCAGCAGCACACAAGGATTCCCAAGGCTCTGATATATATATATATAATATAATAATATATATATATATATATATTTTTTTGTACTTTTAGTAGAGACCGGGTTTCACTGTGTCGGCCAGGATGGTCTTGATCTCTTGACCTCATGATCCGCCCGCCTTGGCCTCCCAAAGTGGTGGGATTACAGGCGTGAGCCACTGCACCCGGCCATCCCAAGGCCCTGATCTTTGCATGCGCTTGGCATCATTCAACTTTCTAGACTTTAGCAGTCTCTCTCTTTTTATTTATTTACTATTTATTATTATTATAATTATAATTATTATTATATTTTTTGAGATGGAGTTTCACTCAGTCGCCCAGGCTGGAGTGCAGTGGCATGGTCTCGGCTCACTGCAATCTCCGCCTCCTGGGTTCATGCCATTCTCCTGCCTCAACCTCCTGAGTAGCTGGGACTACTGGTGCCCACCACTACGCCTGGCTAATTTTTTGTGTTTTCAGTAGAGACGGGGTTTCACCATGTTAGCCAGGATGGTCTCGATCTCCTGACTTCATGATCCGCCCGCCTCGGCCTCCCAAAGTGCTGGGATTACAGGTGTGAGCCACTGTGCCCGGCAGCAGTTTCCCTCTTTTTATTTGCATCTGTCTGTTTACTACTGAATTTGAGAATGCTTTTATATATGCTTGTTATCTTTTTGAGTTTCCATTGACATAAGTTGCCTGTTCATGTCCTTTCCCCATGTTTCAACTGGAATCCAATATAGACTATTTTAGACATTAGCCCCTTGTTGATGTTTCGACAGTGCACATAGTTTCTCCTAATATGTTATACGTCAGCTTTTTGGTTGGTATCTGTGTTGGATAAGAATCCTTAATTCTATAACCTGAATAGTCAATCTGCCCCATGAACTTACTTAGTTTTACCTTTTGACATGTCTGTTGACAACATTTAGTAATCAAGATATTTCACATAAAAATCCAGATTCCTAGTCTCTCTTGAAAGGGTGAAAAGTATTTCAGTCCTGGCTAGAGTGACTGAGGGGTGAGCTCCTGCTGTTGCTAGGGCCTGGGCTGCCTACCCACCTGTCCTCACTCATTCTCTTGACCTCCTGGCCACTAGTGTCATTTGACTTTATGACCAGCCACTGCTGTATGTGAGGCAATACCTTAAGGATAAACAAGCATGGTGATGATGTTCCCAAGATTGCTTGGACATGGTTATGGAGTGGGTGGACTCGGCATTGAGAACACAGTAGTAGCTGCTGCATCTCATGACACTATTGGATGGGTGTCAGCATGGCAGCAGAATACTGACGGACTGTGTGCACATTCTTTCAGCAGTAATGATTCATTCTTTTCAACCTTTTCTGGATCGGCTCATTCCTTTTTGCCAAAAAAAACCAAACAAACCCAAAAAACTATGGTTTAGTGAAATTGCATATGAACAAGAGTTCTAAACGAGGGATCTGAAAACTTTTTCTGTGAAGAGCTATAGAGTAAATATTTTAGGCTTTGCAGGGCCGTGTGTTCCCTTGGAACTACTTAGCTCTGCTCCTGTAGTGTGAAAGCTGCTATAGGTTGTATGTAAATGAACATGGTCTCTTCATTTGGTCTGGATTTGGGCTGCAGACTGTAGTTTCTGATCCATGTTCTAAACCATAGTCTTAAGACTTAATTTTGTCTTCCTTCTCTTGTTTTTAAGGTGCAAGGTTATACATAACATTTTGCTAATGAATACATGGTAAGTACCTACTAGGTACTAGGTGCTGAGATTATAGTGATGGACAAGACACAAATCCAGTCTATTCAGCTTAATGTCTGGGTGGGGAGACAGATGAGGGAGCAGGCAATTACTAAAGAGGATGGCAGGCCAGGACACGGGAGAGCACACAATTGGGCAGCAGGGGTTGGGAGCAGGGCATGTCAGGTAAGACGTTCTAGAAGAAGGTGATGTCTAAATGAAGGGGGAAGAGGGCGAGGCAGGATAATGCAAAGGTCCTTTTGAACTTCATCTGCAAATTCCATGGGGTGAGAGTATAGCTGGAAAGCTGAGATTGGGTTCTGTGCTGATAGCAGGAATGACAAGAAAGACTCTGAATAAAAAATCCACACGTGGAATCGTGAATGCTTAAATAATCCAAGGTTGATGGTGGTAACTCCTATGCTATTCAAATGTGGCAGAAAATAAAAAAAAAAAACATGGAAAGCATCTCAGCTGATTTTACAAAGTTAAAATAACCCTGATAGAGAGCAGTATATGGATACTGGGGGTTGGAAATTTTAAAAAAATGAAAAAAAGAACAGTATAAGCCCGTAGATGTAAACTATAGACCAAATTTACGTGTGATGTGTATACAAATATCCTAAATAGCAAAAGGAGGTCAGCAGAATATTAAAAGAGCAATACACTTTGACGAAATATATTTTACTCTAGGAATTCCAGAATCGTTTGCTATTAGGACATATGTTAGTTTAATACAAGGGGAAAGTTTAGTAAGTTTCCATTTTATTTAATAAAATGGGGTAGCTATATAATCGTCTTGAGAGATTCTGGAAAAGCACTTAGAATTTGACTTCAAATCTTGTCATTTCTTGAAACGTTTTCATGCATTGTGCCTTCAGGTTGTACAGCGTGGCTGAGTTTACCACTTTTTAATTTCTCTGGCAAATCTTTGCTGATTATAGCTTTTCATTCATCACGTCCTTTGTGAATCCATTCTTGTTTACTCTATGCGGAATAAATTTTTCTCTTCTCTTCTAGTCCAGTAATTCTCCATTCTTTCATTTCAATTGGAGTTTTCAGTTTCTCTCAATTGCTTTCCTTTTTTGAGAGACAGATTAGGCACTGGAGATACAAAGATAAATAAGATAGTACTCAGGGTTTTTTCTCTTTATCCTCTGATTCATTTTCTACCCTTCCATATTTCTCTGTCTCAGAGGGAGATGATTCCTACAAACTTCATTTTGCAGTGTTCCTTGTCACTGTCTCTGGCCAAGTATGGCTAGTAGGAAGCACTAGTGGGAGATTGAAAGGTGGGAGGAAGGGAGAAGTCAGGGTTTTTCCCCCTTGTTTTCTGCTTTGCACAGTGTCTCTAGGGTGGTCCCAGCTCCAGCCAAGGACTCTGACACTGGCTTGTGGACTCTGATAATAGCCCCTCCTTTATCCTTCCAGCTTCATGGGTGGTAGGTAGATGGGGTCCCACTGTTGCTAATCTCTGGGTTGGCTCACCATCCCAACTGGCTTTTTAGTCCTGCCCTAAACCTTGTAATTAGTTCCCATATTAAATTCCTGCTATTGAACTGCTTCTCTTGAATTCTATTTTTCTTATTAAACTTTGCACAATGTAGATAAAAACCCTACTTCTGTGTGTTCACAATCTCATAGGAAAAGCGGACATTAAAATGACTATAAGTTTAGCCTAGTCAGTGTTCCCTCTTCCCTTCTTTTGGAAGTAGACTTCACTTTGTGCATAGCAATTGGCCATGACCCAGAATGAGCCAATCAAAATTTGGACATGGGCACACACAGAGAAAAGATGATGTGAAGACGCAGGGAGAAGATGGCCACCTGCCAGCCAAGGAGAGAGGCCTGGGACAGAGCCTTGCCTCAGGGCCCTCAGAAAGAACCAGCTCTGCTGACACCTTGATCTCAGAGTCCTAGTCTCCAGAACTGTGAGGAAATCAATTTCTATGTTTAAGCTCCCCAGTTTGTGGTACTTTGTTCCAGTAGTTCTGGGAAAGTAGTGTACTACCTGTCCTCCCAGCCCCACCCAACCACTAATCTACTTTCTGTCTCTATAGATTTCCCTATTCTGGTCATTTCCGATGCATGGAATCATAATCTGTGGTCATTTGTGACTGGCTTCTTTCACTTAGCATAAGGTTTCCGAGATTCATCCTTGTAGCATGTAGCTGGATGTCACTCCTTGTATGGGCAGATAATATTCTAGTGTATGGATAATACCGCATGTTATTTACCTGTTCATCAGATGATGGGCATATGGGTTCTTACCACCTTTGCTGTTATGAATAATGTTGCTATAAATGCCCATGTACAAGTTTTTATGTGGATATATGTTTTCATTTTTTTGGTTATAGACCCAGGAGGAATATTCCTGGGTCATACGGTAACTCTGTATTTAATAATTTGAGGAGCTGCCAGACTGTTTTCCAAAGTGGCTGCATCACTTTACATTCCCAACAGCAGCGAATGAGGTTTCTGATTTTTTCACATCCTTACCAACATTTGTTATTACCTTTTTATTCTAGCCATCCTAGTGCATATGAAGTGGTGTCTACATTCTACATTGTGGTTTTGATTTATATTTCCCTGATGACTAGTGATGTTGAGCATCTTTTCGTGTCTTTATTGGCCAATTGTATATAGTCTTTAGATAAGTGTATATTCAAGGCTTTTACCCATTTTTGAATTGGGTTGTTTTGTTGTTGTTCTTGAGTTGTAGGAGTTCTTTATATATTATAAATATTAAATATTTATCAGATATATATAATTTGCAGATATTTTATTTCTTCCATTATGTGGGTTGTCTTAATTTTCTTTTTTTTCCTTTTTTTGTTGACGTAATAATTATACATATTTATGAGGTACAGAGTGATAATTTGATACATGTATGCAATGTGTAATGATTGAATCAGGGTAATTAGGATATCCATCATCACAAACATTTATCATTCCTTTGTGCTGGGAACATCCAAAATCTCTTCTAGCTTTTTGAACATGTACAATAAGTTATTGGTAACTATACTCGCCCTACAGTTCTATAGAACACTAAAACTTATTCTTCTTACATAGCTGTAAATTTTTATCCATTAACTTTTCCCAAGCCTCCCCTTCTAATTCTGTGACCCCATTTTCTTTTTAGCACCCATGTCTGAGTGAGAACATGTACTGTTTATCTTTTTGTGCTTTACTTATTTCATTAAATATAATGTCCTCCAGGTTCATCCATGTTGCTGGGATGACAGGATTTCATTCTTCTTTAATGGCTGAATAGTATTCTATTGAGTGTATATGCCACATTTTCTTTATCCATTCATCTGTTGATGCACATTTAGATTTATTCCCTGTCTTGGCTGTTGTGAACAGTGTTGCAATTAACATGAGAGTGCATATATTTCTTCAGTATACTGACTTCTTTCCTTTGGATAAATACCCAGTAGTAGGGTTGCTGGATCATATGGTAGTTCTATTTTCAGTTTTTTGAAAAACCTCAGTATTATTTTCCATAATGGCCATTACCAATTTGCATCCCTACCCACAGTGTATAGGAGTTCCCCTTTCTCCAAATCTTTGCCAGCATCCATTATATTTTGTCTTTTTGATAGTAGCCATTCTAACTGGAGTGAGAGGATATCTCATAGTGGTCTTGATTTTTATTTCTCTGATGATTAGTGATGGTGAGCATTTTTTCATACTTGTTGGCTATTTTATACTTGCAAGGCTCCCAGAATAGCCAAAACAAACTTGAAAAACAAGAACAAAGTGTAGGATGACTCACACTTCCCAATTTAAAAATTTATACACTAACAAGTAATCAAGACAGTGTGGTACTGGCAGAATGATAGTGACATTTGTATGTCTTCCTTTGAGAATGTTTATTCAGATCTTTTGCCCATATAAAAACCAGATTATTTGCTTTTTTGCTGTTGAGTTGTTTTAGTCACTTGTGTGTTCTGGATACTAGTCCCTTGATGGATGGATAGTTTGCAAATATTTTCTCCCATTCTACAGGTTGTCTTTTCATTCTGTTGTTTCCTTTGCTGTGCAGGAGCTTTTTAGTTTAATAAAGTGCTATTTTTCCATTTTTGTTTTTGTTGCCTGTGTTTTTGAGGTTTTAGCCATAAGATCTTTGCCTGGACCAATGTCCTGAAGCGTTTTTCCTTATGTTTTCTACCAGTAGTTTTATAGTTTTGGGTCTTACATTCAAGTCTTTAATTCAGTCTGAGTTGATTTTTCTATATGGTGAGAGATAGGGGTCTAGTTTTATTCTTCTGCATATCGATATCCAGTTTTCCTAGTATCATTTATTGAAGGGGTGTCATTGTCAAAAATCAGTTGACTATAAATATGTGGATTTATTTTTGGGTTCTTTATTCTGTTCCATTGGTCTATGTGTCTGTTTTTCTACTAGTACCATGCTGTTTTGGTTACTGTTGCTTTGAAGTCAGGTAGTATGATGCCTCCAGCTTTGTTCTTTTTGCTTAATATTGCCTTGGCTATTTTGGCTTTCCATTTCTTGATGGTGTCCTTTCCAGCACAAAGGTTTTTCATTTTGGTAGGTACAATTTACCCTATTTTACCTTAGTTGGTCATGCTTTTGGTGTCATGTCTAAGAATTCTTTGTCAAACCTAACGTCTTTAAGATTTACCCGTATGTTTCCTTCTAAGAGTTTTACAGTCGTAACTCTTACGTTTAAGTCATCAATTCATTTTTGAATTAATTTTTGCATATGGTGTGATGGAGGGTCCAACTTCATTTTTTTTTTCATGTGACTATCTGATTATCCCAGACCTATTTGTTGAAAAGAATGGTCTTGTTGACCTTTTTGAAAATCATTTGGGCTGGATGTGGTGGCTGATGCCTATAATCGCAGCACTTTAGTGTGATGGAGGGTCCAACTTCATTTTTTTTTTCATGTGACTATCTGATCATCCCAGACCTATTTGTTGAAAAGAATGGTCTTGTTGACTTTTTTGAAAATCATCTGGGCTGGATGTGGTGGCTCATGCCAGTTATCCCAGCACTTTGGGAGGCCACAGTGGGAGGATTGCTTGAGCCCAGAAGTTGAAGACCAGCCTGGGCAACATGGTGAGATTCTATCTCTACAAAAAAGAAAAAAAAAAAGAAAAAAATAGAAAAGCACTTACCATAGATGTTTAGGCTTGTTTCTGTACTCTCAATTATATTCCATTGATATGTATGTATGTATGTGTCTTTTGCCAGTACCACACAGTCTTGATTACTGTTGCTGTGTCGTAACATTTGCAATTGGCAAGTGAGTCATCCTATATTTTGTTCGTGTTTTTCAAGTTTGTTTTGGCTATTCTCAAGGTCTTGCAATTCCATGTGAATTTTAGAATAATCTTTTCAATTTCAACAGTGAAGTCATCTGGGATTTTTTTTTTTTTTTTTTTGAGATGGAATTTTGCTCTTGTTGCCCAGGCTGGAGTGCAATGGCACGATCTTGGCTCACTGCAACCTCTGCCTCCTGGGTTCAAGCGATTCTCCTGCCTCAGCTTCCCGAGTAGCTGGGATTATAGGCATGTGCCACCACGCCTGACTAATTTTGTATTTTTAGAAGAGATAGGGTTTCTCCATGTTGGTCAGGCTGATCTCGAGCTCCCGACCTCAGGTAATCTGCGTGCCTCAGCCTCCCAAAGTGCTGGGATTACAGGCATGAACCGCCACCCCCAGCCTCATCTGGGATTTTGATAAGGATTTTGTTGAATTTATAGATCAATTTGGAGAGCATTGCCAGTAATAAGTCTTTTGATCCATGAACATGGGATAGTTTTTCATTTATGTAAACCTTTAATTTCTTTTAACAGTGTTTTGTAGCTTCTAGAGTATAAGTTTTGCACTTACTTGAATAAATTTATTTTTGAGTGTTTTTATTCTTTTTGATGTTATTGTAAATTGAATTATTTTCTTAATCTCATTTTTGGGTTGTTCACTGCAAGTGTATAGAAATATAATAGATTTTTGTATATTGGTTTTCTATCCTGCAGCCTTGCTGAACTTGTTTATCAGTTATCATAGTGTCTTAGTAGTTCCCTTAGGATTTTCTAAAGATCGTATCGCCTGTAAATAGAGATCTGTTCTTTTTTTTGGAGGAGTTTGTGAAGAACTGATGTTAATTTATATTTATAAGTTTGAAAGAATTTCACAGTGAAATCTTCTGGGCCTGGGATTTTCTTTGTGGATAGTTTCTTGGTTGTCAATTCAGTCTCTTCCCTTGTTATAGCTCATTCAAATTGTCTCTTTCTTCTTGAGTAAATTTTGGTAGTTGATGTTGTCCTAGGAACCTGTCCATTTCATCTAAGTTTTCTAATTTGTTGGCACACATTTGTTCGTAGTATTCTTTTCTAATCCCTCATTAGTAATGTCCCCTCTTTTATTTCTGATTCTAGTAATTTGAGTCTTACCTCCTTTTTGTCAGTCTAGTTAAAAGGTTTGTTAACTTGGTTGATCTTTTCAAAGAACTAGCTTTTGGTTTTATTTATTTTTTTCCATTTTTCTCCTTTTGATTTCATTATTTTTTGCCATAATCTTTATTATTTTCTTCTTTCTGGTTGCTAGGAATGATATAGCTACAAGCCAAGGAGCACTTAGGGTTACTGAGAACCACTGGAAGCTGGAAGAGACAAGGGAGGATTCTTTCCTAGAGCCTTCACAGGGAGCATGGCCCTGTACTCACCTTGATTGCAGGTGTTTAGCCTCCAGAACTGGGAGAAAATACATTTAAGTTGTGTTAAGCCACTCAATTTGTGGTAGTTTGTTACTGTACCCTGAGGAAACTAATACAAACATTTTAATTATTTTATTTATTTTTTTACTGTATTTATGTGAGTTACTTTTTAGTATCTAGGGTTTAACATGTGTGTCTTAACTTACCAGAATATACTTCATATTTATAATTTAATTCTAGTTAGATACCAAAATGTTATTCCTATGTAGTTCTATTGTCTTCTTCCCTTTTTGTGGTATTTTTGTATTATGTCTATTAATATTACAAACCCAACCATATTATTGTTGTAATTATTATTTTTAAATTTTTTAAAATTTTATTTTTAAGTTCCCTGTTATATTACTTTACTATCTGTAGTAATTTCTTTAGCCTAGTAACAGCTTTGTTCCAACTCTCTTTTGTGCAGTTATTTGCAAATATATTACAAGTATATTTCTATATATGTTATAGGTTCAACAATAGGCTTTATATATAATATTTTATGCAATTGCTTTTTAAATCATTTCAGAGAAGAAAGGAAAAAATATGCATTGTTAGTGTCATAGTTACAGAATAACCTTTACTGCTATGCTTCAATTTTCTGTGAGAATTCAGATTACCCTCTGGGGTCACTTGTTTTCAGCCTGAAGAACTTCCTGTGGTGTTTCTTCTAAGGCAACAAATTCTCTACTTTTGTTTCTCTGGGATGTCTTTATTTCACCTTCATTTCCTGCCCCCCAGCCCTTTTTTTTGTGGTAAGATACATATAAAATTTACCATTTTAATCATTAAACATTTTTTGAAAAGTTTTGTGCTCTCATGAGCCTTGGTCCTGCACATCTTTCTCCTCCTCAGCAGCAATCTCGTTTCCTGCTTAATTATTTTTTGGTTTTGCTTTTTGTTTTTGTTTTTGTTTTTTCGAGACAGAATCTTGCTCTGTCGCCCAGGCTGGAATTCAGTGGCGCGATCTCGACTCACTGCAATCTCTGCCTCCTGGGTTCAAGCAATTCTCGTGTCTCAGTCTCACCAGTAGCTGGGATTATAAGTATATGCCACCATGCCTGGCTAATTTTTGTATTTTTAGCAGAGACAGGGTTTTGCCATGTTGGCCAGGCTGGTCTCAAACTCCTGGTCTCAAGTGATCGCCTGCCTCGGCCTCCCAAAGTGCTGGCATTATAGGTGTGAGCCACCGTGCCTGGCCTCCTGCTTAATCATTTTTAAATTTTTTTTATTTTTTATTTTTTGAGACGGAGTTTTGCTCTTATTGCCCAGGCTAGAGTGCGGTGGCGCAATCTCAGCTCACTGCAACCTCCGCCTTCTGGTTTCAAGCAATTCTGCTGCCTCAGCCTCCCAAGTAGCTGGGATTACAGGTGCCCGCCACCACACCCAGCTAATTTTTTTGTATTTTTAGTAGAGACGGGGTTTCACCATGTTAATCATTTTTAAGTATACTGTTCAGTAGTATAAAGTATATTTGTATTGTTGTACCACCCTCACCACCATCTGTCTCCAGAACTCTTTTTATCTTGCAAAACTGAAATTCTGTACCCATTCAACAATAACTCCACGTTACTCCCTCCCTCAGCCCTTGGCAACCACTGTTTTACTTTCTATCTCTGAATTTGACTACCCTAGGTATTTCATACAAGTGAAGTAATATGGTATTTGTCCTTTTGTGGCTGGCTTATTTCACTTAGCATAGTGTTCTCAAGGTTTAGCCATGTTGTAGCATGTGTCAGAATTTCATTCCTTTTTAATACTGAATAAATTCCATTGTGTATACATATACCACATTTTATTTATTTGTCGATGGACCCTTGGGTTGCTTCTACCTTTTGGCTATTGTGAATAATGCTGCTATGAACATGGATGTACAAATAACTCTTCAAGACCCTGGTTTCAATCCTTTTGGATGTATATTTTTGAAAGACAGCTTTGTCGTATATAGGAATCTTTATTTTTTTTCTTTGAGCACTTCAAATATGTTATCATTCATTGTTTCTGATGAGAGGTCAACTGTTTCTATTATTGTGGTTCTTTTATAAGTGATGTTCTTTTGTAAGTGAGGTTCTCTTATAAGTTTTCCTCTAGCTGCTTTCAATATTTTCTCTGTTTTTGACTTACAGCATTTTTACCATGGTGTATCTGTTTGTGGTTCTTTTTGTATTTATCCTACTTGGAATTCATTGAGTTTCTTGATTGTATAGGTTATTGCTTTAAAACAAAAATCTAGGAAGTTACTGGCCATCATTTGAATATTTTTTCTTCCTCTTTCTCATCTGCTTCCGGTACTCTCAGTATGCATATGTTAATGTGATTAATGGTGTGCCACATTTTGCTGAGATTCTGTTTATTTTTCTTCATTCTTTTTTCTTTTTATTTTTCATTTGAATAATGTCTATTGAAGTATATTTGTCTCACTAAATTTTTCTTCTGCCAGTTCAAATATAGTGTTGAACCTTCTCTAGTGAATTTTAAATTTTAGTTATTCTACCTTTCAACTCCGGAATTTCCATTGTATTATATTTTATAATTTCTATGCCTTTATTGATATTCTCTATTTGGAGTAATATTGTTATGATACTTTCCTTTCCTTTTTTAATCACGCTTTTCTTTAATTCTGTGGACATATTTATAATGGTTACTCCAAAGTCTTTTTCTGTTAAATCTGATAACTGTTTGCTCTCACTTGCAGTTTCCCTTGTCTACTTCCCCCGTGATACCCCATCCTATCATAACCACAGAAAGTATGGTTCATACTTCCTTGTTTCTTTTCATGCTTCATATATATATGTGTGTCTGTATATATGTATATATGTGTATGTGTATATACACACACGCGCGCACACACACACACACACATATATATATGTATATTTTTTTTTTTTTTGAGGTGGAGTCTCACTTTGTTGCCCAGGCTGGAGTTCAGTGGCGTGATCTCGGCTCACTGCAACCTCTGCCTCCTGGGTTCAAGTGATTCCCTGCCTCAGCCTCCCGAGTAGCTGGGATTACAGGCATCCACCACCATGCCTGGCTAATTTTTGTATTTTTAGTAGAGACGGGGTTTTGCCATATTGGCCAGGCTGGTCTCGAACTCCTGACCTAGGGTGATCTGCCCGCCTCAGCATCCCAAAGTGCTGGGATTACAGACATAAGCTACCATGTCCGGCCTGTATATATATATTTTTTGGTTGGAAACTGGACTTTTCAGATACTGTATTGTAGGAACTCTGGGTATTGGCTTCCCACTTCTGGAGCCTCTTGTTCTTATTTGTTTAGTGACTGCATAGATTATTTTAATGAAGTTGATTTCCCCCTGTCTTGGTTCATTTGTCTTGCTATAAAGGAATACCTGAGGCTGGATAATTTATAAAGAAAAAAGGTTTATTGGGCTCATGGTTTTGTAGGCTGTACAAGAAGCATGGCATCACTATCTGCTTCTGGCGAGGGCTTCAGGCTGCTTCCACTCATTGCATAAAGGGAAGGGGAACCAGTGAGATCACATGGTGAGAGAGGAAGCGAGAGATGGGGGAAAGTGCCAGGCTGTTTTTAATAACCAGTTGTTGTGGGAACTAAGAGTAAGAACTCACTCATTCCTGCAAGAATGGCACCAAACCATTCAGGAGGGATATGCCACCCCCATGACTCAGACACCTTCCAATAAGGCCCCACCTCCAGTACTGGGGAACAAATTTCAACATGAGACTCGGTGGGGCCAAACAAACCATATCCAAACCATTAACACCCTAACAGGGTTAAACCCCTTATGTTGCTCCTCAAGGAGGTACAGCTTTGGGTGTGCTTATTGTCAGCCTCAAATGACAGTGATATTGATAGGGCTCTCTTCCTAAACAGTTAGCAAATTTAACAGCTGTTGAACTCCACTAATTGTTAGCTGGTTGCTCTATTTAACAATGCCATGGAGCATAAAAATTGCTCTAAATACTAATACAATTAAATTCTGGCTCCTTTAAATAGTTTCTAAAGTAAGCGTTTGATATTCTTTTTTTTTTTTTTCTTTTGAGACGGAGTCTCGCTCTGTCACCCAAGGCTGGAGTGCAGTGGCACAATCTCGGCTCACTGCAACTTCCACCTCCCAGGTTCAAGTGATTCTCCTGCCTCAGCCTCCTCAGTAGCTGGGATTACAGGCATGCACCATGACACCCGGCTAATTTTTTATATTTTTGGTAGAGACGGGGTTTCACCATGTTGGCCAGGCTGGTCTCGAACTCCTGACCGTGTGATCCACCTGCCCCGGCCTCCCAAAGTGCTGGGATTACAGGTGTGAGCCACTGCGTCAGGTCTTTCCCCCAATTTTTTACTAAAAAAATGTCAAACCTACAGAAAAGTTGAAAGAATAATACAGTGAATTCCCATATACCTTTCATCTAGTTGACCAAAGTGCTGGAATTACAGGCATGAGCCACCACGACTGGCCTTATAGATCTTAGTTTGGCATCAAGTGTAAGAATTCTTTACCTCGCCTTACATCCCAAAGATTTTCTATTTTTCCTTTTTTTTTTTTTTTTTGAGTTGGAGTTTTGCTCTTGTTGCCCAGGCTGGAGTGCAATGGTGTGATCTTGGCTCACCGCAACCTCTGCCCCCCGGGTTCAAGCGATTCTCATGCCTCAGCCTCCCAAGTAGCTGGGATTACAGGCATGTGCCACCACGTCCAGCTAATTTTGTATTTTTAGTAGAGATGGGGCTTCTCCATGTTGATCCGGCTGGTCTCAAACTCCTGACCTTAGGTGATCCACCTGCCTTGGCCTCCCAAAGTGCTGGGATTACGAGCGTGAGCCACCGTGCGTGGCCTTTTTCTAAATGTTTTATAGATGTATATCTTATGTTTAGTCCTTGAGTCATTTTGAGTTAATTTTTCTGTAGGGTGTGAGGTTCAGGTTCATCTTTTTGCCTATAGATGTGCAATGACTCTACACCCTTTAATGAGAGACATATCTTCCCCCGTTGAAGTGTTTTAACACCTTTGTCAGAAATCATTTGGGCATATTTGTGTGTGCTTCTTTCTTAGTTCTCTATTTGGTTGCATTGATCTATAGCTGTCCCTCTGTCAATATCACAGTCTTGATTACTGTAGCTATGTAAGTCTTGAAACTGGATAGACTGATTCTTCCCACTTTATTTTTCTTTTTCAAATTTGTTTTAGCTACTCTAGTTCCTTTGCATATTTCCGTATACATTTTTGTATGATCTTGTCTATATCTATGTAAAATTTTTCTGGGATTTTGGTAGTAATAATGTTATCCTGTGTAATAATTTGGATAAAATTGGCATCTTTACTATATTAAGTTTTCCAACCTATAAGCATGGTATATTTCACGCTATTTAAGTCTTCTTTGATTTCTTTTATCAGCGTTTTGTAGTTTTCAGCACACAAGTCCTGCACATTTTGTTAGATTTATATGTAAGTATTTCATTTTTTTCAGGCAATTAAAAACAGTATTTATTATGTTTTTAATTTTAGTACCCATGTGCTTATTGCTAGTACATAGAGATACAATTTTTTTTTTTTTAAATAGAGATGTGGTCTCATTATGCTGCTCAGGCTGGAGCACAGCAGCTATTCACAGGCACAATCATTGTGCATTACAGCCTCAAACTACTGACCTAAAACAATCCTCCTTTGTCCAGCTCAATTGATTTTTGTATGTTCATCATATATCCTGAATCCTAAAGACTTACTGAATTCACTTAGTAGTTTTAGTGTTTTTAAAATTAGGTTATTTTGCTTTTTTTTTTTGAGACGGAGTCTCGTTCTCTCACCCAGGCTGGAGTGCGGTGGCTCAACACTGCAACCTCTGCCTCCGGGTTCAAGTGATTCTCCTGCCTCAGCCTCCTGAGTAGCTGAGACTACACATGCCTGGCTAATTTATATATTTTTTAGTAGAGATGGGGTTTCACCATGTTGGTCAGGCTGGTCTCAAACTCCTGACCTTGTGATCTGCCTGCCTCGGCCTCCCAAAGTGGTGGGATTACAGGCATGAGCCACTGCGCTTGGCTGCTTTGCATTTAAGAAAAGTCATGCTTTATTTTATTTTTTTTGAGATGGAGTCTCACTCTGTCACCAGGCTGGAATGCAGTGGCACCCAGCTCACTGCAACCTCTGCCTCCCTTGTTCAAGCAATTCTCGTGCCTCAGCCTCCCAAGTAGCTGGGTCTACAGGTGCACGCCACCACATCCTGCTAATTTTTGTATTATTAGTGGAGACGGGATTTCACTATGTTGACCATTCTGGTCTCAAACTCCCGACCTCAAGTTTTCTGCTCGCCTCAGCCTCCTAAAATGCTGGGATTACAGGTATGAGCCACTGTGCCTGGCCAAAATCATGTGTTTTTAAACTGACAGATAAAATTGTGTGTATTTATCATGTACAACATGATGTTTTGGAGTAATATACGTTGTGCTAATTAACGTATGCATTACTTCACATAGTTATCATTTTTGTGGTGAGAACGCTTAACACCCACTCTTTTAGTATTTTCAAGAATACAATATATTAAGTATAGTTACCATGTTGTGCAATAGGTATCTTGAACTTACTCCTCCTAACTGAAATTTGGTATCCTTTGACCAGCGTGTCTCCACTGCCCCCCTACCCCTAGTTGCTTTACATTTTCTATGAGACAATCATGTCATCTGCAAACAGGAACAGTTTTATTTCTTCTTTGCCAATCTGCAGGTCTTTCATTTCCCTTTCTTATCGTTTTGCACAAGTTAGAACTTCAGGGCTATGTTAAATAAGAGCAATGAGAGTGAACATCCTTGCTTTGTTCCTGATCGTAGGGGAAAGCATTTAGTTTTTCACCATTAAGTATAGGTTAGCTGTAAGCTTTTGTAGTCTTTTGTAAGCTTTATCAAGTCAAGGAATTTCCCCTTTATTCTTATTTTTCTTATTAGAGTATCATGAATGGATATTGGATTTTGGCAAATGCTTTTTTCTGCATTGATTGATGTGATTATGTAGTTTTCCTCTTTAGTACGTTCATATAGTGGGTTACCTTGTTTTCAAATGTTGAACCAGACTTGCGTTTCTGGAATAAGTCCCACTTGATCATGGTGTATAATTATTTTTATATATTGCTTCTACTTGCTAATATTTTGTTAAGGAGTTTAAGGAGTTTTGTGTCTATACTCATGAAGGATATTGGTCTGCAGTTTATTTTTGTTTTTTTTTCCTTTTTATTTTCCCCACCACCCTGCCTGGCTAATTTTTGTATTTTAGTAGAGACAGGGTTTTACCATGTTGGCCAGGCTAGTCTCAAACTCCTGACCTCAGGTGATCCACCAGCGTCAGCCTCCCAAAGTGCTGAGATTACAGGTGTGAGCCACTGCACCTGGCCCAGTTTTCTTTTTTTATACTGCCCTTGTCCAGTGCTTCTTTTTTTTTTTTTTCTGACTGTTCCTGCAGAGCAGAGCTACCCATAGGCAGTGTGTCAAGAGTAGCTGTCCTTATACAGTTCTAGTATCAGAGTAACACCCACTTCATAAAATGAACTGGGAGATGTTCCCTTCTCTTCAGTTTTCTCAAAGATGCTATGTAGAGTTGGTGGTAATTCTTCATTAAACATTTGGTAGAATTCTTCAGTGAAACCATCTGGGCCCAGATATTTGCTTCTTGAGAGTTAAAAACATTTTTTAAATCCTTATTCTTCAAACAAAGTTCTATTTTTCTGAAGATATTTTTCACAGTACATACATCTCTTTAGCTGCAAAATAATTTGTCGTTTTTATTTGTTAAGGAAGGGTATAATTACCTTATCTAATATTTATAAAATATTAAGTTTAATGTTTCTGTTTTAAGAGTGTTAAAATTACAAATTCAATTTTCTCAGTAGTTATCAGGCTATCCCAATTATCTATTTCATATTGGGTGAGTTGTGGTAATTTGTGTTTTTTCAGTAATTAGTCCATTTCATCTACATTGTCAAATTTATAATGTGTAGAGTTGTTTCTAATTATGCTTTCATTCTAATAACTGGTAATCCGTGTCTTCTTTCTTTTTTGTTTGTTAGCCTTGCTAGAGGTTTGTCAATTTTATTAATCTTTCGAAGAATCAGTACTTTGTTTCACTGATTTTCTTTATTGTGTTTCTGTTTTCAATTTTACTGATTTATTTTTATATTTTCTTTCTTTTGCTTGCTTTGGGTTTATTTTGCTCTTCATCTTCTGTGTTCTTGAGATGGGAGTGGAGACTATTGATTTGAAACTTTTTCTCTTTTCTAATGTAAACATTTAGTGTTATAAATTTCCCTCTCAGCATTGCTTTAACTATGTCCCACAAATTTTGATATTCTTTTTTTTTTTTTTTTTTTTGAGGCAGTCTCTGTCGCCCAGGCTGGCGTGCAGTGGCACAATCTTGGCTCACTGCAACCTCTGCTGCCTGTGTTCAAGCGATTCTCCTACCTCAGCCTCCCAAGTAGCTGGGACCACAGGCTCCCGCCACTGCGCTTGGCTACTTTTTGTAGTTTTTTAGTTGAGACGGGGTTTCACCATCTTGGCCAGGCTGGTCTCGAACTCCTGATCTTGTGATCCACCAGCCTCGGCCTCCCAAAGTGCTGGGATCACAGGCGTGAGCCACCGCACCCAGCCATATTCATTTTTAGTCAGTTTATTTCCCTTAAGAAATTTTTAAAAATACATTAAACAATAAAAATGAATATCAGAAATGAATATCTTTGACCCACGGATGATTTTAGAAATGTGCTGTCCAGTTTTCAAGTATTTGGAGGCTTTTCTCGTTATCCTCCAGTTACCTCTTTCTAGTTTGATTCCAGTAGAGCACACTCTGTATGACTTCTATTCTTTGAAATGTGTTAAGTTTTTAAAAAGCGTTAGATATAATCCACATACCATATGTTTCACCCACTTAAAACGTACAATTCAATGGCCTTTTTTATATTTGTAGAGTTGCGCCAACATCACCACAATCAATTTTGGAACATTTTCATTATCCCAAAAAGAAATCCTACACTCTTTAACTGTCACCTTCTCCCTCCCCATGCAGCTCTTCCACTGTCCATCCAAGCCTTCGGCAATCACTAGTGAGCTTTGTTTTATGGCCCAGGGTAGGGTCTAAGGATATGTTCAGTGAATACTTGAAAAGAATGTTTATTTTGCTATTGTTGGGTAGAGTGTTCCGTAAATGTCTATTAGATCCTGTTGTTCAGTGGTGTTAAGTTCTTCTCAACTCCATGCTGATTTTTTTGTCTAGTTGTTCTATCAGTTGTTAAGAGAGGGTGTTGAATCTCCAAGCAGAATGATTGATTTGCCTGCTTTTCTTTCAGGATCTTTTCTTGATCCTTTTATTCCTGTCTCTTGAAATTTTCTTTTCTCTGAAGTCTATTTTATGTTATTAATATAGCCACTCCTTTCTTTTGATTAATGTTTTCATGATATATTTTATTCTTTTAATTTCAACCAACATATGTTGGTATATTTAAAGCAGGTTTCTTTTTTGTTTTTCAACTGAGGTGGAGTCTCACTCTGTCGTTCAGGCTGGAGTGGCGCAATCTTGGCCCACTGCTACCTCTGCTGCCCGGGTTCAAGCAGTTCTTGTGTCGCAGCCTCCTGAGTAGTTGGGACTACAGGCGTGTGCCACCATGCCTGGCTAATTTTTTTGTATTTTTAGTAGAGATGGGGTATTACCATGTTGTCCAGGCTGGTCTGGAACTCCTGACCTCAGGTGATCCACCCGCCTTGGCCTCCCGAAGTGCTGGGATTACAAGTGTGAGTCACTGCACTCAGCCCAAAGCAGGTTTCTTATAGCTATGTTTTTAAATTAACTCTGCTATCTCTGTCTTTTAATTGATATAATTAGATCATTTACATTTATGTAATTATTGATAAGTTAGGGCTTAAGTCTACCATTTTATTTATGTTTTTAAAAAATTTAGTTTGTCCTCCTCTTTTTTTCTCTTTTTGTCTTGTCTTCCTGTAGAGTATTTGAATATTTTTTAGAATTCCATTTCAATTTATCTAAATTGTTTTTGGTTATTATCTCTTTGTATAGTGTTGTTAGTGGTTGCTGTATTACATTAT
The DNA here is from genome assembly GCF_000001405.40 of Homo sapiens. Classification (NCBI taxonomy): domain Eukaryota; kingdom Metazoa; phylum Chordata; class Mammalia; order Primates; family Hominidae; genus Homo; species Homo sapiens. Next base: position 20,040,149 of record NC_000017.11, read on the forward strand.
ATGTATATATATATATACACACACATATACACACATATATTTATATATACTTACGTGTGTGTGTGTATGTAACTTTTCACAGTGTTGTCATTTTACCACTTCAATGAGGTATAGAAACCTATACTTTCCCCATTTATAATTCTCTGCATACATTTAGTAGAAGCACTTCAGACAGGGTTATAATTTTTGCTTCAACCATCAATATAATTTAGAAGTCTTAAGAGGAGATAGAAATTTTATTGTAATTACATGTATTTTTGCTTACTATGTTATTTCTTTCTTCTTGATGTTTCTGGATTCCTTCTTTCATCATTTTTTGGTCTGTTGCATGATCTTCCTTTTGCCATTCCTTTAGGGGAGATCTGCTGGCAACATATTCTCTTATTTTGCTTTATCTGAGACTGTCTTGATTTCCCATTGATTCTTGAAGGATATTTTTACTGAATCTAGAATTTTGTGTTGACACTTCTTTTCTTTCAGCACTTGAAAACCATTGTGTCATTTCCTTCTGGCTTCCTTAATTTCTGTAAGAAATCTGTTACTTGAATTGTTTTTCCCTTATACATGAAGTGTTGTTTCACTCACTGCTTTCAAGACGTTTTCTCTTTTCGTCTTTTCAGAAGTTTGACTATGATGTATTTTGGTGTGGATTTTATTGGGCTTTTTATTTGGGGTTCAGCATTTCGAATCTATAGGTTTATGTCTCTTGCCAAATTTGGGAAGTTTTCAGCTATTATTTTTTGAATACGTTTCCAGCTGTGCCATCTTTGTCTCTTTCCTGGACCCTGATGACAAGTGTTAGATCTTTTATTTTAGTCTCAGAGGTCTTTGAGACTTTCTCCCTCACTCCTTCCCTCCCTCCTTCCCTTCCTTCCTTCCTTTCTCTTTTTCCATCATTCCTCCTGCTGCTCCTCTTTTTTCTTCTTTATTTTTTGGCCAGTCTATTTTCTTTCTGTTCTTCATATTGGGTAATTTCTATTATTTTCTGTTGAAGTTCACTGATTATTTTGTCTGCCCCCTCCATTCTATGTTGTCTTTCCATTCAATTTGGTTACTGTATTTTTCAATTCTAAAATTTCCATTAAAATATGTATCTATTTTTTTGAGATGGAGTTTTGCTCTTGTTGCCCAGGCTGGAGTGCAATGTGCAATGGCGGGATCTCGGCTCACCGCAACCTCCACCTCCTGAGTTCAAGCGATTCTCCTGCCTCGGCCTCCTGAGTAGCTAGGATTACAGGCATGTGCCACCATGACTGGCTAATTTTGTATTTTTAGTAGAGACGGGGTTTCTCCATGTTGGTCAGGCTGGTCTCAAACTCCTGACCTCAGGTGATCCGCCTGCCTCAGCCTCCCAAAGTGCAGGGATTACAGGCTGTGAGCCACTGCACCTGGCCAAAATATATATCTTTTATTTCTTTGCCAAGATTTTTTTTTCATTTGTTTCAAGCACGTTTGTAGTTGTTTGTTGAGGCTTTTTTTTTTTTTTTTTTTTTTTTTGGGACGAAGTCTTGCTCTGTTGCCCAGGCTGGAGTGCGGTGGTGCGATCTCGGCTCACTGCTCCTCTTCCCAGGTTCATGCCATTCTCCTGCCTCAGGCTCCCGAGTAGCTGGGACTACAGGTGCCCACCACCATGCCTTGCTATTTTTTTTTGTATTTTTAGTAGAGACGGGGTTTCACCGTGTTAGCCAGGATGGTCTCGATCTCCTGATCTTGTGATCCACCTGCCTCGGCCTCCCAAAGTGCTGGGGTTACAGGCGTGAGCCACCGCGCCCAGCCTGTTGAGGCTTATGATATGTGCTTTAACATCCTTTCAGGTAGTTCTAATATCTGTGCTCTCTTAGTGCTAGTGTCTGTCAATTGTCTTTTCTCTCTTTCAGTTTGGGATCTTCCTGACTCTTGGTATAAATGATCCTCAATGAAAACTTCAACGATTTGGGTATTACGTTATCAGACTCTAGACCTTATTTAAACCTGTTTTGAACACCATTGTAGTAGAAGAAGGGGGACATCAGCTTGTTACTTCTAGATGGGGGTAAATATCCAGGCTTTCCGCTCTGCTTCCATTGACACCCAATGGGGTGGGGGACCCCTGTTGCTGCTGGGTGGTTGTGGGTATTCTGGTTCCCTACTTGGCCTCCCTGATACCTCCCTGGCTAGGAGGGGTAGGAGTGCCTACTGCTTGCCACAGTGCTTTCACTGTCACCATGGGGGAAGAGGGAGGAAAGGTGGCCTCATTATCTCTGGGAAAAGGTTAAGTCACTGAATCTCCACTAGGCCTCCTCTGACATGACCCCAGCAGGGAGGGCCTCATCACTCCTGGGTGGGAGTGGAAGTCCAGGTTCCCCTGACACTGCTGGCGGGTGAGGGATGGGCTCCTTACTACTGCCATGCAGGGATAAAAGTCGCAGTCCTTACTCAGCCTTGGTGGGGGTGTTGGGTACCTTGGTACGTCCTCACAAGACTGGAAGTCTAGGCTCCCTGCTCAGTTATTGCTGGTAAATGGGCAGTTACTGTCTAAATGTGTTCCATCTCATTAGACTGTCTCCTTCCTGGTCCTTTGGCTAGAGAGGGCAGGCTTTTCTTGGGGCTTTTCAATCTGTGCCCCTTGGTGTTTTGAAGTTGCCTGCTGCTTCAGCTCCAAGTCTGAGATAATGAAGCAAAAAGAAGACCCAGTGAACCCATCACTGGGTTGTTCTGTGGGCCTCAAGGCACCTGGATAGTCTGCCTCCTCTTCCCCTTCCAGAACCTTCTTATATTTGTTTTATATCTAGTGTTGAGGGTTTTTATTACCACTTACTGGGAAGAACAGGGAAAAGTATGTCTGCTCTGTCCCTGGAGCTCAAGTCCACAACTTGCTTTTCGTTTGTTTTTAAATAATTAGTTTTGTTTTTAAATGAAACTGAGTTTTCTTTGGAGAGGCCAAGCAAGTTTCTTTGGAGAGGCCAAGCAAGTTGTCTGGTGGAGCGTCTCATGGTCAGAAGCTGTCCAGTTCTTCCCTTGTGATTAGCTTCAAACAGTTTTGGCGAGAAGCTGTGTGGGCGATGCTGTGTAGCTCCCACATCACAAGGAGGCACATAGTGTTGTGGGGCCTGGCTGGGGGTCACAGGAAGCTTGATCACATCTTCCTTCCTGTATCTAATAAATTATCTGTGGTGTGAAACTCTGAGATCATGTGAGCATCCTCTTCCCAAGCAGCCTTTTACTCAGTGGTTTTAGCATGTCTAGGTGAATATATTAAGGTTTACAAAATGATAATTTTTCTAATTCTCTCATTTCCTTTACATTTATTAGCTGGTATTCTTCCATGAAGAAGAGCTTTATCCAAAGCCACATCCTTTTGTTCTCTTTTTAGTACCAATATGTATTTTAATTCATGTTTTATAATTCATTACTGTCATGTTTTTCTTGAAATTGTTCCACGCGGGGCAAAGTGAGCTCCTTCTGGTTCACTCTTAGGTCCATTTAACATGACTCTGTTAATCTTTGGGCAGTTCCTTGATTTCTGGGCAACATGGGATGTCCCAGACTCACCATTTTCATTTCATAGTCCACACCTAGAATCAGCTATTTCCCCAAGGAGCCCTGCTTCCTTTTAGTAAGGAATGGTATTTAGAAATGCAAATAAATTTCCAAGGGAGAAGAGTTTTCTAAGGGAAGATAAAGTATTGAATTATAGTAGTTACTCGTAGTCACAACTGCTACTGTATTCTTGGTGACTTAGGCCCTCGTTTGAAGTTAGGGAGGTAGAGCTTCATGTGACAGTGATTTGTGTGCCTGTGTCTCCTCTATCTGGCTGACTTTCTTGGGAGCCAGGAGAGTATCTTTTCAATTTTTATATTCACAGTATTTAGCACTGTTTCTGGAACAGAGGAGGATTTAATAACTATTTGGACTTAAATTGTGCTAAACAGACTCCTAAGCTGTGCATCATAGAATCCAAGAATTTTTCTAATGTTCTGCCTGTGTGGAGAAGAGTAAGGATCTTCTCCACACAGTGGAGAACATTTCTCACAGTGGAAATGTTCATAGGCCCTGGGCAGATTATTCAGTGTTTCAGAACTTGTTTCTCTTGCTGAATGGGAAGCATTTTATTGGCTTCAGCATGCTAAAAAAAAGGCTATAACAAGATCTGAGGCTGTTCTTACGAGGTAGTGGTAAAGTATGGGTATGGGATTCAGTTTGAACATTTAGAGAAGGTGACTTTGTAATCTGTATATAGCTCACCCTGGAGGTGAATGGTACTGGTTTTCAGCCTCTACTTGGGAGATGTGTGTTTCTTCTTTTGCTGACTCTGCTACTATATAGTTTTATGACCTTTAAGTCAGTCAGTTGCTCAATTTCTTTTCCTTATTTTCATCTGGAAAAGAGCGTGATGGTGTTTTGAATTAAGATATAATAAGAAAAACATATAAAACCCTTGGATATGTAGCAATAAAATGAAAGAAGATGTATTATAAGCACAGAACTTGGCCATTATGAGTAGCAACAAAGGAAGCCTAGTGTCAGGTCCTAGGGTTTGTTTTTATTTGAAGGAGCTGTATGTGGCATTTTAATAAGGGTTCCAAATGAAAGGGTAGTTTCAGGCTGAGTCTAGCTTTGAGACTATAATGATAATGGGACTGTAAAGTTATATTAAAGTGGGTTTAGGCAGAAGGCACATGAAAAGTACATTTATTTATAACCGCATTTTGAGTGAAGGGATAGAACCTAAAAGGAAAGACTAAAATATTCAACATGGTATTTATCAAGTAAAGGGTGTGCTCACGCACATGCGTGCATGTGTGCTGTGTGTGTTTATGATGAATAAGAACTCTTTTATTCCATCACCATTTGTTTAAACATGAAGTTTAAAGAAATGCTTTATTTCCTGAATTTTCTTTTTCCAAAAAGTAATTCTTGCTTGGGGTAAAAATTACAAGCAGTATAGATATACAACTTAGTAAAACATCTCAATATTCTGCTGATAGTTTTGTTTCTGTTCTTTCAGATGTTTTCTGTGCACACACTAGATTTTTTTTTCCAGAAATTAGCTCATACTGACTATCATAAGCCCATCCTGCTGCTGCTTGAGTTTGTTTTCACGTAACACACAGCTTTTTATGTCCATCTGTGGACATCCATATCACTCTTTTTGATGGTTGAATGATGGGTACATACCCTCATGTACCCAGTATCCTATTGAGACATATGGATTATTTCTTGTTTTTTGCTATTATAAACAATGCTGCAGTAAATACCATTTTGTGTGTGTATCTGCTGTCTCATGTACTTTGGATTGATATCTAAGAGTGGAATTACTGAAACAAAAGTTGTGGATATTTATGTTTTGCCAGTTGTTCTAAAGAGTTGGTTAATTTGCAGGGCTGAGGATTCCTCATCTCAGATGACATAAGGTTCTTGTTATACTCTCTAAGTGCCCTGAGTTTCTCTCTCACATATGGTGGCTGTAATCAGTGGGCATTACAGGTGCCTTTGAGATGGTGTGACCCTTCCAGGGACATCTGTATCCCACAGAATGTCTAAGTTGGTACATCCTAGCTCTCAGCACGTTCCTCCTACTGAGCCCAGACTTGGCAGGGTTGGCCAGGTGTGTGCTTATAGTTTGTGGTTTGAGACTGTGGCAGTTTTTCCTGCTTTATCTGAGATGATGCTTTTCTACCCTGTTTATCAGTAGTGTTTTTTGGGCTGGGGGAGGTCACAGGTGAGGTGATGCAAAATAACTCCTACTCTTGTTTTCAACTGGAAACTAATTTATATCTTATTTTGTTGTATCTGGCTTTTCCTCCCCCTCTGTTAATTGGAAGATATGCTTATCTTTCTCAGTTTATCGACTTGAGAAAGAAATCTTTTGGTTATACCTTTCTAAAAAAAAAAAAAACCATTAGCATAGTAATATTACTTCACACTTCCTGTACCTTAATCTCCAGTTTTTGTGACGCTTTGAGAATTCTTTTTTAAAAATTTAAGTTTTAATTTTTTTAGAGACAGTTTCTTGCCGTGTTGCCTAGGCTGAGTCTTGAACTCTGGTCTCAAGTGATCCTTCCACCTCAGCCTCCTGAGTAGCTGGGATTGCAGATTTGAGCCACAGTGCCTGGCAGAGTTTTTGTTATTATTATCAAATTAATATTATTTTTACATTATTAATTTTTTCTTTCTAGGCTTCTTAAAATTATATCTAATTTTCTATCCATAGTTAACCCAGACCATGAGATTTAATTCTATTTAGATTTAATTCTGTGCCTAACTGGAACTGGTACTACTGCTAGTTCATTCATTGATAACATTGAATACTCTGAACTATGCCCTGTTCTATGTCCTAGGGATAAAGAAATGAATAAATAGACAGAAATCCCTGCCCCTCTGGAGTTTATGTACTAGAGGGGGTGGCAAACAATGTAATAAATGAGTAAGTCTTAGAATACGTTAGAAGAGAACAAGTGCTAAATTGTAAGAATAAAAGTGGAATAGGGTGAGTGAGGTCCATGGGGTCAAGGGGAGTATGTAGAATTTAAATAGGGTAGTCAGGGAGGGCCCCATTGAGATGCTGACATTTGAGCAATGACCTAGAGTAGGTAAGGGAGTTAACTCACTGCAGGTGGAGGAGGCGGCCAGAGCCAAGACTCAAGGAGTCGCCTTCCTGATGTACAGGAGGGGCAGTGAGGAGGCCAGGGCTGCTAGGGTATGCAGGAGACACGTCACAAGGATCCGGAGGGCACGTGGGGTGGGGGGTGGGAAGGGCTTTGTAGACCAGTGCGCACTGGAGGGCTCTGACTTGGGTGTTGATGTGGTCACTCTGCTATGCTGAGAGCAGACTCCAGGGGACAAGACTGGGAGGAGGGAAAGGTGCTGACTATTGCAGGAAAGCCGGGCGAGAGATGTTGGTAGATGGGACCAGACTGATTTGAAGCTATGAAGTTCCCATTAATGAGCACATTAAGTACATTTAACTTTCAGTGGGCTGGATTAGGACTACATTTTTCTTAAGGATTCTTGAGTATGAGAATGCTTGTGTTCTTTCATGTTGTAAATGCTTGTGTTCTTTCATGTCTTTCATGGCTTTTGCAGCCTTTAAATAATGCGTGACATTCTAACTTGGTAAAGATGTGTTGGGTCACTTTCTCTCCCTTCTGGCTCAGTAGGCAGCATTCTTTTGTCTTCAGACTCCAGTGTTCTGGAGAAGACTGCAGATGGTCTGCCTTTTTCCGCATTATGGGTCACCCACTTCTTTCTCTGTGTTGGTAGAATCACCAGCCTTGCTAGATGTGTCTTGTGCTGGTTGGACTCTACTGATTTTTCTTGGCATATGCTAAACCCTTTCAAGCTATAGATTCAGTTACTCAATTTCAGGAAAGTTTTCCGGTGTTATATCTTAAATTTTCTTTTCCTGTGCCATTTGTTTTGTTCTGTTCAGAATTAGCAGTTGTGTGTCTGTTGGATCTTTATCTCTCGTATCTAACTTTTTTTTTTGAGATGGAGTCTCACTCTGTCACCCAGGCTGGAGTGCAGTGGCGTGATCTCGGCTCACTGCAAGCTCCGTCTCCCAGGTTCATGCCATTCTCCTGCCTCAGTCTCCCGAGTAGTTGGGACTACAGGTGCCTGCCACCACGCCTGGCTAATTTTTTGTATTTTTAGTAGAGATGGGGTTTCACCGTGTTAGCCAGGATGGTCTCGATCTCCTGACCCTGTGGTCCCCCCGCCTCAGCCTCTAACATCTTTTTAATCACTTTTATGGATTTCCTATATTCCATTTCCCCAAATGAATGTCCGCTTTCACTGACTTCTTCAGCAATTCCACTTCACTTCTTACCCTTCTTCACGTAATGTTCATCAGATAATGGTGTTAGTGCTTTTCTCCATTGGTGTCCTTGACTCATCCGTTACCTTCCTTCAGTAAGGAGCAGGGCCCACAGGGAAGGATATTCCTTGCTTTAACCTCTCACTAAGCTGAGATAAATTTGAATACGGCTCAAGATCTAGAGAAATGAGTCTTTTTTTTTTTTTTTGAGACAGAGTCTTGCTCTGTCACCCAGGCTGGAGTGCAGTGGCGTGATCTCGGCTCACTGCAAGCTCCGCTTCCTGGGTTCACGCCATTCTCCTGCCTCAGCTTCCCAAGTAGCTGGGACTACAGGCACCTGCCACCACGCCCGGCTAATTTTTTGTATTTTTAGTAGAGACTGGGTTTCACTGTGTTAGCCAGTATGGTCTCAATCTCCTGACCTCGTGATCTGTCCGCCTCGGCCTCCCAAAGTGCTGGGATTACAGGTGTGAGCCACTGCGCCCAGCCGAGAAGTGAGTCTTGATTCTTGTCATCTTCCCTCGATTTTGTTCAGCAAATTCCTGTCTCAGAAATAGCCTTTGTGTTTGTTGCTCAGGGTTGAGGCCCTTCTCTACTTTCATTATAGGTTGAATTTCCTTCTCTGTTTTGACTTTAATAGAAGGGGAGAGTAGATATTTTTTCTTTTGTAAGAATTCCCAGGGCCAGGCGCGGTGGCTCACGCCTGTAATCCCAGCACTTTGGAGCCTGAGGTGGGTGGATTGCTTGAGCCTAGGAGTTTGACATTAGCCTGGGCAACATAGTGAGACCCTGTATATACAAAAATTAGCATGATGGCACGTGCCTGTAGTCCCAGCTACTCAGGAGGCTGAGGTGGGAGGATTGCTTGAACCCAGGAGGTCGAGGCTGCAGTCAGCTGAGATCATACCATGGCATTCCAGCCTGGATGACAGAGTGAGACCCTGTCTCAGAAAAGAAAAAAAAAAATTCCCAGACATATCGCTTAAAAATTATCTTTTGTGAAAAATAATATATTACAGTATATAAAATTCAACATGTTTAACGGGGAAGGAGGGAAAAGAAGATTATCTTCTGCCCCTGTCCCTTAGCTCCCAGTTCCCAGCCCCAGGAAGCACAACCATATAGAACACATTCCTAGAGTGGAATTGCTTTGTCAAAGGATATATGCACTTGTACATTTGATAGACGCTGCCAGATTGCTTTCCATAGAAGCCATCAGTATATATATGCTATCAGCAAAAAATGAGAGTGCCAGTCTCCTCACATTCTCACCAACATGATGATGTTTGAAGTTTTTCAAATTTTTGCCATTCTAATAGGTAAAATAGATTTGAAAGTTTTATTTTGCATTTCCTGTTAATACAGGTGGTTGAGGAGCCAGGTGCGGTGGGGCACACCTGTAGTCCTGGTACTATCATTTGAGCCCAGGAGTTTGAGCCTAACCTGGGCAACATCGTGAGACCCTGTCTCTCAAAAAATAAATAAGTAAAAGTCAGTCTGAGCATCTTATGTGCCGAAGAGCCATTTGTATTCTCTGTGAACTACCTGTTCATTACCTGTCACATTTTTATTTTGGGTTAGTGGTGGTTTTTTTGTTGGGTTTATATAGGTACTCTTTATGTGTAGGAAAATTAACTCTGTCTGGATATGAGTCAAGTTTTGTTTTCCCAGTTCATTCAGCTATGATTATTTAGCTGTGTTTGTGCTATGTTTTAGGCATGTAGAAAGATTTGGTTTGTATGTAGGTGATTTTCTCTTTTATAACTTCAGGGTTTTTATATTATAGGCATTCCCCATCCTAAGAGTCCGAGGATTCTACGGTGTTTTCTTCTGCTAATTATACTATTTTCATTTTTTTCTTTTCTTTCTTTATTTTTATTTATTTATTAATTTTTTTGAGTTGAAGTTTTGCTCTTGTTGCCCAGGCTGGAGTGCAATATCTCAGCTCACCGCAACCTGTGCCTCCCAGATTAAAGCTATTCTCCTGCCTCAGCCTCCCAAGTAGCTGGGATTACAGGCATGTGCCACCATGCCTGGCTAATTTTGTATTTTTAGTAGAGATGGGGTTTCTCCATGTTGCTCAGGCTGGTCTCGAACTCCCGACCTCAGGTGATCTGCCCACCTTGGCCTCCCAAAGTGCTGGGATTACAGGTGTGAGCCACCGCCCCTGGCCAATTTTTTTCTTTTAAATATTTGGTGCTCCTCACCAACATGGCACATGTATACCTATGTAATAAACCTGCATGTTGTGCACACGTACCCTAGAACTTAAAACTATAATTAAAATAAATAAATATTTGGTGCTCCTTCAGTTACTCCTGGTGTTAGGAGTAAGGTAGGGTGCCCAACTGTGTTTTTCCTGATGCCTATCCTGCTGTCTGAACACCATTTGTTGGTTCCTTTGGAATACTAGATTTATCGTATATTAAATTCCTGTATATGTTTGAACCTAATTCTTGGTCTAGTCCATGTCTGTTTGTCTATTCATGTACCAATATCAAACCTTTTAAAATTTAGGCTTAAAATATTTTTTAAAATGCAAATTCAATAAAATCATTTTGGAGAGAAGTCTTATTGGAATATTTCAGTAGTTCCTTCACAGTAAGATGTTGTAGATCATTCTTCTGAGCACAATCTGCTATTCATTGTTAGGGCATGTGTTTAGTTACCTACTTTGAATTGATTTTGCTGAAAGAAGTAAGGATTCTTGGGTGGTCTTTCTATATTCTCCTACCCTGGCTCCTTGGTAATGTGGAAAATGAATTTTCAGGTAAAATTGTCAGAGGACAGTAGGATGGTTTTTGTTCTGGAGTATATTAACATGAACTGGCCCAACTTAGGCTCACATTTGATAACTTCATGTTAGTAAGCATCCTCCTTTGGTTAAATAAACTGGCTGTGGATATTCTCCAGGGAAAAAGTTACTAGTAACTCTTAGAAAACTAATGCATACATGAGCTGGTAAAGAGGAACTTCTTAAAGCACAATTTTAGAGTTATAGAAGCATATATTTGTTGTTATGATCTTGCAAGTTTGCTAACTGCTTTACTGAAAATAGCGTGCATGGAAAAACATAGCATAGTAGGTCCCAAATAAGCACTTGGTTCTTTCTTTCTTTCTTTCTTTTTCTTTCTTTCTTTCTTTCTTTCTTTCTTTCTTTCTTTCTTTCTTTCTTTCTTTCTTTCTTTCTTTCTTTCCTTCTTTCCTTCTTTCCTTCTTTCCTTCTTTCCTTCTTTCTTTCCTTCTCCTTCAGACAGAGTCTTGCTTTGTTACTCAGGCTGGAGTGCAGTGGTGCAATCTTGGCCCACTGCAACCTCTGCCTCCTGGGTTCAAGCAATTCTCCTGACTCAGCCTCCTGAGTAGCTGGGGTTACAGGGACCTGCCACCATGCCTGGATAATTTCTGTATTTTTAGTAGAGACAGGTTTCACCATGTTGGCCAGGCTGGTCTTGAACTCTTGACCTCAAGTGATCTGCCTGCCTCGGCCTCCCAGAGTGCTAGGATTACAGGTGTGAGCCACTGTGCCCAGCTAGCACTTGGTTATTTCTTTAAAAAATCAAATTTAAATTCTGTCCTGAATTTGTTATATGCTTTCTTTTAAAATGTATGTTTAGGTAAACATCTGTTTTAGGGCTTTTTCTTCCTTTGAATTTTTTTCCTTTATTTGTTCATTCAACAAATATTAATTACTTGCTCTGTGCTAGACAGCGTTTTAGGTACTGATATTCAGCAGACAAGGATCTTGCTTTTATTGAGTTTATAATCTAGTGGGGGAGATCAGCAATAAATAAGTTGTCAGGATGTGATTAGTTTTATGGAGAAAATCAAGTAGGGTGGGGTGAAAGTGACTCACTTTGGGGGCAGCATCCAGTAGCATTAGTTACCTTTTATTAGAAAGGCAGCATGGGAAAATAGAAGCATGGACTTCAGAGTTTGATACGTTCCTGTACAAATCTCAGATTTTCTACATGCAGGTTGTGTGGCCCTGAGCAAATTACCTAACCTCTCTGACCCCCATTTCCCCAACTGTCCAAAGGGGAGAGAAGAATACCTGACTCATAGTGGGTTATTAAGGATTAAATGTGACAACTTCAACAAAAAAACCCTAGAAGAATGTTTGACCTGTAATAGTCACTTTATAAATAGCAGCTAAAATATTATCACTTCATCACTTTATTCATTAAAAGTTTTTAAGAAGTTTCTCCATTATTTCATTAGTTTCAATATCATGTGCCTAGTAAGATGGTAGGTTTTAACAAAAGCACCCTTAAATAGCCATTTGTGCCAAATGTCACCATAGTGACTGCTAAAATGGGGGAACCGCAGGTATTACTGTATTCATTTCCATGAATTGTCATAGTTTAATGTTCATCTACAGTTGGTCATGTTTTGTTGAGGTCCTAACAGAAAAGGAACTACATTTGTATTGAACATTGTATTAGAACAAATTTTAATACCTCTGAAAGGTCATACATCAAAGAATCTAGACCAAAAACCAGAGTTCTAGCTCAGAAACACCAGCACTACCACTGTTTTATCTGTCCCACATTGAGGAATATGACAGACTCTGGTTCAAAGATACCTTAACGCCTTATCCATACTACTAGAGGCCCAGGCTGAGATTCTCCTAGACCACAGGCTGGGAGCAGTGACATCTCCAAGATACCAAGTCTGTCAGGGTCACTGATGGAGATTTCCATAGAGGAGGTTCTCAGGCCTAACTGAAGGCATCACTTCTTAGATACGTGGCCCAATCAAACACTATCCAAGGAAGGAGCATGGACTCTAGAGAGGTTTGGGAACAGGGTAGCAGATATGCCAGAATGCTGAAACCTGGAACAGGCCAGGAAGACAAAACAGCAGTCTGCATGTAGCAAAAAGAGAAGGTAGGAAGGTACAGGTAACAACAAAATGGATTTGAGGTGAGAATCTCAATGTGAGGTCACATCTATATTCCTAACACACACAGTTTGTTACCTATGCGTTTGCCCTAGAGACAGGACCACACTAAATAGCACCCATTCTTTCTTATTTTCCTTATCCCTCAAACAAAGAAGTGTCCCTCTCTTGGCCCCAAGTCAATGGGTAAGGGATTCTGCCAAGACCTTTGTCAACTATCCCCTATCATTTATGTTTTTTACCTCTCCCTGTCTACTGATTTATTCTCCCTCTACCTCAAAACATGCTTATATGGTTCCTTTCTTTAAAAAAGAATTCCACCGAAATTTCCTACTCTGACCTCTAACTCAATAGTTAAAGTTCCTTTCATGGCTCACTTTTCAGGGGGAATCTGACTCCACTTCTTTTACCTTTCAATTCCTCCTTAATTCTGTGATCTTCCTCTATTCTTGCTAAAGTCATGACCATCTATGGGTATGTTCATTGCCTGTTGGACATTTGAATGTCTCAGGCATTTCAAGTTCAGCATTAATTGAACCCCCTATCCACTTCCACAGTGTGATGATTTTTAAATATATCCACAAATTCTTTGACACTTCTTATTTCAAGAGGTGGAGCTTAGTTCCCTTTCTAACTAATGGAATAAGGCAGAAGTGAGAGTGTTAGGAGTAGGTCCATAGTGTTAGGAGTAGGAGTAGGAAGAACACTGTGGCTTCCTCCTTGCTCTCTCTCTCAGATCACTCATGCTGAGAGAAGCCAACTGCCAGATGGGGAGGATGTTCCAGCAATGCTATAGAGAGGCTCACTTGGCAATGAATTGAGATCTCCTGCCAACAACCAGCACTGCCTTGTCAGGCAGGTGAGTGAACTCCTTGGAAGTGGACCCTCCGGCCCCAGTTGAGCCTTCAGATGATGCAACCCCAGCTGACATCTTGATTGCAACCTCTTGAGAAACTCTGAGCCAGAACCAGCCAGCTAAGCCTATCTTAGATTCCTGGCCCACAGAAACTGGGAGATAAGCCTTTGTGTTTTAAGCTGCTAAATGGTTGTCAGTGATTGGCTACACACCAGTATATAACCAATACACACGGCAAACCTTCCGTATTCCCAGTCGTAGGGAAAGCAAGGAAACAACTCCTTCCTCTCCAAGATACAACTGGTGATCAAGTCCTGTTATTTTCATCTAGGTATCTGTTGATTCAGCCTGTTCTGATTTTTCTAGTCACTCTGTCAGTTTATTATTTATCATCTAGACTGTTTCAGTTGCCTCTTAACAAGTTTCTTGCCTCCAGCTTCACTCTCTTTTAATCTATTCCCCATACTGCCATAAAAAATCATTCTAAAATGTGAATTTGAGCATCTTTCTTCTTTGATTGAATTGTCCCCATTGACTAGAGTTAATCAAGCCCAGTCATCTTAAGCAATGCAGGCAAAGCTGTTTGAGGTTTCATCCCACCATGCTTTCCAGCTCCTGTCTCTCCTGCAGCAGGGTGTTCAGCCATCAAAAATAGCCGGTGGGTCCCAGAATCTCCCACGGCTTTTCTTCTTTCTGTGATTTGGTGTGTGCAGTTCTCTCTAGTTTTGGAAGGCTTTCACCAACTGTTTGACGCTTTCTCTATTTTCTGAAAGTTAGGCATTCCTCCTTTCTTCTGCAGTCCCCAGGGGATACCTGTGTAATTGCTGTGATCACATCACTGTCATTGTTTGTCTCTCAATGTCTGTTTTTCAGTTAGACCAAGAATCCCACTAGATGAGGGTCGATGCTCTGTTCATCTCTTTTTTGTTGTTGTTCTTGCGTATCTGATCTTTTAAAATGTTTGATATTCTTTTTCTTTTTTTGGGGGGGGTGGTGTCTTGCTCTGTCATCTGGGCTGGAGTACAGTGGTGCAATCATGGCTCACTGCAGCCTTGACCTCCTGGGCTCAAGCAAGCCTCCCACCTCAGCCTCCCTAGGAGTGCACCTCCACAGCTGGCTAATTTTTGTATTTTCTGTAGAGACAGGGTTTCACCATGTTACCCAGGCTAGTCTCGAACTCCTGGGCTTGATATTCTTTTTTTATTTTACTGTGGTAAGAACACTTAACCACATTTGTGGATCTACTACATTTGTTAATCTACCCTTAACAAATTTTTAAGTGTACAATACATTATTGTTGACTCTAGGTACAGTGTTGTACAGCTGATCTTGAGAGCTTATTCATCTTACTTAACTGCAACGTTATGTTCGTTGATTAGTAACTCCTCGTTTCCCGCCCTGCAGCTCCAGGTAACCTCCATTGTACTCTTTGATTCTATGAATTTGTCTATTTTTGGTATCTCATATAAGTGGAGTCGTGCAGTATTTGTCTTTCTATGACTGCCTTATTTCATTAGCAAAATGTCCTCAAGATTCATCCATGCTGTTGCATGTTATAGAATTTCCTTTTTTTTTTTTAGAGGCTGAATAGTACTCCATGGTATGTATATACCACATATTGTCTACCCCTTCATCCACTGATGGGCATTTAGTTGTTTCCACATCTTGGTTTTACTCTTTGAGGAACCTGCATACTCTTTTCCACAGCAGCTGCTCCATTTTACATTCTCATAAACAGTGCACAAAAGTTCCAGTTTCTCTACATCCTCACCAATACTTGCTGTCTTTTGATTTTTTGGTAATAGTCATCCTGACAATGTGCGTTCTGTTCATTTTAAGTCTCTAGCAACTAATGGGATATTTGAACAGGGTGTCTGAAACTTTTAGTCTAGCAGATAGGGAATTTCACATTAGCAGAGTCAGAATATAAAAATGTAACTTTACCTCTCTATACATGATCATAACTTCACTCTCTAGCCATTGTTTTTCACTAAAGGCAGTGAAGAGTCTTTGGGGATGAGGGTTCTGGCCCCGTCACTGATGCTTTCATTGGCCATGAAGGCTTTGCTGGTTGTTGGTGCCATCCATTTCTCTGTGTTCCCTTTTCTCTTTATGTTAGTCCCACTGGGCCCCCTCCGTTCTGACTGTGAGAGTTCTCCAGGCTTGCAGGCTTGTGCTCAGCTGTTTCAGTGCCTCTCTGGAGCATGCACCTTGGGAAGTGCTATGTGGGTCTCAGACCCACCCTCCTGGTGCAGGGGCCTGCTTAGGGCTGAGCCTCTTTAGGAGGACTGCACTCTGGGAAGAACCAATGATGTGTCTGGGATTTCTGTTAGCTAGATCTCTCATAAATTCCAAGTCTTAGTTTGGGATGGAAAGAGGTAGAGGATCTGGACTTTTCAGAGACTTAGTAGCATCTTTAAAAGAAAAATACTTAGTTCTTCCAGTGGAAAGCTGTGGGTTCCAAGAGATATCTGCTGTGCATTTATGGGCCTATTTTAGAGCAGAATACCAAAATATTCACCATAATTTTAAAAATAAATATTAAATAATTAAAAAATTGGTACAGCCTGCCAGGAGCTCAGTGTGCAATGGTGACATCCAGCCTGTGAGGCCACCTGGTGCGGCTTGGGAACCCGCAGAAGCCTGCACTGAAGCCCAGCAAACCCCTCATCCTAGCTAACCGCAGCAAGGACTGGCGTCCGGAGAAGGGCGAGGCCGCTTGTATCATGGAGTGTCAGCTTGCTGGAAGCCGAATGAATTCCGCGATGATATGTGCAGAAAAGAGATCCAGGGCTTTTTCGATTGTGCTTCAAGGGATTAGGAAGCCTAAAAAATGAGATCAATACAGGAGACCCTGGGAGAGTCTGGGAGTTTACCTCCCAATAAATAGAGTAAGTTGTCATAGAGGTTTCCTAAGACACCTCACCTAAGCTTAAAATGGAAAAGCATTTTCAATGATTTCTGGACTATAGCTTCTGACAATTATGCAGAGGCATTTTATAGATGTTTGCATTGCTGTGACCTCTTTGAAGGATAAGATGAGGAAAAACACTTTTTCTAACCTTTGGAATCAATAGTATGGGTAGAAGTTATGTTTTATCTTGAAATAAAATCCTCTGAAGAGAAAAAAATAATTAAAAAATTAATTATACTTGTTTTATATTTATAGGAGAGATCTTATTGTTGGTGATCTTTGATAGTATCTATAGCCCAGGACAAATTTCCAGAGCCCTTCCATTTCTTTCCTTATTCTGTTTCCATTGAAATAGAAAGCCGAAACCAGAATTAGAGGTCATCAGGAATGATGATGAGTGTTTTTGCTCTAACTGATCAATCTGGATATGCATTCAGATTAAATATGGATGTAGAGATTCTAGTGAAATTTTTTTACTGAAGGCCACTTTCAGCATTCTTTCAGCTGCTGAGTTAACAAGCATATCAAACTAAAAAACAGAAAGGTTGGCCGGGTGCGGTGGCTCATGCCTGTAATCCCAGCACTTTGGGAGGCCGAGGCAGGTGGATCACGAGGTCAGGAGATCAAGACCATCCTGGCTAACACGGTGAAACCCCATCTCTACTAAAAATGCAAAAAAGTAGCCGGGCGTGGTGGCGGGCGCCTATAGTCCCAGCTACTCGGGAGGCTGAGGCAGGAGAATGGCGTGAACCCGGGAGGCAGAGCTTGCAGTGAGCCAAGATCACGCCACTGCACTCCAGCCTGGGCAACAGAGTGAGACTCCATCTCAAAACAAACAAACAACAACAACAACAGCAAAAAACAGGAAGGTTAAGTGTTTTTTGTTTGTTTTTGTTTTTGAGACAGGGTCTCTCTCTGTCACTCAGGCTGTGGCGCAGCATGACCACGGCTCACTGCAGTCTTGATCTCCTGGGCTCAAGCAGTCCTCCTACTTCAGCTTCCAGAGTAGCTGGGATTACAAGCATCTGCCACCATGCCTGGTTAATTTTTTTTTTTTTTTGTAGAGACAGAGTTTTGCTATGTTGCTCAGGCTGGTCTTGAGCTCCTGGCCTCAAGCAATCCACCTGCCTTGGCCTCCCAAAGTGCTGAGATTACAGATGTGAGCCACCACACCCAGTCCAAGTGTTTCTATTTAGTTGATAATGGTGAGTAGATTCCTAATCCACTCTTTGATTGCATTTGATTCTGGAAAATGTTTCTTTATATCATTTTGCAGCATTTCAGTGTAGTTTTTAAATATGCCAATCATGTATCAAAAAATATATTTCTTTAATTTGTGAAGAAAACTGTCAACTCTCGGGGAAGTCAAACTCGTGGAGATTTAGCTGCCTACATTGCAGTTTGGTCATATCATCAAGGTATCATAACAGCATTAAAAAATCATGGTATTTTGGTTAAGATTCAGGCTGTTCCAGATAATGATTACTGAAATATACTACTTGAGTGAATCACCTGAGATCACAGAAATGGTCTTTATCAGCCTTATCAAAGTCATGAAGAAACAGTTTTTTCCTCATTTTAAATATTCTTCATTTTAAATATCCTTGCGAGCACCTTTCTCCTTAGTATCACATGTATTTCAGTATGGAAAAGCAGACCCTGGGACTCACTGTCCATACTGCATGTTGAAAAGCCTGATTGTCCATGACTGTAGTGCGACTTAAAATGTTTATCCAGCTGGGTACAGTGGCTCATGCTTGTAATCCCAGCACTTTGGGAGGCCAAGGAAGGAGGATCACTTGAGTCCAGGAGTTTGAGGGAGGATCACTTGAGCCCAGGGTTTGAGACCAGTCTGGGCAACATGGTGAGACCCCCATCTCTATAAAAAATTTAAAAATTAGCTGGGCATGGTGGTGCGTGCCTGTAGTCCCAGCTACTCAGGAAGTTTAGGTGGGAGGATCGCTGGGGCCTGGGTGATTGAGGCTACAGTGAGCTGTGATCATGCCACCGTACTCCAGCCTGGGCAACAAAGTGAGACCGTGTATTTAAAAAAAAGTTTATTCATTTTTTAGCA
The DNA here is from genome assembly GCF_000001405.40 of Homo sapiens. Classification (NCBI taxonomy): domain Eukaryota; kingdom Metazoa; phylum Chordata; class Mammalia; order Primates; family Hominidae; genus Homo; species Homo sapiens. The sequence continues at coordinate 20,058,687 of NC_000017.11, forward strand.
TTGAATGAAGATTAGATTATTTAGATTAGCGGTCCCCAACCTTTTTGGCACCAGGGACTGGTTTTGTGGGAGAATTTTTCCGTGAACTGGGGTGGGGGGATTGTTTTGGAATGATTCAGCCACATTACATTTATTGTTCACTTTATTTCTTTTTTTTTTTTTTTTTTTTTTGAGACAGAGTATCGCTCTGTCGCCCAGGCTGGAGTGCAGTGGCGTGATCTCGGCTTACCTCAAGCTCTGCCTCCCAGGTTCACACCATTCTCCTGCCTCAGCCTCTCGAGTAGCTGGGACTACAGGTGCCCACCACCACACCCGGCTAATTTTTTTTTGAATTTTTAGTAGACGGGGTTTCACCGTTTTAGCCAGGATGGTCTCGATCTCCTGACCTCGTGATCCGCCTGCCTTGGCCTCCCGAAGTGCTGGGATTACAGGTGTGAGCCACCACGCCTGGCCTATTGTGCCTTTATTTCTATTATTATTACATTGTAATATAGAATGAAATAATGATACAACTCACTGTAATATAGAATCAATGGGAGCCCTGAGGTTGTTTTCCTGCAACTAGATGTTCCCATCTCAGGGTGATGGAAGACAGTGACAGATCTTCCGGCATTAGAGTCTCATAAAGAGCGGAAAACCTACATCCCTTGCATGCTCAGTTCACAATAGGGTTCATGGTCCTATGAGAATCTAATGACATCACTGATCTGACGGGAGGTGAAGCCCAGGTGGTAATGCTCGCTTGCCTATTGCTCACCTCCTGCTGTGTGGCCCGGTTCCTAACAGGCTATGAACTGGGGGTTGGGGACCCCTGATTTAGATCATCAACTCTGCTCTGAGGAAAACAGCAGTGTTGTAGACTGGCATGAAGTGCAACTTCTTCTACTCTATGTAGCAACCCCTTTTCTTTCTGGTCCTCCTTCACTTTAGATCCCTGAGACCCTTTTCCACATTGTACCTTGGTCGTTGTATATGAACATCAAACATGAAAGGTGCTAGTGAGATCCCATCTCTATAGAAAATTTAAAAAATTAGCTGGGCATGGTGGGCCTGTAGTCCCAGCTACTTGGGAGGCTAAGGCAGGAGGATCCCTTGAGCCCAGGAGTTTCAGGTTGCAGTGAGCTCTGATCGTGCCACTGCACTCCAGCCTGTGTGACAGAGCAAGGGCCTGTCTCTAAAAACAAAACAAAACAAAGCAAAACAAACATGAGAAGTGCTGATTCATACCTTGCAAAGAGGTTTCATTCGGCAGCAAGTTGAAATTATCTACTGGTTTGTACATGAGCTAGCACTTCCTCTTCCACATGGCATGCCATTGATGTTCCTTGATGTTTAGTGTTATTTGATAGAGGAATTTGCTAACACCTTGTTCTCTTTTCTCTTTGATGAAAATGTTTATCATTAACTTTGGGGCTCTTCTAAAGAATGTTCCATTAGTATGTGTTTGTACCTTTTTTTTTGGCCTCTGAAGAGTGCAGCTTTCAATGACGCCTCTATAGTTGTGGTCTTTTCCTTTTGGTAATGAAGTGCATCAGTTTTGCACTGAGAAATGTTATTTTGCCCTTGAGGAATAACTTGGTTGGTTTACTAAAGAGACCATCAAACTTTGAAAGTGACATGGAAAGCTTATGCGGTTTCTACAACTATTTCAGAAGCTTCATAAATGCTAAAGCGTCTGGGCTGGGCTCAGTGGCTCATGTCTGTAATCCCAATGCTTTGGGAAGCTGAGGCAGGAGGTTTGTTTGAGGCCAGGAGTTCTAGACCAGCCCGGGTAACACAGTGAGACTCCGACTCTACAAAAAATAAAAAAATTTAAAAAGAAACCCACAAAAACAAAAAAACAATAGAGGACTCTGACTTTAGGAGCAAATGAATCCAGTGTCTGATAAATTCCAATTTTTTAATTATTCACCATTGTGCTTTCTATGTGTACTTCCCTTCTTTAACTGCCTGGGTGGTACATCTCTTGACATATAGGATATGTGTCTTTCTGGCTTGCAGTTTAGTTCCAGTCAATAGTGAGCCTCCTAATTGTTCAGAGTTGTATTTATGCCACTCACCATGTGACTTTTATACTTCATCAAATCATTTTGCTCTGTCAATCCTTCTGAACTGATGTGATGGTACAAAATAGAAAAAGATGGAAACTGCTAATTTTAACAGATATAAACATAAACACGTACATAAACACCAGTGCATACATATTACGAAAATATATTGTGTAAAAGCAGTAACTTGTAGGACTAAGATTAACTACTGTGTTAGTAGTGCAAGTATACATTTCAAACTTAATGATTATATAAAGAATGAAACAGGATATCAGTGACCATAATACCTTTAACATTTCAAATTTGTGAAATATATGTGAACAAAATTGTTTCATTTATTTCTTTGTTTCTTTTTGAGACAGAGTCTCACTCTGCCACCCAGGCTGGAGAGCAGTGGCGCGATCTCGGCTCACTGCAACCTCCATCTCCCAGGTTCAAGCAATTCTCCTGCCTCAGCCTCCTGAGTAGCTGGGATTACAGGTGCCCGCCACCACGCCCGGCTAATTTTTGTATTTTTAGTAGAGACAGTGTTTCACCATGTTGGCCAGACTGGCCTGGAACTCCTGACCTCAAGTGACCCACTCACCTCGGCCTCCCAAAGTGCTGGGATTACAGGTATGAGCCACCATACTTGGCCCATTTGTTTCTTTTGAAATAGGAATTCCCAGTGTAGCTTTTGTTGAACTTCCATGGGCCTCTACATGTCCTCCATCTGCAGGTTGTATGTACATTGGGCTGTAGCCATTTGGTGGCAAGGACCATGGTAGAGGCCAGTCTGAGAGTGCACCTGGTAGATCCTTAAAGATGCAACCTTTGGGAACCTTGAACCTTTGATTGCTATAAACAAGTAAATCCCCTAGTTGATCATCACTCAGGAATCTTGGCTAAGCAAGGCCTATGAGGAAATTGATTTCTTGACAGATACATTTGGAAGGTCTTTAAGTTATTCTCCTTACCAATCACATAAATTTTTTAATGTTTTCTATAACTTACTGACTTCAGTCCCATTTTTCTTTCATTTATTCAACAAATATGTATTAAGGGCTTGCTGTGTGCTAGGCACTCTGAAAGACAAGACAGCATTTTTGCCCTCTTGGAACTAATGCTTTGTATATATTATTTTCTCCTGTATCATATCCAGTTTACACTTTGCTACTTACTTTTCTATTTTTCCTTTTTCTTACCTATTATGTTTCAGATCCATAAACTATTTTGTCTATGTCTTTATTTCAAATTATTTTGTGGCCGGGCACGGTGGCTCACGTCTGTAATCCCAGCAGTTTGGGAGGCCGAGGCGGGTGGATTAGGAGATCAAGACCATCCTGGCTAGCACGGTGAAACCCCGTCTCTGCTAAAAAAATACAAAAAATTAGCCAGGCATGGCGGTGGGCACCTGTAGTCCCAGCTACTCGAGAGGCTGAGGCAGGAGAATGGCGTGAACCTGGGAGGCAGAGCTTGAGGTAAGCCGAGATCACGCCACTGCACTCCAGCCTGGGTGACAGAGCAAGACTCTGTCGTCAAAAAAAAAAAAAAAAAAATTTTGTTCTCCAGTCTAAACATACCGTAACAGTCGTAGCATTAACCTTTGTGCATTAAAACGCTTAACATTTCCATCCAAAAAATTTCAGGTATTTTTATTTTAAAATTAAACAGGTTCTCCCTCTTTCATCCAGGCTGAAGTGCAGTGGTGTGATCACGGCTCACCACAGCCTTGAACTCCTGTGCTCACGTGATCCTCCCACCTCAGCCTCCCAAGTAGTTGGGACTACAGGCATGTGCCACTGTGCCTGGCTAATTTTTAAAAACTTTTTTTAGAGATGGGGCCTTGCTATGATGCCCAGGCTAGTTTCAAACTCCTGAGCTCAAGTGATCCTCCTGCCTCAGCTTCCCAAAGTGCTTCCCCACTGGCATGAGCCACCATACCAGGTCAAAATTTCACGTATAACACAAGAAATACATTTTTTTTTTTTTTGAGATGTAGTCTCAATCTGTCACCCAGGCTGGAGTGCACTGGTGGGATCTCGGCTCACTGCAACCTCTGCCACCTGGGTTCAAGTGAGTCTCCTGCCTCAGCCTCCCGAGTAGCAAGGATTACAGGTGCACGCTACCATCTCGGCTAATTTTTGTATTTTTAGTGGAGACAGGGTTTCGTCATGTTGGCCAGGCTGGTCTCGAACTCCTGACCTCAAGTGATCTGCCCACCACAGCCTCCTAAAGTGCTGGAATTACAGGCATAAGCCACCGTGCCCAGCCAAGAAACGCATTCTTATAAAAAGCCAAATATATAGATATAGAGTAAATATGAAGTCACTCCTTATAATTCCCATCCCAACTGCCTCTCAAGAGCCATGAAAGAGACTATTTTCTATATTTTTGCTAATAGTCTTATCTCTTCTTAAAATGTTAGTCTGCAAGATGGGTTTAAAAATACCTCATTGCTTTAGCTCATATTGGTTGCTATTAGATGGGTTAAGCATCTTTTCTTATGTTTAGCAGTCATTTGGATTTTTGTGAATTGCCTTTTCATATCCTTTGCCTTTTTTCTGTTGGACTGTTTGTTTCTTCTTGAGTTAATTTTGGTATTCTATGTTTTCCTAGAAAATGATCTGCTTTGCCTAGTTTACAAATCCTTATATGTAATTACGTTCTCTTTCTTGTTCCTAATTTGGGTACCTTCCTTTTTTCTTTCTTGATTAGATTTGCCAGAGGTTCTATCTTGTTAGTCCTTTCAAAGCATCAGCTTTTCATTTTATTAATCTTCAAGGTCATTTAAAAAATGTTTTCTGTTTAATTAATTGCCGTTTTTATCTTTATTCATTCTTCATCCTGCTTTCTGTGGACTCAGAGAAGACCCGTTCATGTAGAGGAAGGTGGGAACAAAGGTTCAAAGATAGTTGTCGAGGGTCAGGAAAACAATTGTTGGCATCATTCTCCTTCACCTCCTCACTCCCAACTGCCATCACAAACACAGGCAGTTCAGAATCCATCAAGAAATGAGTCAGGAATCAGGCAGACTGAATCAGACTATCAGCTTTGTTAATAAGGCTGAAGTAGAGAGTAGTGCTTGACCTAAGATCACAGTCAGGCTAGTAACCCTTCCCTCTGAGTTAAACTTAGCCAACAGAATAAGGCATTTAGAATAAACGCTTTGAGAGGTTTGAAAAGAAGACAGTTGGAAATGAATAAAACAATCACTTAGAGGTGCTGAGGGCCAAATGGCCTCAGGGCAGTTCGGTTTTTCAGTTCTGTTTGGAGACCTAGATCAGGAACAAAGAAAAATGAGTTGGCAGTCTCTGGCTGGTGGCTGAGTAAGCAGGGCCAGAGTTGGCAGAAGGAGGTGATCTTGGGGTTTCAGACTAGTCAGTGAGGCAAGTGAGACCAGCAGGGCATGGAAAAAACCACGAAGAGACAGGAGTCGGGGCTTCAGCTTCTTGTGAGCATGCAAACCCAGCTCGGAGGGAGTGTGATGCTGGGACAGCCAAAAGAGGAGCAGCTGGGGGCCAGAGAAGGGCATTGCACATCCAGAACCCTGATGGCAGGAGAGTCAGAGAACGGGCACACCACCAAGTGTGATGAAACTTGTGGGGGATTGACGATGAGTCATTCTTCAGACTCTCTGGGACTCTTGTTCTTTCCCCAAATTAGTTTAACATCTGCTTTGGAATCAAAAGGGTAACTGCTTTTCTCTTTCTGGCTAATTAAACAAATGCAAATGTATGCATAGCCTTATTGTATCCTCACACAGCCTGGGAGGGAAGCACAGTGTGGGTGGCAGGTACATGACGCTAGAAGCAGAGGGTGTTTAGTGCTGGGGTGGGAGGACAGCAGGAGGATCTGTCCCAGCGCCAGACGTCTTCCATCCCTACGGGACCTCTCAAGGTCATGCTACATGACCTTCGGCATATGAATTCACCTGGCACCACAGTATTGTTCTTAAAACTGAAAATGTACCAGCGTATTGTAACTTGTAAGCCCACAAACTTCTTGTTTCTAGCCATGTACTTACAGAAAGCCCTTGCCTTTATGTTTTCACAGGGAGGGCATGATGAACCTTGTCTTATAGCTCATGAGAAGGCCAACTTCACTAACCACTCCTTGCCGGGTGTGGTATGTTTCCCTCTGTAATTACTTCTCCCTGTGTACTTTCTTATGGTAAAATGTCATGCTTCAGAACAAAATTAAAAAGTCATCTAAAGAGATGGTTTGGTTATCATGGAAGTCAAGTTCCTCTTAGTAGAAATGAGCAGTTATAGTCAGACTTTATAGATACTAGAAAGAAGAGCAATGTATTTCTAAACTACATGCTTGTGTCAAATTTCAGATTTTGTTTAACAATTTGTATATTAATCATGATCTAACCCACCTGTTTTGGAAGAACCCTCTCAAACTGGGTTTTTCCTCTGCTCTCACACCACAACAACAGTCATCAACACGGAAAAAGACTTCTGTGACCAAATGTATGGGGGTTTCTCTATAGAAGTAGTGGACACCAGCTAGGTGTTCTCCAGTTCAACTCTGACGCTGTCTACCTGGAGAGAGCATCAGATCCCACAGGGCAAAACTCAGGCCCCAAGGCTGCCTCCTTCTCCAGTCACCAGTCTCAAGTCTGGGCCTCTGGAACTTCTGACCAACTGGCTTCAAGTTGGGGTTCCCATGACTCCTCTGGGTTCAACTAATTTGCTGGAGCAGCTCACAAAACTCAGGGCAACACTAACTTACATTGATCAGTTTATTATAAAGGATATCGCAAAGGATACAGATGAAGAGAAGTGTAGGACAAAGGATGGGGAAGGGCATAGAGCTTCCACGCCTTCCCTGGGTGCACTACCCTCCAGAAACTTCCAGGTGTTCAGCTGTCCAGACGCTCTCTGAACTGTGACCTTTTGGGTTTTTATGGAGGCTTCATTGCATAGGCACCACAACCATGTAGAAATGTGATTGGACAAAAAGTACATGATCTAAACCTAGCATGCCTGTCTCTTCAAGACTTTTCTTGGTCTCTCTGTGTAACATTCCTTCCTTTAGGGTATAGTTAGGACTCTCTCTAGTTTGAGGGACTCCTGACCCATAATTAGAGAAGGGTCCTGTCTTGGGCACGTGAAAGGACAGGAGAAGTTCAGAGAGAGAGAGAGATTCTGTTTCCTGAGGCCTAAAGTGCCCTGAAATTATAAGAAGGACTATAGGCATCAGGAGCCAGGAACCGGTTCTAATGCCCATAGTCCTTGTTATAATTTGTTATCTATATCTATCTATCTATATGTATATCTATATCTGTATCTATATCTATCTATCAGTCAATCATAACAACATACCATCAGATAAACAATTTCTATCCATACCCATTTTCTGATAATAAAAACTGGATCTGTTGCTGGCTAGGTGAAACTCGGAAACTCATGAAGCTTTTTACCTTTTTTACAAATGGGAGTGTGCCCTTTCATCCTGAATCATTAGAGTCTCCTAGGTACCCCTCTCTGAGGACTCTTATTCTAACAGCCTTTGCAAAAATTAGCCAAACATCTGTTTGAAACTCACTCAGAGTCATTTTCATCTTTGCCTTTCTCCTAGTTATTTTTAGGGTTGATAAATTTGTTTTCCAAGAGCAAACAGAGCATTTTTAAGCTTTGATTTTTGGCTAGCATTTAGGAATTCTTGTTCTGTGCAGAGCTGGCTGGATGCCCACTTAGGAACTTAGCCTGCACGGAGATTCCTTCAGTGGAAGAGCATTGGTCTGGAGTCATCCATCCGGCTCCTGGAGCTTGGCTACCCTGATACTTCCCGGTCTCCCTGCAAATGAACACCTCAGCATGCCATTATAGTTGGTCATCTTACTCTGTTTTTACAGAATCCAGGAGGAGAGTTCCTGCAAAGGATGTCTTGGGCAGGGTTTAATTATTTCTACGAATAAGAAAGCTTTCCTCAGGTGGAATTGTATTTACTTTCTGCAATATAAGCCATGAATTTACAAATAGAGTCTGATACTGTCAGGATACATAATTGTTGTTATGCTTAAGTAGTTTTTTTTTTCTTGAGATAGAGTTTTGCCCAGGCTGGAATGCAGTGGCACAGTCACTGCTCACTGTACCTTCAACCTCCTGGGCTCAAGCAGTTCTCCCATCTCAGCCTCCCAAGTAGCTGGGTCTATAGGTGCCATACCACCACACCTGGCTAATCAAATTTTTTTTTTTTTTTTTTTTGGTAGAGATAAGGGCTTTTATGTTGCCCAGGCGGGTCTTGAACTCTTGGATGCAAGTAATCTTCCCGCCTTGGCCTGCCAAAGTGCTGAGATTCTAGGTGTGAGCCACTATGCCCAGCCTTAAATAGATTTTAAAAAATTACAAAACTGTTACATGTTCATAGTAGACAGTGTAGAAAAATGTAAAAAGCATAAAGAAAATTAAAATTTCCTATCATTCCACCACCTAGATAACCATTCTTTCTTTTTTCTTTTTTTTGGAGATGTAGATTCCAATGATGTCATCTCACTGAAACCTCCGCCTCCCAGGTTCAAGTGATCCTCCTGCCTCAGCCTCCCAAGTAGCTGGGACTACAGGTGCACACCACCACGCCCAGCTGATTTTTGTATTTAGTAGAGACAGGATTTCACCATGTTAGCCAGACTGGTCTTGAACTCCTGACCTAAGGTGATCCATGCGCCTCGGCCTCCCAAAGTGCTGGGATTTCAGGCGTGAACTACCACGCCCAACCTAACCATTCTTAATATATAGATTTTTTTTTCAGTCTTTTTATATGCCTAAATGTAAATATGAGCTCCTACTGCATACACTTTACAATTTGTATTTTCCACCAAAATATATTGTCGTCATTGTTCCATATCACTGGATATTTTGTAGTATCACTTTCTCTATTGAGATGCCATAAATTCACATATATTTACATTTATATAAATGTTTACATATTTATAATATTTTTAACATTTATAGTATATATCATATTTCTATAGAGATAACATGTATTCACTTATATTCACTGCCATAAAATTCATACTTTTAAAAGTGAACAATATGGTGATTTGTTTGTATCTTCACAAAGTTATACAATAGTTGGCACTGTCAAATTCTAGAACATTACCCCCCCGCCCCGAAAACCCAGGGCAGTTACCACCCTTCCATCGCTCCTTCCCTCATCCTGTGGCAGCCACTCAAGTACTTTCTGTTTGTGTGAATTCCCCTCTTCTGGACATTGCGTAGAAGTGGAATTATACAATAGATGGTCTTCTGTGTGTGGCTTCTCTTTTTTTTTTGAGACAGGTTCTTGCTCTGTCACCCAGGCTGGAGTGCAGTGCTGCAATCTCAGCTCACTGCAACCTCTGCCATCCTCCCACCTCAGCCTCCCAAGTAGCTGGGACCACAGATGTACACCACCACCCCTGGTTTGTATTTTTGGTAGAGACAGGATTTCGCCATGTTGGCCCAGGCTGGTTTCAAACTTCTGGGCTCAAGTGACCTGCCTGCTTCAGCCTCCCAAAGTGCTGGGATTATAGGTATGAGCTACCATGCCCAGCCTGTGTGGCTCCTTTTGTTCAACATAAGGTTTTCAGGGTTCATCCATGTATCGGTACATTATTCCTTTTTACTGATGGATAATATTTCACTGTGTGGATGTACACTTTATATTTATCCATTCAACAGCTGATGGCCACTGGGTTTTTTCTACTTTATGGCTACTGTGATTAGTGCTATTGTGAACATTTGTCTGCAGGTTCTTGTTTGAACTTCTGTTTTCAATTCTTTTGGATATATACCAAGGACTGGAGTTACTGGGTCATAATGGTAACTGGGTGTAACTTTTTGAGGGACTCCCCAAACTGTTTTTCACAGTGGCTGTACTTTTTCACATTTACGTAGGCAATGTATGAGGGTTCCAGTGTCACCACATCCTCACCAGCACTTGTTAATGTCTGTTCTTTTGGCTAGAGCCATCCCAGTCGATGTGGAGTGGCATCTCCCAGTGGCTTTGGTTTGCATAATGCCTAATGATTGATTTTTCTAATGTGGAGCTTCTTTTCACGTGCTTGTTGGCCACTTGTATTGTATAGTCTATTTGGAGAAATACCTGTTCAGATCCTTTACCCACTTTTCAGTTGGGTTATTTGTCTTTTTATTATTGAGTTTTCAGAGATCTTTACACATTCTAGATACTAGACACTTATCATATATAGGATTTGCAAATGATTTCTCCCATTCTGTGGGTTATCTTTTCATTTTCTTTTTTTTAACTTATTTTAGGTTCAGGGGTACATGTGAAGGTTTATCACATAGGTAAACTCATGTCACAGGGGTTTGTTATACAGATTATTTCATCACCCAGGAAGTAAGCCCAGTACCCAACAGTTACCTTTTCTGCTCCCTCCTCCAAGCCTCCACCCTCAAGTGTCTGTTGTTTCCTCCTTTGTGTTTATGAGTTCTCATCATTTAGCTCTCGCTAATAAGTGAGAACATGCAGTATTCGGTTTTCTGTTCCTGCATTAGCTGGAGGCTGAGGATAATGACCTCCAGCTCCATCCATGTCCCTATAAAGGACGTGATCTTGTTCTTTTTTATGGCTGCATGTCCTTTCATTTTCTTGATAGTATCTTTTGAAGCAAAAGGTTTTTAATTTTTATGAAGTCCACTTTATCTAGTTTGTCTTTGCTTACTTCTGCTTTTGATGTCATCTCTAAGAAAATACTGTCTAATATAGTCATGAAGTTTTACAGCTATATTTTCTTCCAAGAATTACAAAGTTTTAGCTCTTGTACTTTGAGGTGATTTTTGTGTATAGTATGAGGTAGGAGTCTAACTTTGTTCTTTTATATGTGGATATCCAGTTATTCCAGCATAATTTGTTGAAAAGACTGTCTCCCATTGAATTGTCCTAGCATCCTTGTTGAAAATCAACTGCCCATAAATTTATGGGTTCATTTCTGGACTGTCAATTCTATTCCATTGGTCTATATGACTGTCTTACATGGACATGGGATGTCTGTTTATTTACTTGACTTCTTTAGTTTTTTCAATGACATTTTGTAGTTTTCAGTGTGTAGACTTTCCACTTACTCATACATATTGATAAATATTTTATAATTAACATTTATAAATATTTTATAGTTAAACATAAATATTTTATTCTTTTTGATACTACTATAAATGTAATTGGTTTCTGAGTATATTTGGATTATTCACTGCAAGTATATAGCAATACAATTGATTTTTGTAAGATCTTGTATTCTGCAGCCTTCCTGAACTCCTTTATTAGCCCTAAGAGGTTTTTTTGTTGTAAATTCCTTATGATTTTATACATATAAGAGCATGTCATCTGTGATTAGAGATAGTTTTACTTTCTTACCAATCTGGATGCATTTTCTTTCTTTTTCTTGCCTAATTGTCCAGACTAAAACCTCTGGTATAATGTTGACAAGAAGTGGTGAGAGCAGAGAGACACCCTTGTCTAGTTTCTGATCTTAGGAGAAAGCTATCAGATTTTCACGTAAAGTACAATGTTAGTTTGTGAGTGTTTTGAACTTGCCCTTTATCAAGTTGAGGAAGTTCCCTTTTATGTCTAGTTGTTCAGTGTTTATATTATGAAAATCTGTTGGATTTTGTCTACTGCTTTTTCTGCATCTATCGAGATGATCATGTGGTTTTGTCCTTTATTCTATTACTAGGGCAAATTATACTGATTGATTTTGACCAACTTTGAATTTCTGGGAGAAATTCCATTTGGTCATGGTATATAATCCTTTATATATGTTTTTAGGTTTGGTTTGCTAGTATTTTGTTGAGGATTTTTCTATATCTTATCTATATATTTTATCTATATGACATCTATTATCACTTTTAATGGCTGCATAAGGCTTAATTATGTGGATATACCATAATCTAACCAATTAGACTTTAAATTATTTCTTTTCTTGCCATTGTTGTTGTTATAATCAAGGATAAGCTCATCACTGTTGCTCAGATAGCTTTGTATTCATTCATGATTATTTTTGTAGGATACATTCCTACAAATGGAATAATGGAACCAAAGGTTATGCACAGATGTTTGTCTCATCTTGTCATTGACATTTTCAAGTTGTTTATAGTGGGGTTTTTTTTTCAGAGGTTTTTAATTTTCAGGTAAGTCACATCTGTTTTTTCTTTATGTATTCTGCCTTTGCCTATAGGCTCAGAGAGGCCTCTCCTACCTTATTCAGGATAATCTCCTATATTTTCTTTCTTTTTTCTCTTTTAATTTTTCAAGACAAAATTTCACTACGTTGCCCAGGTTGACGTGTGGTCTTTCTTCTTTTTCAGTTTTTTGAGACAGGGTCTCACTGTGTTGCCCAGGCTGGAGTTCGGTGGCTATTTGCAAGCACAATCATAGTGCGCTACAGCCTTGATCTCCCGGGCTCAAGCAATCCTCCCTCCTCAGCCTCCCAAGTAGCTGAGACTACAAGCTCACACCAACTACTGTGCTCAGCTAAAACAATCCATTCTTTATCCTAGATTAGTCATGCCATCTTTGTCATAATCTGAATTCTTATTTCTGGGCTTTGCCATGATCCAGTGCTCATCTTTCTATTCCTGAACCATGCCATTGTAATTTTTTATTTTTCTGATCTATTTTACTATCTGGTAGTACAAGTGGTTTGTGTTTGTGTGTGTTTGTGTGTGTGTGTGTGTGTAATTTTCTCCTTTAGAGAAGAATCAAGTTACTTGATAGCTTCTGTAGAGAATAATCAATTATTCTACCAGATGAATTTCAGGACAATTTTATAAATAATTTTCTTCATATTTCTAATCTGATTAGAATTTTTATTGGAATTACAACACATTTATAAAATTGTTTGCAGAGAATGAATATCCGTTGGGAGAGCATGGTATGCTTTTCATCCAGTCTTCTTTTTTGTCATTCAGTAAAGCATGAATTTGGGGGGCGACTGTAACTTTCTTACCAGGTTTATTTATAGATGCTATTGTAAGTAGGATTTTTTTTAACGTGATAACTTATTTAGGTATATTATTTTATTATACAGTTGAATACATACTTATTTTAGAAAATTTAGAAGCTACAATGTGAATTTAAAAAGTAAATGACACTCAGTCTGAGAGATAAGCACTGTTAACATTTTGTGTGTATCTTTCTATTAATAGATTTACAGTCTAATGAGGGAAGTAAGACATGATCACATGAAAGGCTTAATAATCTGAGACACTATTGAGTGACTAGCTTGTACTTTTTTTCTGCCTAGCCTTTTTTCTCCTTTTGGAAACTGCTTTTCCCATAACTAGTGGAGCTGCCAATCATCCAGGTCCCTCTCCACGGCCAATGGGTTGGACAGTGTATCACCTCAGGCTCTTTTCTGGGAGAGACTCTCTAATCTGGAATCTCAAATGCTAAAGACCTCTAGTCTTGCAGTGCTGCTGGGCAAGGCCTTCCTATCCTCAGAGCACCTGTGTTTGAATGATACCAGCTTAGGAGAGTGAAGCTACGAGGTGATTCAAAACCATTCCTGATGACATCATTGGACCTCATGGTCTAGAGCTGGCTTAAAGCCAGCCTGAATTCATCCTAGACTTTCCTAAATCAGTAAAGCCAACAAACTCACCATTTTGCTTAAGCAAAATTGAGTTAGGTGTCTGTCATTTGCAGAGTCCCAACCACTACCACCTCCTGTGTCTGTGCCATGGTGCCACATGGGGAGTCACCCAGATGAGTTAGGACCCTGTATGCCCCTTGCCCCCCAGGAGAGTGGGTGTTCCTCAGTAAGAGCAGGTTCAGTGCATTGTGCCTGTTGTCTCCTTCAAGGCAAAGCTGGATGGCCATGAGAGGCAGCAGCCTTGGCCAGGTGGGGCATGGGGCTGCCGTGCCAGGCCAGGCCGGCTCTGAACTCCTTACTGCACTCTGTCCATTAGAATGACAGAGTCTGAGTATGGAGGTTAGAATTATAGTGAACATGGGGGATTCTATGTCACAGAGGCTCTGCAAACCCATGCCACCTGCTATATAAGAGCTCTCTGCCATGCAAGAGCAGACTGGCTGCCTTCCACACCTATTATCCAGTAAAATAGCAATTAAAATGCAGCTTGTGGCAATGACTAAGCTTAGCCCAGGCCCGCTGATAGAGTTCTTGGTGCCTGTGGATATAACACATGTTGCTTGTTTACCTTCACAACATTTCTTCGGTGTTTTTTTCTGGGCAGTGTATTTGGTCCCTGTTGCAGTAGATCCCATTGTCACTGGGGCTTACTCTAGGCCATCCGTAGTAGCAGGGAACGTGGACCCCAGGCTTTGTGAGGATGCCCATATCATTTTGGAGCTCCCTGAATTCAAAATTAAGTATGAAAAGATTTATTTAGAACGAAAAAAAATTGCAACAAATTATTGGAGCCTAGGAGTTTCCGATGCCTACCTTTGAGATCCCTTTAGTTGGCTCACCAGAAGCCCCTGCTGTGATATGCTTCCTGGTTGTAGCCCGACTTCCCCTTCCCACCTAGAACTCACAGTGTTCACAGGGTCATGGCAAGGTGGTGGGGCGTGGCTGAAGCTTCAGGGTAAATCCATTTGTGAAGAGCAGACTGAGTTTTTGTTTTTGTTTTTAAATCTGTTTGATATCTCAGGGAGCAGTCAGCAGCTAGCCAGCCTACATCTTGAAACCCTTACATTTTGGAGAGGTACAAATTAAGCATTGAGGACCAAGTAGGATGGAAATATGATTTTGCACTTTGTGCATGTATGCATGTAAGAAAGAGAAGAGAGAGAGAGATTGTGAGAGGCAGGAGAGAGACGGGGAGAGGCCATCAGAACTTGGGGAGAGCAGAGCCCGCCTGCTTCCTGAGTGAAGCATTGCTCAAGCGCTCTCTGCCCGGCCCCCTCCGAGTGTGGTTTTCCTCCCAGGCCAGCACCAAACCCAGAATAGAGTGGCTGACTTGCTGATTGAGGTCGGCAGCTCCCGAGAAGCAGGAGAAGCAGAGTTTTTGCAGTAAGTACATCGTTGGTTATTATTTAAGACAGAGATGGAAAATCTTAGGATAGCTGGGGAAGAGGTGCTTCTGCTTTAGGTACAATGTCTTACAGACCCAGTGGATCTTGGTGTGACTAAGGCAGTGTGAATACATTCTCCCGTGGTGCATGGACTGGATAAGTTAATGCCACATGCATGATTTTGGGGGGCTGAAAAAGGATTTGAAACCCACCTTTTGACGTGTTGAAAGAAAATGATCTTTTCTCACTTGTTTTATCTTGCAAGGAAAGGATGATTAATGCCAACTTCAAGTTAATATATGAAGTTCTTTAGAAAAGAAGCCCTGTGGGTACTAATTAGTAGCAGCGTGGAGATTATTTTCCCATCCAGGGTGAATAGGGCTGCTTCTGTGCATTCCTTTTGCCAAGTGTGGGATGTCTAAGGTCCTGTGGAGAGAACCGCCCACTCGACTAGTGCTTAGCCCCTGGAACGTTCTCGAGTCATCTCCCCTTGGAGGAGATCAGCACTGTAGTGTGCCCTGTCGTCTGGCAGAGGGTCTGATAATGTCGCAATGCTCAACATCTGGGCAATACATACATTGTGTTAGGGTCTGAAATGAGATGTTTGTGAAGCCCAGATGGCAGAGTTTCAAGCAATAATATGATAAAGTTGGTGGCTTTTCTGGGAAGTTATTTATTATATGGTTACTTGAGATTGTTTTTCCCCCACATCCCATCACAGGGCTGAAGATACCTTAAAATCTCTCTTACCCACTCTATTTTCTAGAAATTAAGTTTTTGCTTTTTATTTCCTTGTCCCACTGACTCTAATTTCCTATAGGTATAAAATGTTTAGCTCAGCGGTGCAGAAGGTCCACACTAAGTTTTCTTGGGAAATGTGGCTTCCACCCCTTCTCGATAGAATGCTAAGGTGCTGCTCTAGCTGCAGAACTCACTGGTGTGGCTGCTTCTGCTCCTTTACAGCTCAGCTCCATGGACTCTGTGTCTCTGTGGTTCTGTTTTAGAGTAGCCGTGTTTCACTTCCTTTAACCTTTCCTTTACCAAGTGAGTTAACATGGAAGCCTGTCTAAACAGAGGAGCCCCCAAGGCAGGAGAGGGGGTGCAAAATAAGCAATACTAAACTTTCATTTGAAAACCTGGAATTTGAAATAAACCACCACCTGTGAAGTATCATTCCTCATTCCAATTTTATTTTTCCAATATGTTATTTTTTTTTTAGACAGAGCCTTGCTGTTGTCACCCAGGCTGGAGTGCAGTGTCTTGATCTCGGCTTACTGCAACCTCTGCCTCCCAGGTTCAAGTGATTCTCCTGTCATAGCCTCCCGAGTAGCTGAGACTACAGGCGCATGCCATCACACCCAGCTAATTTTTGTATTTTTAGTAAAGACAACATTTCAGCATGTTGTCCAGGCTGGCCTCAAACTCCTGACCTTAGGCGATCCACCTGCCTTGGCCTCCCAAAGTGCTGGGATTATAGGCGTGAGCCCCCACACCTGGCCCCAATACATTAACATTTTTTTAAATGATCTAAGTAATTTTGAGCTCTCACTGTACAACATCATCTCATTTGATTCTCCCAGCAGCCCCATGAGGTAGCTACCTTTTTGGTCTTCACTTAATAGCTGAGGATGTGGAGGCCTAGAGAGGTCAGAGAGATGGGTGGGCAGGTAGGTGAGTGGTGCAGCCAGGATGGGAACTCAAGTCTGTCTCAATCCAGAGCTCATGCTCTGATACGGCATTTCAGTAAATTCAGAAATTGGAGAAAATAGTGACTTAATCCCACACTTTAAAGCAACTGTTAAAATTTCTGGATTTTTTGCTGGGTGCAGTGGCTTGCACCTGAAATCCCAGCTACTCAGGAGGAGAAGAAGGAGGATTGCTTGAGACCAGGAGTTCGAGAACAGCCTGGGAAACATAGCAAGGCCACTGTCTCCAAAATTTTGTAAAAAAATTTAGCCAGGTCTGGGCGTCGTAGGTCATGCCTCTAATCCCAGCATTTTGGGAGGCTGAAACAGGTAGATCGCTTGAGCTCAGGAGTTCAAGACCAGCCTGGGCAGCATAGTGATACCTCATCTTTACAAAAAAATCAAAACACAAGCTAAGTGTGGCGATGTGCACCTGTAGCACCAGCTACTCAGGAGGCTGATGTAAGAAGATCGCTTGAAATCAGGAGGTTGAGGCTACAGTGAGCTGTGATCATGCCACTACATTTCACCTTGGGCAACATAGCAAGACCCTGTCTCAAAAAACTAAAAATTAAAATAAGTAAATAAATAATTAGCCAGGTGTGGTGTTGCATGCCTGCAGTCCCAGCTACTCCAGAGGATCACTCGTACCTAGGAATTCAAGGTTACAATGAACTATGATCTCACTACTGCATTTCATTCTGAGTGACAGAGTATGACCCTGTTCTAAAAAAATTATATATTTCTTTCTACCTGTACAACTAGATATTATAGCATAAGGCTTTAAAATTGTTACATAGTTTCACAATTATTACTATATTATTCTTTTGAGACAGAGTCTCACTCTGTCGCCTAGGCTGGAGTGCAGTAGCGTGATCTCAGCTCACTGTGACTTCTGCCTCCCAGCCTCAAACTATCCTCCCACCTCAGCCTCCCAGGTAGCTGGGATTACAGGCGTGTGCCAACATGCCCAGCTAAGTTTTGTATTTTTGGTAGAGATGGAGTTTCACTATGGTTCCCAGGCTGGTCTTGAACTCCTGAGCTGAAGTGATCTGCCTGCCTTGGCCTCCTAAAGTGCTGGGATTACAGGGATGAGCCACTGCACCCAGCCTGGTTTGACAAATATTTAATGGCATAAAATATTTTCTTAAGTGATTGGTCCATAAGTTATTTAACTATTCCCTGTTTTTTAAAATTAGGTTGCTTTTCCTTTTTTGTGTTTTGCTATTATAAGTAATAGATTAGTAACCGTCTTTGTCCATGGAACTTTCCTTATGTTTTTGGGTTGTATCTGTAGGGTAGATTTTCAGATGTGGGATTACTGGGTAAAAGGGCATGACCATTTTAATGGTGCTTGGTGTGTGTTGCTAAATTACTTTATATCAACACAGTGTGGGGGAGCACTTGTTTAATTTCATCCATTCCACCAGCTGACAGTATCATGGGGAAAAAAGAGTAAGAAAAACAGAACCAGCCGACAGTATCACAGGGAAAAAAGAGTAAGAAAAACAGAACCTCTTTATGGTATTTTGCATTTCTTTTAATACAGCTAGGCTGAACATTTTTTACATGCTTGTTTACAAGTTGTACTTTCTCTTTTGATCATTTTATGGGATCGTAATGCTGGCTTTTTGGGGCCAATTTATATGGGTAAGATTTATTTGCCATATTTTTGTCAGTTATTTTCCCCAGTCTATTGTTTACCTCTTTAAAATTTTTAAAAAACATGCAGTCATTTAACATTTTTATGTAGTCAAATTGGTTTCATTTTTTTCGTAAGTCTTCTATGTTAGAGATCTAAGTTCTCTGCTTTTAAGGCATTTATGTTCTTCTAGTATTTTCTTTCATGGATGATGTGAAAGTAAATTTAAACTGGCTTTAAAAAATGCTAACCAGTTTTTCCAATATCATTTATGAGCAACTCTTATGTTTTCTAATATTTTATGATTTTCTCTTTTTATACCTCCAGCTTTTCTATTATATGATTTTTCTGGATTATTTGATTATTTATAGGAGCAATCTGTTTCTACGCCATTATCGCACTGTGATAGCTTTTGTGGCTTTTTTTTGTTTGTTTGTTTTGTTTTTTTGTTTTTGAGATGGAGTTTTGCTCTGTGGCCCAGGCTGAAGTGCAGTGGTACAATCTCGTCTCACCACAACCTCTGCCTCCCAGGTTCAAGCGATTCTCCTGCCTCAGCCTCTCGAGTAGTTGGGATTATAGGCACCCGCCACCACGCCTGGCTAAGTTTTGTATTTTTAGTAGAGGTGGGGTTTTGCAATGTTGGCCAGGCTGGTCTCGGACTCCTGACCTCAGGTGATGCACCTGTTTTGGCCTCCCAAAGTGCTGGGGTTACAAGCGTGAGCCACCGCACCTAGCCTGTTGCTTTTATGATATGTAGAGAGAATGAGTTGTGTGGAGTAATACTGAGGCAACATAAGATTCTGGTTAAGCCCATAGGCACTGGAGGCAGATTGCTCAGCCTTAACTTCTCTGTCCCTCAGTCTTATTATCTGTAAAATGGGGATAAAATTAATAATAGTTTCTATTCCATAGGGTTGTTGGAGTGAGGAAACAAAAGCTAAATTAAAACACACACACACACTGAAAAAGTATTTGATGTAGGTAGATGTGTAGAGAAAGTATTTGAAGCATATATAGATGACTCTATATACATGAGTATGGATTATATTACATATATACATAAAAAGACATATGTATTTTTATAGAGTCAAACATGTCATTCTTTCCCTCTATGGCTTAAGACAACCTTTCATGTAATCTTGGGAGACAGGAAAGGTTGTCTTAGCCACAGAGGGAAAGAATGACACGTTTGAGTTGCATATGCAAAAAACTTGGTACATTGAAAGACAAGCGTGTGGCTGAGAGAAATACATGCAGCACACATACCACAAAGAGTACTACTCATAATAAATGATCCCAGCAATCAACTAGAAAAAACAGACACCAAAGAAAAATGGGCAAAGGTTATAAAAAAGCAATTCCTAGAAAAAGGAATATAGAAGGCCAATAAACATGCAATGTTCAACCTCAATAATAGTCATAGAAATGCAAATTCAAATACTCATGACGTGTCATTTCCCATGCAACACATTGGCAAAAATGGAAAATATGAATAATGTTCCAGCATAGAGAGAATCATAGGAAGATGGGAACTGGCAATCATAACCAATGGGAACAAAAATTAGTAAAGCTTTTTTGTATGGCAAATTTATAAAATCTATCAAAAGGTAAAATATGCATACCTTTGATTTGTCTTAGAAAAACACTGTACATGTTTTTAAGTAAGCATAAACAATACAAACATATTTATGTTAAAAATTGTATGTTAAAAATATAAGCTATATATTTTTATTTGTATGTATATAAAAATTCATTTAATAAAAAGCACTGGATGTGTGATATCAAACTGTTGTTTCCTGTGTCACCTCTGGAGAGAGAAGTAGACTAAGGGCCAGGTTGCTTTTTCCTCTTGCTAGATATACTTCTGTGTTTGAATATTTCATGAGTCTGAATTTGTGCATTTGTATAAAGTAAATAAACAGGCATTTTTCCGGGCCCACAGGCAAGAAGATTCTTGGGAGCAGGATGCTAGCTGTAGAAGCTCAAGGTTGGGAAAGTGAGTGACAGATTTTGGGAAGAACAAGAATTTGGTGGCAGTATTTAAAGATGCTTAAAGGTCTTAACTTATGTTTTAGAAAAGGAAGCAACCCAAGAGGCATGGAGGAAAAGTTGCTTTATTGATGGGCGCCGACCTCTTCCATCTCCTGTGCCTGTTTTCAGGCTTTGTGCAGTTGCGTCCCCACACACGGCTCGTAGACGCCCCCGAGGCACTGTGCTCCTCACTTTCTTTTCCAACATGTGTTCCTTATCTCTGGTTTATTGATTTATTATTTATGTATGTATTTTTAGAGACAGGGTCTCTTCTGTCACCCAGGCTGGAGTGCAGTGATGAGATTATAGCTCACTGCAGCCTCAACCTCCTGTGCTCAAGAGATCTTCCCACTTCAGCCTCCTGAGTAGCTGGGACTACAGGTGTGCACCACCGTGCCTGGCTAATTTATTTATTTGTAGGTATAGAGGCTTACTACAGGCTGTTCTTGAACTTGTGGGTTCAAGTGATCCTCCCACCTTGGCCTCTCAAAGTGCTGGGATTACAAGCGTGAACCACTGTGCCTGGCCTCTCTAGTTTAAAAGATTGTCATCTGAGGTTCAAAATAAGCCCTTCATCCATTATCCACCCAGCAGACATCCAGCACCCAGTCTGAGCTGGCAGTGTGCTAGGCCCTAGGGAGACAAGGGTGAGCAAAAGAGAACGTGCCAGCCTCCAGGGACCTACGCATGGGTTGGGGAGGAGGGACAGTAAACACTGATGAATTATATCACTGTGATGGTGGCTGCGAAGCTGCCATTGGGGGCTGTGGTGGAGAGTCACAGAGGGAGGGATCCTTTCCCTGGGTGGGCAGGAGGCGCAAGGAAACTAGGGTCCTCTGAGGAGAGCCTGCATCGCTGCAGTCTCTCCCATTCCATCCCTTTCTCCGCACCCCTACCGCCATGTCTTCATTCCTTTCACTGGGACCACTGTTTCCCAGATTTTAGTTCTTTAATGCCTCTTTTCACAGTTGTTGCCATTGTCAACTACCATTACTTATTACAGTTCCTAAAACTGACTTAACATTATTAATGTATCTTGAAAGGACTTAACCGCAAGTGAGAAACAATGAAAATGAAATGATGCTAAATTTAAAAGTTAGGATGATAGGTAATGAAGGCAGAACTCTTGAATGTGGTCTAGAAGGCATGCATGGGGTTGCTCTGATCACAAAGGGATGCTATTTATATGGGAGAAAGGGAATGTATTAGGATTAGATATTTAGCTGGCAGGGGGACTCTCTTGTCAGTGAACTCAGGGAGGACACTGTAGGAAAGAGATGACAGAAAGAGGGAGAGACTGCAGAGCATTTATTTATTTTGTTTAATTACAAGCGTGAGATAAGCCAGCAACACATTACAACCCGGGGGATCAGAGGGTCCCTCTGAGACAGACTGCGGGAGCCACATCTGGTTGCTACAGTAACGGGCCTCCTTATAACGAGAAGAGCCACAAGTGCCCGACATAAATGGCTTGGGGCAGAGGAGCAACAAGCGGCCTACCTTGCTGCCTCTTGGGGAAGGCAGTCTCGGGGAGGTTTCGCAGTGGGTAAAGAATGAGACTCTCGTGGGGAGGGTCTCGGGTTGTCTTGAGTCTAGGAGCTTGAGGGCCTCTCCGGGTCTTACTGATGAGGTCGAACATAGGGAAAGGAAGTCCTCCTGGCTTCACCTGTGCTGCCTGCGAGCCCTTACTGCATGGGAGGAGCCCCAGGACAAGAAGGCGGTACAGCAGCTTTTTTGAACTGGCTTGGGATGCTGAGAGATTTGGGCATCCCTTGGCCATCCTGAGGAGGGCCAGGCCCACATGATGGGATCAGTGCAGGGGGGGGTGGTCACTGGGGCCCTCCTGTGGTCCTTCTTGCCGGCGTCACCCCTGTAGCTGCAGGAACTTGAAACCCCTGCCCCAAACTTGCATTCTCCTTCCTGCCCCAGTATGCCTCCTCCTTGCTTTGCTGTTCCCTGTGCCTGTGAGTTTCTCTCCCTCTTGTCATCTAGTTCATGCTTCTTATCCTGGAAGGGTCACCAAAGGGTCTTTTCCTTCCTGCTGGGTCATGTGCCCCTTGAATAAGCTCTTCTGTCACTGTGTGACTTTTTAGTAGCATTTTCCCAATTGATATCTGGTATTTTCAAGGCCATTTGATAGTTCCCTACACTGGATGGTGAGCCCCAGGTGGGGAGGGGTGGTGTTTGGTTTTGTCCATCCTGTGTCCTGGTGCCTACTGCAGTGCCTAGATACAGGAGGTGCTTCCAGAATGATTCTTGAGCAAACAAATGAATGAGACAGTCCCCAGCTGTTTGTGTAAACGAGTGAATTCCCACGACTCGTTTTGGGCCTGGTTTTTTTTCCCAGTGCAGCAGAGCACAGGGAATGAAGGGGAGAGGAGGGCCTGGGGAGCGGGGATGTGGGGTGTGCGTGTGAACCATGGGAGGAAGCCTGCGTTTTATTCCAAGGGACACAGGGACCGACTGGAGGGCTTTGAGCAGAGGAGTGATGGGATCTGACCTACATTGCTAAAGGATCATTGTGGTTAGTGTGGAAAGATTAGCCAGGTGGAGGGAGAGGGCTGAGGAGAGGATGGAGGTGAATTAGAGGGGTGGTGGCATCTGGAAGATTGGGCTGGACTGGGATCTGTCCGGAATGTAGAGCCCACGGGTGCAGCGTTCTGGGCGTCAGGATCCCGTGATGTGTTTGTTGCTCTGATCCGTGCTGTAACTTTTCACAGGTGAGCTATGCTGGGGCCCTGAGTTTCCCACATTACAACACACACACAACTTTTCAATCAACAAACCTTTGCTGCCCCCAAAGCCACCCCAGGAGCCCCTGGGGCCCATGTGTGCCAGTTGAGGCCACGGTGGCCCCACCTGCAGCTGGCTGGCCGTTCAGACTCCTGCTGCTGCTCCCGCTGCCTCCTTCCATCACAGATGATACTGAGTTGTTACCAGTCAAGACAGGGAAAAGGCACCCTCAAAGCCTCAGCTCTTCAACCTGCCGTTCTGGGCCTCCGCCATCCACCGCCACTCTTGTTTTCCAGTGCCATTTTGCACAACTTCCACCGTGCTCGCGCGCTGTGGCCAAACAGCACTACTCCTTGCCTGCTTTTGGGGGTGCTCCTCTTCTCACCTGGAATGCCCTCTCCTCCAGTTTTCACATGTCAACCTCCTACCCATCCTTCAGAGTTGTATTAGTCTGCTTGGTCGCTCACAACAAAGTAACACAGACTGTAGGTCTTAAACAAAAGACATTAATTTTCTCACAGTACTGGAAGCAGACATTGGAGTCAAAATCAAGGTGTTATTTTGGGAGGTTGAGGCAGGAGAATTGCTTCATCCCAGGAGTTTGAGACCAGCCTGGGCAACACAGTGAGACCCCATTTCTCAAAAAAGAAAAAAATTAGCCAGGCGTGGTGGTGCGCACCTTGTCCCAGCTACTGAAGAGGCTGAGGTGGGAGGGTTGCTTGAGTGTTGAGTTTGAGGCTTCAGTGAGGTATGATCATGCCACTGCTCTCCAGCCTTGGCAACAGAGCAAGACCCTGTCTCAAACTATATGTGTGTATATATATATATATTCACCTTGTATCTTCACATGGTTATCCCTCTGTGTGTGCCTGTGTCCTAATCTTTTCTTATATGGACATCAGTCATACTGGATTAGGGCTCAACCATATGACCTCATTGCACCTTAATTACCACTTGAAAGACCCTCTCTCCAAATACAGTTACATTCTGAGACATTAGGGGTTAGGGCTTCAACATAGGAAGGGAGTGGCGGGGAGGGACACAGTTCAGCCCATGACTAGAGTCTCAGTGAGATGCCACTTTCCCCTCCAGCACCCACTGTGCTCACACACCATAGCCTGTTAGTGGGCTTCTTTCTAGCACTGGTTGCTGTGTCCTTTGGTGTTCGTTCGTTCGTTCGTTCGTTCGTTCGTTCGTTCGTTCGTTCGTTCATTCATCCATCTAAAAATAGTACTAAGAGACATCTAGTCCAGACTCCTGGACTGTATTATTCTTTGAGTCCTGACCACACCAACTATATCTGACACAGGTCACCTGGGACATTTAATTTTTTGTTAATTCATCAAACAAAATTTCTGAACACTTCTCATATGTAAGGCATTGATCCAGATGCTAGGCAGCAGGCACAGCAGAAGGGGTCTGAATGCCAGCCAGCTGCTGGTGGGGCCACTGATTTGCCTTTCCTTTTAAATGCAAAGGCGAATCAGAGTTGGCACTTCCAGTTAGTTGGAGAGACATAACTGGCATATACAGTCATACAAGAGAGGACATAGACAAAATGCTTGGAATTTAGAGCAACACCAAATCACATTTGTCTTTGTAGGTGTGGGGAGATGGCAGATAAGACTACAAGGGTGAACTGACATTTGATCTGGGACTTAAAGATGGGTAAGATTTGTGTAGATAGGTGGCCTTTTGAGTTTAGGCTTTTTTCACTTAGCATAGTGCATTTGAAATACATCCTTTTTGTGTGTGTGCTATTCATTCACTTTTATTGCTGAGTTCATTCTTTCTATTGCTGAGTACTAGTCTAATGTGGGGATGCATCAGTTTATGTATCCACTCACTGTTGAGGGAGAGTTAGGTTGCTTGACTTTTGCTGTTACGAAATCAAGCTGCCATGAACATTAGTGTTACAGATGTTTGTGTGAATACAAATTTTATTTCTCTTGGATAAATACTGAAGAGTGGGATTAATGGATTGTATATGTTTAATTTTTAAGAAACTTCAGCACTGCAAAGTGGCTGTACCATTTTGCATTTCCGCCAGCAATGTATTAGAGTTCCAGTTGCTCCATATCCTTGCCAGCACTTGATACTGTTTTGTTTTGTTTTTAAATTTTTAGCCATTCTAGTAGGTGTGTAGTGATAGCTCTTATGGTTTCAATTTGCATTTTCTTAATGACTAATGATGTCAAGCATTTTTTCATGTGCTTATTTGCCATCCAAATATCTTGTGTGGTGAAGTTTTTATTTAAATATTTGGTCATTTTTTATTGCCTTGTGCAGTTTATTATTATTATTTGTTATTAATATGGACATCATTTGTTATTTTTAACAAAAATAACAAAGAGGCTGGGCACTGTGACTCACGCCTGTAATCCCAGCACTTTGGGAGGCGAGGCGGGCAGATCACCTGAGGTCAGGAGTTTGAGACCAACCTGACCAACATGGTGAAACCCTGTCTCTACTAAAAATATAAAAATTAGTCGGGCACAGTGGAGGGCACTTGTAATTCCAGCTACTCGGGAGGCTGAGGCAGGAGAATTGCTTGAACCTGGGAGGCAGAGGTTGCAGTGAGCCGAGACTGTGCCGTTGCCATTGCACTCCAGCCTGGGCGACAAGGGGAAGACTCCGTCTCAATAAATAAAAAATAAAAGTAACAAATAATAACAAAAATGGTTATTATTCAAGAATTCAAGATTCAAGTCCTTTATCAGTTTTGTGTTTTGCAGATATTTCCCTTCCAGTTGATGGCTTGTCTTTTCATTTTGTTGACAATGTCTTTTGAAGACCATAAGTTTTAAATTTTGACAGTATCCCATTAATCAGGTGGGTTTTTTTGTTTTTTTATCTTAGTTATTTTATTGCTCATATTTTTGGTGTTGTAACTAAGAAATCTTTGCCTTACTCGAGGTCACAACAGTTTTCTCCTGTTTTCTTCTAGAGGTTTTCTAGTTTCAGGTTTCACCTTTAGGTCAATGGGCTGTCTTTAATGTGGACCAGACACTGGGCCCACAGGTGTGGAACCACAGAGGAATGAGACAGAGCCCTTCACTCAGGGACCATCTGGGCAAGGGAGGTGGGGGTGGGAGTCACACAGGGAAACAGTCTTTGTCTGGTGTAAGGCCTGCTGATAAGCCTGGGTCCAGGGTGCTGTGGACACACTGTGGTGTGGAAGCAGGTCTGTGCCCAGACAAGGGGCTGTGAACTGAGGTTTACCAGACAGTAGAGGGTAAGTGAAAAGCAGGAGTTCAGGCTGGGAAGCCTGTTCTGGGCTTAGAGTGGCCTTGGGCAGGCCTGGAGGCTGGATGATAGAACTCAGCATCCCTGCAGCTGCTGGTCATTTGCTGTGCCTGGGGTCAAAGTGCAAGACAGCTGGCAGGAGTGGGCAGAAGGGAGCAGGGGCCTGAGCACTTGGTGTGCCTTATCCTCCAACAAAGAGGAGGTGGAGGTGGCTTCATGGCATGGCTCAGGCTGTGCTCTTTGAGGGTCGGGGGTAACTGTCCCTCTTTATTTTGAAAGTCAGATGTGTCTGTGTCATAAAGGGCACATCCATAGGGGGCAGCGGAAGTGCTGTTACATAACCGTTTCTGTCCCTCACGCTGGAAACAGATCGCACAGCAGTTGCTGTACTTGCTGTTCCTTGTAGACTTACTCCTGTGCAAGGAACGTGTAATGACAAGGTAATCCCAGGAGCAGCCTGCAAAATTATCCGTCGTATTTGTGGTTCCTGTGTATATTTAAAACACAATGCTAGAAGCGATTGATGCTGACGAAGGATAGGGCATATTCCAGGCACTGAATAAATTAACCCTGCAAAGCACAGCAGTTGCTTTCATTAGCCAGCTGGCACTGCAGGAATATTGCTAAAGCCTGTGGGTTAGAAAAGAAAATCTCAGGAATGCGAGAACAAAAAAGAAATCAGCCACATTCAGTGATTTAACTTAATCTGGCAACAATAAGGAAATCCAGAACTCACGGTGCTCTGAGCAATGGCGGACTCCCGCTGCATGTGCGAGTGGATGGATATTCCCTGTTCAGTGGAGGGGATATCCACCACGACTCTGGGTACCCACGGCGGGATGCAGATGTGAGTTAGGGCCATGCGGCGATGATCCAGGTTTTGTTCCTGCATCCTCTGCAACTAGAGAAGCTCCAGCAAAGTTCTGTGTTCCCCTCTTTTCTTCCTGATGTCCCCAAGGAGTGAAGCAAATGAATAGGCCTAGCTAATGTGCCATCTCTCTCTCCCTTCTCTACCTGGCCAGGCACTTTCTGGGATGGCTGCTGCCATCATGTCCATGACACTGAAGGCCTCTGCTGCCTGCAGTCCCACTGCTGCCTCCGCCACCCTGGGCACCACTGCTGCCTTGTTGCCCTGTGGCTGTGAGGTGCCATAGTGCCAAGTCTTCAGCACGCCCCAGAAGCCATGATGAGTATGGTGGAGGCCTCAGAATTTTCCTGGGGAAGTAGCTCTTTCCATGTTGCCTTGATGGCCCTGTTCCCACCTCCTGTCTCTCCCCCTAGGCCAAGTGTTATCCCAGGAGACCCTTCACTTCCACAGACAGACAGACAGACTGCCAGGGACCCTCCTCAGCCAGCCTCTTCACATGCCGAGGCCACAGCACTCAGTGTGGTTGGGTCCAGTTGAGACCCTGCTGCTCATGACTTAAGGCTTCTGTGCATTGAATTAAGCCACTAGGGGACTTATGAGATCACCCTCTGGCTTCTCTTGTTGGGTCCCATACAGCCAGTATGTGTCACCAGGGGCATGTGGCATGTGTAGCCTGCCTCTCCTGAGTTTGCAGAGCTGGGCTGGCTCCTCCTTGATTTTATCTTCCTCTGGACCAGAGTGGCTGAAGTATAGTGAGCAGAGGGAGGGGCAGTGGACGTGGTGAGGGGCCAGACCTCTCCATCCATGGGTGGGGGCTCTCGTTATGGAGGGTCCCTTTTTTGCGTCTGTGCTCAGCAGTGCGGGGGAAGAGGGTTTGTCCCCTTCCTCCCAGGTCCTCATCGTTCAAATGCACGGAAGCATGTTGGTAGAGCACACAGAGGTTTTGCTGGGTGGGTGGGGCAGCATGCCCTGCAGTTCTTGCATTGTTTCCAGAGGAAATAGAATAGAATGCAACAGAACTGGCCTGCCTGTTGCCTGGGAAGCTGTTCTCCTGACATCACAGGGCTGTGCCCATATCCCCGCTTGGCTTAGGGGCCCCTAAGTTAGGAACAAAGAAGCAGAAAAGGTTGGATAAAAGATAAGGTACTCAGACTTGATACTTTAAATTATCAAGTTCCTAAGTCTATGGTTACCATCAGTTCATACTTTACAAAGCATTTATTAACATAAATTCATTTATTATGTTTCTGTGAAGATGCCTGGTTAAATCTGAAACCATAGAAATGTAAAGTATTGTTTACTATTTCTGTGAAACTAGGGTGTAAACCAAAAGTTTTAAAAGCCATCCCTCAGGAATAAATTTAGGAATTATTTCTCAAGCATGACTGTGAGTTAAGAATATTAAGTTTTATAACACTGATGCTTACACATCAGCATGAATGTTTTCAAGGTAGTAGTGCTGGAAGGCTCTATATTCACATCCATGGGGCTCTCATCCTGAAAGCAGTCTGGGGACTTTATTATTTTTTTTCAACCATTTAGAGATATTTATAAGTATTATGGGAGAAGGATTGTCATTGCCTTCCAGTTCTCTTTTGTGCTTGCCCGTTAATTCAGCACCTATTTAGTGAGTGGCTCCTGCCTGCTGGGACTGTGTACCTTTGTAGAAGCTCCCTGGCTGGTGGGGCAGGGCCAGGGAGGCACCCATATGCATGTTTTCAGTGAAAGCCAGAATCTAAGTATTCATTAACTAATATTTGTTGAACACTTATTATGTGCCAGGAACACAATGGTGAACAAGGGAGGTAAAGGCCCTGCTATCACGGACCTTCCCTAGTAGCACAGGAAGGCAGATAACCCATGACAGAAAATCAATGGCAGATAATCGATGGCAGTGAGAGTCTTCATTTGGTGATAAAGGCTCTGAAGAAATAAACCAGGGGCTGTTTGGTGGGGTGGGAGAGCTACTCTAGAGAGTATAAGAAAGACGCCTCCTAGAGGAAGCACCTTGGAGCAGAGACTGACCTAGGAGAAAGGAGCCCACTGTGTGAGGAGCTGGGGGGACATTCTGGACAGAGGGAACAGCAGGGTCAGAGCTCTTCCTTGGGAACTAGCTGCACATGCTCAGGGAGCTGGGAGCGGCCCACATGAAGCACAGTGAGCAGGGGAGAGTGATCAGAGCTAGGCGAGGAGGTGGGCAGGGCCAGGAAGCCTAGGAGCTTGGGGCTGGGACAAAGACCTTGGGCTTTCACTCCCAATGCAGTGAGAAGCCACTGGGGGGTTCTGTGTAGGGAGTGATGTGATCTGATTTTTGTGTACGTGTCTTAATTTTGAAACTTTAATTTTAGTGAAAAAAAGTCACATAACATGAAATTTACCATCTTAACCATTTTTAAGTGGACAGTTCATGATTTGTGTTTTGAAAAGACTCCTGTGGCTGCTGAATGGGCATTAAGTGGTAGGCAAGAAGGGGCAAGAGCAGAAGCCAAGAGCCAGTGAGGGGAGGCTGCAGCACCCGGGTGAGAGGCAGGGCTGGCCCAAGGGGTGGGCAGTGGTCACAGACCTAGGAGTTCCAGAAGAGAGACGATTTTCTGGAGGTTTAGAGCTGGGAGTATCTCATCAGAAAGGTTTTTGCAAGAAAGTCTTGATTGGCATAAGCCTAAAAGGAGGGGATAAAACATTCATACAGGGAGGCCCTCAGATTGGTGAATACCCCAAGATGAGAACCGCAAGTTTCATTGGAAGTGCAGAGAAGAGTCCTGTTTGGCTACGCTGCAGGGTAAGGGGTCAGCGTGGCTCAGCCGAGCTCAGGCAAGCCGTCATTTAATTTGGTGGATGCTATTGTCTGAATGTTGATGTACCCCCCAAAATTTATCTGTTGGAACCTAAAACCCCATGTGATAGGATTAAGAGGTGGGGCCTTTGGGAAGTCGGCCATGAGGGCTTCACCCTCATGAATGGGATTGTGCTTGTGCAAAACAGGCTTGAGGAGCTCCCTTGCCCCTTCTGCCATGTGAGGCGCAGCAAGAAGGCACCTTCTGTGCGGCAGAGTGAGCCCTCACCAGACACTGAATCTGCTGGTGCCTTGCCTTGGACTTCCCAGCCTCCAAAACTGTAAGCAATGAGTTTGCCTTGTTTATAAATTACCCAGTCTACAGTTTTTTGTTGTAGGAACCCAAATGGACTCAGACGGTGTGTAAGGGGAGCAGTAGGCCAGGGTTAGGCACACAGCCTGAAGTGGCATTGCTGAGGGTCCCGTTGGGGGAGTTAGCAAACTCCTCGACATTCCCTTGTTGCTGAACTATAAAATGGGGATGACAGCAGCTACCTCACAGGGTAGTCAGAAACATGAAAGAAGACGAAGGAAAATGATGAACATGGTGCCAGTCTCTTAGTTGGTGTTGCTAAATGTTAGCTTAAAAATACAGTAAAATGGGCTGAGTGCAGTGGCTCATGCCAGTAATCCCAGCATTTTGGGAGGCTTGACGCGGGAGGATCACTTGAGCCCATGAGTTTGAGACCAGCCTAGGCAACAAGGTGAGATTTCGCCTCTATATAAAAAAAAAAAAATTAGCCAGGCGTGGTGACACATCTGTTGTCCCAGCTACTTGGGAGGCTGAGGCAGGAGGATCCCTTAAGCCCAGGGGGTCGAGGCTGTAGTGAATTGTGATTATGCCACAGCACTCCAGCTTGGGCAATGGAGTAAGACCCCATCTCTAAAAAAATAAATGAGTAAATAAGATAAAATGCAGGATTTTGAGCAGAAAATGACTGACCCCAGCTGAATTTTCAGAAATCTGTCTTGAATATGTGGAACGGATGAGCCCAGGAGGGCCTTAATGCCAATCTGTGCTGGAGAAAAAGGCAGGGCTCCTACAGGAAATGTTGCAGGCATCTGATCTGCTGGCCTGGACAGCCGTGAATTTGAGAAATGGGCGCCCTAGAGAGGAGTCCAAGATGACTGAGGTTTTGAGTCTGGAAGAGCAAGAGAAAGGCTGTGCCGATGACAGAAATAGGGAAGTCCGGGCTGAAGCTGGTTATTCAGGGTTTGTTCTGTGCCCCAGGCTGAGGCTGGCTGTACACAGGCAGATGCCAGGAGGCTGCCCCTGGGAAGGGCTTACCAACAAGGAGAGGCATACGTATGAGACCGTCTCAGACTAGGAGAAGATTTTCTGGAGCGGAGAGACTTGAGCACACTTTGGAAGGTGGTGTTGAAGTTAGCCGGGCCATGGGAGCTGGGCAGGTTTCCTGGGCCTCCTGTTTGCCACACCACATCTCTGTCTTCTTCCTCCAGCTCTGCACCAGCGCAGGCGACCGTAGACACTGTACCTGTGTCCCATGCCTTCCCTGAGCCTGTGGGCAGCACTGGCTGTCAGGTTGGAGGGAGGGAGAGGATGCGTATGAGGTGTTTCCTAGCTCTGGGGTGCTGCACTTTCCGTTTTGCTTCTCCCTTTCATTACAAGCCCTGCCCACACCTTTGTAAACACTTCCTTTCTCAGCTCACCTCAGTTCCCCAGCTGGCGTCCCAGGCAGAGGCAGTTGCATGTGCAAAGGCCCGGAGCCAGGACTTGATAAATATGGCTCAAGATGCTGCAGCCTAGATAGATATGAAAGTCTCTGGTTCCCTCCTATACTGTAGTTTTTATTCTGTTTACTTTGCACTAGACCATTTTACACTATTCCAAAAAAAAAAAAAAAGGGCTCTTATTTTATTTCCATCTCCTTTTCCTACTGCCTTGGCTCATTCACTTTAATCCTTTGATGGAAGCCATGTTACAGGTAAGGGAATAACTACTTATTAGTGGTCATTTAGCTCTTTGGGATGCTGGTTGCTTGAGGCAGCTTTGGAGACAGAAGGACGTCACAGACCAGTGATTGTGAGCTCTTGGTCTCAATATAGCTGCCAGATTATAGCCTCTCTCTTGGGTCTGCATTTCATATTTGGGACTTGCCTCGGCCTCTGTTTCTTATTCCAGATTACACCCTATTCCTTATGGGTCTCCATATTATACCCTATTCCTTATGGGTCTCCAGATTACACCCTATTCTTTATGGGTCTTCACCTTCTGGCAGGAGTCCATAGTTTCTTACTCCACTATCAAAGTTTGTTTTCAGGTTTGAGGTGGTGTGGTTAGCGATGTACAAATGTTCTTTTCCATTTAGTTTTTGTTTTTATCACTTCTTTTTTTCCAGTGACTTCTGCTGATGGGATCAATGAATTTTACTTTGGAATTTTTCTTCTGATGCTGTATGGAAATCTGTTCTTTTCCTTATTTACTGGGAAAGAATCTGAGGCTATTGGGATGATTTTTCATCTCAAGACTGTGGGAAATAATCAGCTTTGAAGCATTTCCTGTGGCCATTTGCTGAAGTCTGGGATTCCGTCAGCTGCGCCCCAACCAGATTTTCAGTGTTAATGTTTCCATGTTAGGTGGTGAGGCTAAGCAGATATGTCATGTGCCGGCTGGTCTAGGAGCCAGTGTCCCAGGGCTCTCATTCTTCCTCTGGAAGTCTCTCCACCGTGGCACTGCTGACATTGTAGGCCAGATGCTTCCTTGTTGTAGGGCTCCCCTTTGGGTTACCGATGTCTAGCAGCATCTCTGGGCTCTGTCCAGTAGCACCCCAAGTTGTGACACCGTAAATGCCTCTGCACATTGCCACGTGCCCATTGGGCTTAGAACTACTACTGTAGAAGAGGTCAGGAGCAAATTCGACCCATGTTCCAAAAAGCTCCAGCTCAGTATTTTCAACATGTGGTTCACTTACGTTCTATTTCCTGCTGAGTCCCCTGGCAATTGAGCTATGTGCACATTCTTATTTTGTTGGTTCTCAGACTTGAATGGTTTGGCCTCTTCCGCTTCCCAGTGCTTATTGTGCTTGTAGCCGAGCCCTGAGTGCCCTCTCCCACTCCTGGAGACTCGTCATTATTTTCTGATTGTCCAGAATGGTTTCCCAGTTGCCTTTCTATTTCTTGCCTTAAAAGGATAATGAAGCTGAGGCCCGAGATAACCTCTCCAACGCAGGCTCCGAAGGCAGCAATTTAGTGGCGGAACAGCGTGTTTTCAGGGAGCAGGAGACGTGTGGACTCTGACTTTAACTGTTGCCCAGCGCCTAATTGTATTCCTTAAATAGGGGTTCCCTCTCTCCTCCTTTTCTCCCTCCCTCCTTTCTCTTCTACTTTACACTGTGAAATTTAAGAGTTGCAGTTTAAGTCCTACACTATTCTGGAGAGGAGAGAAACTTGGTAAGAAAATAAAATGTTTGACAAATTTAAAGAAAACACCCCTGGAACGACATCCCCCACCCCACCATGGGTGTGGGGTCCTAGATTTAACTGTAATTCCTTGATCGATGTGATCCTTTGTGGTGTTCATGAGGATTTTAGGAAATCATGAGATTAATAATAGAAACCTTCTTTTCACTGTCTTGTACTTGGCTGGAGCCTGTTTATTTTGTATGGCTAATTCATATCCATAAGAAAACGATTACTCAGCTAGCATTCCCACCTGTGTTTATCTTTCAGCAGCCAGGATTTGTTAAGCCCTGGGCAATTTTAATTGCTGTGAAGTGTCTTCCCTGCAGGTGTGTTTCCCTCGCTTCTTTCTCTCTTTCACATTTCCAAGTGAAAATAGTCTTCTCTGTGTAGAAGAGTGTGTTCCTTGGATCTGATATGTCTGTCTGCCTCCTGCCCTGAA
The DNA here is from genome assembly GCF_000001405.40 of Homo sapiens. Classification (NCBI taxonomy): domain Eukaryota; kingdom Metazoa; phylum Chordata; class Mammalia; order Primates; family Hominidae; genus Homo; species Homo sapiens. Next base: position 20,092,604 of record NC_000017.11, read on the forward strand.
CACACATTTAATTGACCCATCACTGTGTGCTGCTGAGTCAGAAGGCAGAGCAGCGCTCCGTTGAACACCATCAACAGTTTTTGTCGAGAGGGCGGCTCATAGTTGTCAACAGCCTTCTGTGTGCCTGGCACCTGATGGACTTGTTCTCCTTTCATCTTTACAGTTTTATGAAGTTGGCACTGATAACTCCATCTTATTGGGTGAAGATGTAGAGAATCATGTTCAGAAAGCATGGCTGAGTTCACAATGTCAACAGTGGAGCTGAATTTGGACCAGGTGCATTTGATCTATAGCCTTGGTGCTCTCCAGGGAGCAAAGATTATTCAGAGAGGCCATCCGTCCCTGGTGTTTAGGTGTGTAGGTTTTGGAACCAATTTAAACTGGATCTGAATCTTGGCTCCAAGATAAACTCTGAGATTTGGGCAAGTTGCTTAACCTCCCTTGGGGAAATGAAGTTTCCCCACCTGTGAAATGGATATGTCTTAGTCTGTTCAGGCTGCTGTAAGAGAAATACCATAAACTGGGTGACTTATAAGCAACAGAAATTTATTGCTCACAGTTCTGGAGGCTGCATAGTCTAAGATCAAGGTGCCACTAGATTTGGTATCTGGCAAGGGCCTGCTGTCTGGTTCATAGATGGAGTCCTCTTGCAGTGCCCTCACTTGGTGGAAGGGGCAAACAAGCTCCCTCAGGCACTAATTACATTGATGAGGGCTCTGCCTCCCAGATGCCCTACCTCCTAATACCACAATGGGGGTTAGGTTCCAACATGTACATTCTGGGAGAACATTCAGATCATAGCAGGAGGTGACCCTTACCTCGTAGGGTTACTGAGCTATTTACATAGAGCATTTAGCAGTGCTTTGCCAGGCTCAGAATGAAATAGGATAGCTGCTCTCAGCTCATGACAGCATTTATGTAAATGAACTGGCTTCAGAGAGCCAGGCTGAGGGGCTGAGATGACGGGAGGGATGTAGAAGTGGTGGGAAGTGGATTGGGAGGAAACCTGAAGAAACTTGGAGTGGGCCTAGGGGTGCACCTGCTCCCCTTCTAGTAGGAGTCCTTCCTGCAAGTGGACGGAGGGCACCATATTGTGGGTTTTTTGTTTTTGTTTTTGTTTTTGTTTTTTGTTTTTTTTTTTTTTGGAGATGGAGTCTCCCTCTGTCACCCAGGCTGGAGTGCAGTAGCTCAATCTTGGTTCACTACAACCTCTGCCTCCCGGGTTCAAGTGATTTTCATGCCTCATCTCCCCAAGTAGCTGGGGCTACAGGTGTGTGTCACCACGTCCCCCTAATTTTTTGTATTTTTAGTGAGACAGGGTCTCACCATGTTGCCCAGGCTGGTCTCGAACTCCTGAGCACAGGCAGTCCATCCACCTTGGCCTCCTAAAGTGCTGGGATTACAGGTGTGAGCCACTCCCAGCCTATATTGTATATTTTAAATTTGAGAAGAAGATGGGATTTGAGGAGCAGTGTATGGCTGATGGGTGGGTACAAAATGGAAGGCCTTGCCCAGGAAAACAATGATGGGAATGAAGCCGAAGATGCTCAGGAAAGGGAGTGTGGGCAGCAGGAGGGGGATGGATGAGGAGCATTTTCTGGGTGCAGTCATGTGGGAGTAGTTGGGTTGAATTCAGAGGGTCCAAGAGAAAGGGACCCTGATGCAACAAACATGGGCCTGGACAGTGCTGCCTCAGAGCGGGCCACCTGCCAACCCTGGAAAGGAGGCTGCGTGTTCGTCAGGGGCACCATCCACAGGATCGACGCATTTGTTGCCAGAGATTAAGAGAGAAGTTTAGATCTTTTAATTTTGACTGAGGTGGCTTTTCCTTCTTTTCTTTAACCAAGGACTTAGACTCCTGAAATGTTGGGGAAAAGGTTGACAGGGAAAACATCCACCCTCTTCCTGCTGTTTTTCATCTCTATATTTTTCTCTTTTGTGGTGGTGTGGTGGTGGGCAATAAATAAAAGGCATTTCATTTCAGGGGTAACCTGGGCAGATTTTGGAAAATGTAGACAGATTGCAAAATCATCCTATGTTTTCATAAAGTAAGCCCTGTAATATCCAGTCCTTTATTTTTTTTTTTTATTTAGAGAGAGGTTTTCACTCTGTCACTGTCCCAAGTAGCTGGGACTACAGGTGTGCACCACCATGCCTGGCTAATTTTTGTATTTTTTGTAGAGACAGAGTCTTGCTATGTTGCCCAGGCTGGTCTCAAACTCCTAGACTCAAGTGATCCTCCCACTTTGGCCTCCCAAAATATTGGAATTACAGGCATGAGCCACTGTGCCTGGACTGTAATAGTCATTTCTAAGTAATTCTAATCATAACATAAAAGGGTGTCTTGATTAAACAGATACTTTATTAAGTCATCTCCATGAGTCAGTCAGACTGACAGGTTGCTGGTTGATTCTGCAGTAATTGGTGAAATTCATCAGTAATTCTCTTCAAGAGTCACTCCGGCTCTGTTCATTCATTTTATATTGGGAGGAGGTCCTCATGAAATTAGTTACTGTATAGGTCTCAACCTATGCATTCTTTCATTGTTGCTGTGGAAACAAGCAATAAAAATCGTGGGTTGAAGAAGAAAAATAATCGGTGCTGAACATCTGTAAAATACATGATAATTAACTTGCTTTCTGTAATCCAGAATTTTAAAAAAATCATCATACTTGGAACAAAGCTGAGACTCATAAGGTTCTGAACTAATTATGTAACTGAATCATTAATAGTTTTCCTTGGAAACACTGTGGAAAACAAATTACGCCGCCTTTAAAGGAGTGTTTCCACTGGTAGCAGCATTCACAGAGCCGCTGCCATCAGCTCTGCAGCGTGAGCTCAGTCAGATGCATGCCTGGACACACGCCACCAGCTGGTCACTGTTTCAATAGGGTCGGGAACTAGATGGTCGGGAACTAGAGAGACATTGTCAGGAGAAACAAGGTCGCAGACTGAGCAGGATGCTGCCTGTGGTTCTTCTCGTGGCTGGCTAACGGGCTGTGAGGGGAGAGGCAGCCAGGGACGCTAGCACTGGCCGCCATCCCCCGGGGGCAGTTAGTGAGACCCACCCTGCCCCCACCCTGTGCACTGTGAGAGTGGCAGTTAGAATTGGTTGTCACTTGTGGGTGTTTTGTAAAGTGCATTTCTGATGTTCTTTGAAAGGACAGAACATCATGGGTTTGGTGCCCTGTGTCACACCCTGAGTCCATGGGGACAGGCGGAGTCAGGGTTGGGGCTGGAAGAGAACCGAGAGGGCATTTAATCCAGTCCTGTTATGTTATTGACAGAAGAAACAGAGGCTCTGAGAGGGTGAGGGATGGACCAGGCCGCTCCTTGCTCAGGAATCACAGTGCCGGTCCCTGCTGGCCAGTCTCGGGCTGCCTTCCACATCTCTGTGTGGATTTTCCCCTGATGTCTTCAGCTGTATCTTGCTGGTTTGAACAATTTTCCTTTCATAAAATATTGTAGTTAGGGCAGTCACTCTGCCCAACAGTGTTGGGTCTGACCAATTAAAATATGCTTCATTAATTTTTTATGATACCCATTTTTATCCAAAAGAAGAAAAAAGTCATTTTGTGCTTCTGTGAATTCTTTCAAGTAATTCATTTATGTTTATTTTAAAAATAAGTATATTGTTCCTTTGTCAACCCTAAAGCCACAAAGCTTATGGGCATTTTATTGGTTGACTCTGGCTGACCTGTTTTATCTGGGTGTGAGATACAGATACATAGTGTATGGGTATTTGGTGGAATGCTGTCTCAGGTCATTCTGCTGAAAAGTGATGTCAGGACATCAGTAATGTGGATATGTTTCAGTAGTTTGGTAAAAGCTGTTATGGAGTTGTAAAAATTAGCCTAGTATAAAGCCTATAAACCCATCTTAGGAATATTCTATTTCCAGCCAAATCATAGGTGCTCCTACTCTGTGATAGTTCATGGTGACGTGGTATGTGGGGTGTAAAGTGTGATGATGTCATGCAGCAGGTTCAAGTGATGGAGACATGTTTTTCTTTTCTGCTCTTTTGCAGGACAGACCCACGAAGTCAAGCATGCGGAGTGCAGCCAAGCCCTGGAACCCAGCCATCAGAGCAGGGGGCCACGGCCCAGACCGGGTGCGGCCTCTGCCTGCAGCCTCTTCCGGCATGAAGAGTTCTAAGTCTTCAACTTCCTTGGCTTTTGAGTCCCGACTCAGCAGGGTATGGATCAAAATGCACAGGGCCAGGCAGAGCGCCTGGATACCCTGGGTTGGGAGGATTGAAGAGGGCAGTAAGCAAACCAGTGGCCTCTCGGGGCAGGGAAGGAGGCTCCCAAGGAGGGGTCGCAGGAGGACCAGCATGCCTGGACATGAAGGAATAGAGCTAGCGGGTGGGAGTGGGGGCCCTCTGGGGTCCAGAAAGGAGGTCTGCAAAGTGTTTAACACAGTAATTAAGGTCCTCTGCCCTGGGTTGCATGGACATCCCGGCAGTTTTGCCCCAAGCACGGCCCTGGATAGGGGTCGAGGTCATGCACGATCTTTGCAGCCCCCCACAATCCAGTTGTAGTTCTTCAAGCCCCTCTTACTGGACCCCGCAGCAGCATGGACGCTGTTGATTACGCCCTTCATGAGGGAGTGCGTTCTCCTCTGGTTTTCTCCTCCCCCCATCCCTTTGGTCTCTAAGGTTGGGTGGGCCCATGCCACATTCCTAGACTCATCTCTTTTCTAGCTGCATTCATTTCTTTACATGAGAGGCTCTCACCGTGCAAAGCCTAGTGCCTCCTTAGCTGCCCTGAGATGAATTCATAGACAGTAGCACCTACCTCATGCAATACTTTAGAAAAGTCAATATGATCTTCTATATTAGCATGGATTTCCATCTGCACAGCTGTGCTAAAGGCCTTGAGATGCTCCTTAAAGCACCACGGGCGTGACAGCTACAATGCAGATGGATTTGAGATGCAGACTGATTTGAATTGTGTTGATGACTCAACTACGGTGAAGGCTGCTGCAGAAGGAGTGACGGGATTGTTTTGAAATAGCAGACACTCTTGGTGAAGTTCTGAACCAAGCATGGTGCCGGCTCCCTTTGTTTTAGTATTTTTGGACTTAGAGCAGACACTCTTGGTGAAGACACTCTTAGAGCTAGGCAAGGGGCACATTGTTTTTATGAGTCAAATGGAGGGAGGCTCTAGGCTCAGATAATAATAAAAGGTGTTCCACCTGTGTCAGTGCCTGCGGAATATGTGGAAAGTGTGTGGGTCGTGGAGCAGTTCTTTGTGTAAGATTGTCATGAGCATTTTAGGACATCTGAATTTCCTGTCCTCCTACCCGTTAAATATTAGTAACACATCCAGTCATGGTGACAACCAAAAATGTGCCCTCAGATTTTCAACACATCCCCTGAGGGACAGCCCTGTCCCCATTGAGAACCATTGTTCTAGGTGACGGGTCCATTCTCATGGCTTTTAACACTCTAAGTGGATAACGTCCAAATTTGCATCTCCAGCTGGGACCCCTCTAACTGCCTTTGTGACATCACCCTTGGATGTCCAAAAGTGTAACATGTCCAAAACCGAATCTCAATGCCTTCCTCTCCATCTCTCTCACCATCCCCTAACCTGCTCCCCCAAATCTTCCCATTTGTGTAAATAGCAACTCCATCTTCTTGGTTGCTCAGGCCACAGCCAGTGGCATCACCCTTAAACCCTCCTTTTCTCATGTCTCACAGTCCATCAGTGAAATGCCATCACTTCTACCTTAAAAATATGTGTCAACTCCAACCAATTCCCACTGCCTCCCTTGTGACCAGTTGGGTCATGCCCCCACCCTTCTGTGCCCTAGTCCTGGTCCTTGGAACACCTGAGTCATGTCACTTCTCTGCGTCAACCCTCTAGTGGCTCTCCCCATTCACTCAGAGTGAAAAGCAGAGTCCTTGAAATGGCCAGCGATGCCCTCAGGGCCCAACCCTGTCCCCTGCCTCTCAGGTGTGGTCTCGCTCCTCTGTGCCCTGGCTCCTGGAGCTCCAGCCACACGTTCTGCTGGTGTTTGGTGACAGCTGTCCTTCGGATTGCCAGGTGCACTCCTGCGGCAGTGTGTTTGTGTTTGCTGCTCCCTCTGCCCGGAAAGCACCTGGTGCCTCTATAGGAAGTGTCCTTGACCTCCATCCTCCTCCTCCTGCTGCCTTGTTTTCCTTCTCTGCTCTTGATGCCATTGCACACACCTGCTTGTTTACGGTCTGTCTTCTCATGGCTGGAAAGTAAGCCCCCTGCAGACAGGGACTGTATGCTTCTTTTTTGTACTCGGCTCTGTCCCTAGTGCTTAGAAGAGCACCTGCTACCTGGTAGGCACTCAGTATTTATTGAATGATGAGCACACCTGTTTTCTGGCGGTCTGATGGAACAAGAGGAGCTTGGGGGCGTGGGGCTGGCCTGAGTTGGAATCCTGGCTCTGCCACTTCCCCACTGTGAAGCTGCAGGCAAGCTGTGTAGCTGCCCTGAGCTTGTGCTTCCTTGTCTTTCAGATGAAGGTAACACCTTCTTTGTCATAAGGAGTAAATGTGGGTAAAGCATCCTATGTGTAATTTTGTTTATTATTCTATTATCCTGGATTGAAACATCATTTCCATTATTTTTGTTTTTATTATTTTCAACCCAACAGCACACTTTAAACTTAGATTTTTATGTTTATTATTATTTTTTCTATATCCAATAAGCAACATATAAACTTAGATTTTTAAATGAATACATACATTCCACAATAACAGATCATTAGAGCTGCTGGAATACGGAAATATTTTTAAAAGCAGTGTTTAAAATAAGGCCTCGGCCGGGCAGGGTGGCTTATGCCACTTTGGGAGGCTGAGGTGGATGGATCACCTGAGGTCAGGAGTTCAAGACCAGCCTGACCAACATGGTGAAATCCTGTCTTTACCCAAAAAAAAAAAAAAAAAAAAAAAAAAAATTAGCCTTAGCCGGGCGTGGTGGCATAGTCCTGTAGTCCCAGCTACTTGGGAGGCTGAGACAGGAGAATTGCTTGAACCTGGGAGGCGGAGGTTGCAGTCAGCCAAGAGCGCACCACTGCACTCCAGCCTGGGTGACAGAGTGACACTCTATCTCAAAAAAAAAAAAAAAAAAAAAAAAAACCCACAAAATATATAAAATAAGGCCGGAAGAAGCATAGGAATGTTTCTAAAGGACAATGAATGAGATGCTGGACACTTCTCCCATTGATAGGTTCATGTTTTGGAAACTTGTTCCAAAGAGAAAATGTCAGGGAAAAGCAAATACAGTCATTCCTTGGTATCCTTGGGGGATTGGTTCCAGGACCCACTGTGGATACCAAAATCCATGGATGCTCAAGTCCCTGATATAAAGGGTGTTTGCATATAACCTACACACATCCTCCCATATACTTTAAGTGATCTCTAGATTACTTATGATACCTCATGCAATGTAACTGCCGCATACATAGTTGTTATACTGTGTCATTTTAAATTTTTTTATTGTTGTATTGTTAATTTTTAAAATTAATGTTTTGAATAACTTTTTCTGCACTTGGTACCATGCGCATATTAGGGGCCTTCTGCTCTCCTTCCCGATTCCTGTCCTCTCCAGGCCTGATTCTGTGCAGGAAAATGATAGGGCTTGAGGGAAGGAGCAGCAGAAAGAAATGTAGCCCGCCTGACCTTTCCAGCCCTGGTTCTGTTCCTCTGATTTGACCTTAATCTTTCCACCTATGGTATGGGAAGAAGAAAAATACTAAAAAGGAAGTCAGAGAGCAGAAGAGAGAAAGAGGAAATGGTGGTGGACAAAAAAGCAAGTAATTTTCCCTCCCAATATTTTACTGTGACAATTTGTAAGCACACGGGGAGGTTCTACAGTAGTACAGGGGATCCCACAGCAGACACCATAGACCACCACCTAGGTCCTACAGTTAGCATCTCACTATATTTGCTTTATAGGAAATGGATAGATAGGGTTTCACTGGTCAAAACAGGAACACTGAGACAAATCCACTGAAAGTAGAACTGAATACCTGACTTTCTTTTTTTAAATTTTAATTCGAATTATTATTTTTTTAAAATTTTACTTTAAGTTCTGGGATACATGTGCAGAACATGCAGGTTTGTTACATAGGTATAAATGTGCCATGGTGCTTTGCTGTGCCTATCAACCAGTCATCTAGATTTTAAGCCCCGCATGCATTAGGTATTTGTCCTAATGTTCTCCCTCCCCTTGCCCCCTACCCACCAACAGACCCGGGTGTGTGATGTTCCCCTCCCTGTGTCCATTTGTTCTCATTGTTCAACTCCCACTTATGAGTGAGAACATGCAGTGTCTGGTTTTCTGTTCCTGTGTTAGTTTGCTGAGAATGATGGCTTCCAGCTTCATCCATGTCCCTGCAAAGGACATGAACTCATTCTTTTTTATGGCTGCATAGTATTCCATGGTGTATATGTGACGCATTTTCTTTATCCAGTCTATCATTGATGGATGTTTAGGTTGGTTCCAAGTTTTTGCTATTGAAAATAGTGCTGCAATAAACATACATGTGCATGTGTCTTTTTAGTGGAATGATTTATATTCCGTTGGGTATATACCCAATAATGAGATTGCTGGGTCAAATGGTATTTCTGGTTCTAGATCCTTGAGGAATCACCACACTGTCTTCCACAATGGTTGAACTAATTTACACTCCCACCAACAGTGTAAAAGCATTCCTATTTCTCCACAGCCTCACCAGCATCTGTTGTTTCCTGACTTTTTAATGATCGCCATTCTAACTGGCGTGAGATGGTATCTCATTATGGTTTTGATTTGCATTTCTCTAGTGACCAGTGATGATGAGCTTTTTTTCATGTTTGTTGGCTGCATAAATGTCTTCTTTTGAGAAGTGTCTAAATACCTGACTTTCAACATTGGCCTGAACTGAAGGAGCAGTGAAAGAAAGCAGGGTGCAGAGGCTGGGGACGTGGACACTCAGGGAGGGTGCATACACTCCTGTAAATCCTCCTTGTGGTATCTGAGCACAGCCCAGAAAGAAGAGAACCTGCAGTGTCATTTGCGAGGCCCAGGTCTATTAATTGGGGTCCTCTTGGTTGCAAATGATGAAACATTGGCTTAAGCTTGCTTCAGCAGAAAAGGAATGTACTGAGCAGATCCTAAGGCTCCCATGTCACTATGAGCGGGACAAAGGTGCATTTTAACAAACCCTTCCTGTGACTCTGATGTCTGCTCAAGTTTGAGAAGCGGTGTCCAACCATAACATGTTATCCACCAGTAACGACCAGATTATGTTATGTCTGATGATTTTAGGGCTGTGAATTCTTTTCTACATCTTTGTGGAATTGAGAGGAATTTCTTAGTTACTTTAATCTGTGAGGCATTTGAACTTTTTCCTTTTATATACTTTCTTATACAGGTGGTTGGCAGCTTAAATATCAGTGAAGCTGTTAATGAAGATACTTACTAAATAGCAAAGCAGCACCGAAGTGCACACCTTCATAGGATCTTCTGGAGCAAGCCAGAAATCTCAAGTGGTGCTGTGGCCAGGAAACAAAGCAAAAAATGCAGTGGTGAATAGAGAAGGAGCAAGAATTAGTAACTGAGACTGGTAGCTTTCCTTTTGATGTTGCATCCAAAAAGCAGTGACAAAGTAAGAGTAGCTACCTTCAGCTGTTTGTTTTGAAGGACACGTGGGATCAGTTTTTTGTCTTTATGTCCTACCCCCAGGAAACCTTTTAAGCTACCAGTCTTTTTCAAATGGAATTCCTCGTGGAAGGTGCAGGGGAAATGAAGTGCTCCCCTTGAAAGCTTTGCTGCTACCCAAACTCCATGCCCTATGGGAGGGAGGTGGCACAGCACTGGCCTGCAGCACATCATACTTATCCTGTTGTCTGGGAAGGACAGGACCACATCTACCCACAGTGCAGCATAAAATCCCCTAGTCCAAGAGGAGACAGAGTCAGCTGAGTGTGGCTGGCTCACAAAATGGAACACAATAGCTGATGTGTGTTATCTCTAGCTGTGCCTGGTGCATCACAGGCAGGCACACTATGCATTTTTACTGAATATTGTTCTTGGATGGATTTACCGAAGAAGAGCCTGAGGTTCAGAGAGGTTGATGACTTGCTTGATGTTCTATTGTACTCTCTGGAATCCCCGTTGCATTGCGTTCATTTTTCCTAAAAACACTCCCCTCCTCCCTCCTCCTCCTTGCCTTAATTTGAATTTAGTTTTTACAGGATAACAATAGTAAAAACAATAATGATGATTTTCATTTGTTATCGTTATAGTTGGTGTCTGTTCAATGCATACTGTGTCAGACACTGTTATCCTAAGCACACTGCATGGCTAACTTGTTTAATCCTCAGAGCAACACTCTGAAGTGGGTACCATGATCATACTTACTTTTTAGGTGAAGAAACCAAAGCACAGAGAGGACGTGATTTGCCCAAGGTCACACAGCTAAGCACTGGCAGAGCCAGGATTCAGACCCAGGTGGTCTGTATTTTCAGCCCTTGGCCACTAAACTGTGCTGCCACGTGACATAGCTTTTTTCCCAACCCCTGTGACGTGGGATGGGGACCTCCTGGCTCCTGTTGGTCTTCAGCCTGGTGTTGCTGTGGAAGACACCCACCCCTCCAGAATGCCTCCCTGCCCTCTCTGCCTGAGAAAAACTGAATCATGGCCTCTTCTGTGAGGTCTTGGGACTCCCCCAGCCCCTCCTGGGCTTTCTCCACATTCGTTTCTCTGCAGCTTAGTGCTGTCCTCAGTGTGTTCTGTGTGGTTATATGGGAACCTCCTCTTTAGGTGGTTAACTCTGATCGGCAGGGCCTCCTGATTCACTTTGACATTCATGCCATATGCACAGCATACAGATCTTCTAAGTGGACGTAGGCTAAAGATGTACGTCCAGCCTCTAGTGGGTTTTTGGTAAAGCTTAGCTGAATTACAGTGTTCAGAATGGGAGGGACAGGAATGGAGAAGCCACAAGCCCGACAGAAGCAGCCCTGGCAAAGTGACAAGAAGGGAGGGAGGGGTTTGGAGCTGTTTCTCCTGCCGATCTTCCCTTCCCTCTCCCACATACATGTGGAGGGCTGCTGCAGTCTCCCTAGGAGCATGGCATCCCAGGAGGAGTGCCCCCCTCTCTCCCCAGGACGTCCGCATCCCCCGTCCACTTCCTCCTGGCACTGAAATCTGGACTTTATCTCACTGCAGGATTCACTGAAAGGCTGTTGGATGGCTGGAATCCCCTTCAGCCTTTACAGCTAACATACTAGGTGTTCCCATATTCTAAGGGCTCTTTTACTGTGGGTGAGCTGGCTGGAGGAGAAGGGGAGAGGAGAAGGGGGACGAGAAAGGGAGCCCCACCCTCTGCTCAGGACCCATTGTTCACATTCTTTTCCGTGTGAAATGTTGCTGCATCCAGGCCCTAGGCTATGAGTGGTGGCATTTCTATGTTTGTGGAATGAATATAAAGTCTGTTTTAGGATCAGTGGACAAAAATCAGCATGTTTGAAGTGGAGGTTACAATCAGTTGGTTAGTACGATATTTGACATTTACCCTGGGCCCTTAATGGTGCAGTTTTTCTGATGTAAGGAGGGTGAAAAAGCAGCCACTATGTGTACTAAACAGAAGGCGTGATGAGTACAGTCAGTGCAGGATCGTGAAGGCATCAGCACATTCCTTCTTCAGCTAATCAGCCCAGACAGTGTGGGGTATTTTTGTATTCTCTGCTGTTTGTGCTCTGAGTACATGTGCACAAAATGCAGTGACACTGATCAATAAACTCTTTAAGCCTAATAAGCATATGCAGTCTCATAGCAATGAGGACATAAACAGGGAGAAGGATCTTAGGTGATTCAAATTCTCTTTTGTTGGCCAGGCACGGTGGCTCATGCCTGTAATCCCGCCACTTTGGGAGGCCGAGGCAGGTGGATCACCTGAGGTCAGGAGTTTGAGACCAGCCTGGCCAACATGGTGAAATCCCGTCTCTACTAAAAATACAAAAATTAGCTGGGTGTGGGGGCACGTGCCTGTAATCCCAGCTTCTTGGGAGGCTGAGACAGGAGAATCGTTCAAATCTGGGAGGCGGAGGTTGCAGTGAGCCGAGATTGTGCCACTGCACTCCAGCTTGGGTGAAAGAGTGAGACTGTCTCAAAAAAAAAAAAAAAAAAAAAAAAAAGAAAAAAAAATTCTCTTTTGGAGGTGAGGAGACTGAGCTACCAGATCCAAACCTTTCCAGGGCTCCATGGCTCACAGGTTGCCCGATTCCTAATACAGCATGGTACTTCATGCCCTCCTTCCAAAGGAGGATTTAGATTTTGTTTGTAAATCTAAAGATGCTTCTGTTGCTGCCAGCCTGGAGAACCACCATGGAGAGCCACTAGGAAAACAGCTGCAATGATGATGTTGAAGATGATGAGAGCCTCCAACATTTATGTTCTTAATAAAATGCTTTAAATTTTTAACTAAGGGCACAACTCTAGAGATACGCCAACTGCTTTCTCTTTTTTTTTTCGGTGGGGGGGCGGGAGACAGGGTTTTGCTCTGTTGCCCATACTGGAGTGCAGTGGTGCAATCATGGCTCCCTGCAGCCTCGAACTCCAGCGATCCTCCCGCCTCAGCCTCCTGAGTAGCTAGGACTACAGGCACGCAGTGCCACACCCCACTAATTTTTAAAAAAGATTATTTGTAGAAATGGAGTCTTACTATGTTGCTCAGGCTGGTCTTGGACTCCTGACCTCAAGTGATTGTCTTGCCTTGGCCTTCAAATGTTTTCTCCATTTTAGAATTGAGGAACTGCAGCATCAGTACCTGGGTCATATAGGTAGGAAGAAGGAGCGCTGCTCCCTTCACCACTCCCTGGGCTGCCTCCTTCCTGTGTGATTGCAGGGAACCTCCTATATAGAGATCCCAGATCCCAAGTCTTCTTTTGCATGTCCCACTCCCTCCCCACCCTTGAAAACAAAAACAAACCCTGCGATGCAGCACTTACTGCTGACTCCTCACCAGAGACCCCCCAGCCCTGAGCATGGTGCTGCAGCTACCTGTGCTTTCCCCCCGGTCACTGCTACTGCTTCACCCCTGTTCTTATCATGACTGGCGCCACCTATGTTACCATGCCAGGTCCTCTTGCAGTGCCTCAAAGGCAAAACTCCCACTGCTTGCGCACTGCTGTCTTGTGTTGCCTCCAGCTGTCATCTCACCAAGACCTTGAGTCCCAGGAACCAACCCCTTATGGAAGGGGGCAGGGCAAGCTCTACCTCTGCTGCTCTGGGGTGGTGGCTGGGGATGGAGGCTGTGGTGGGATCTCCGAGGGGGTTTCACTTCTGTTCCCAGTAGGAGTGCTCTCATTTGTTGGATTTCCTGGTTTATTCTGGGTTTCAGAGAGCCCTTCCTCTCTTGGCCTTTGCTGTAGAGTTTGAAAATTCTGTACTTTGAGTCAGACTTGCAGATTTTAGAAATGTCAGAGAATCAGATAGGGGAAAAGCAGAATCCACCGTGTATGGCTTGCGTTATTGCGTTAAGAATTCCCTTAACCACTGTGATTTCCCTTTTTCATTTGAGAAGTCATCTAGGGAGTTTTCAAAGTTTCAAACCAGAATTGATTTTCATTTGGGGACCAGGGAGGCACCTGAGTGTGCTTCTTGGAAGAGTGAGTAATAGTTTTTCTCTATTGAGAAAAAGCTGCCAACATTATAGACTATGGTCATTTAATATTAAACATGTATTATACAGGTGACCTGATGGATGGTTTGAGAGGTTGGAGAGCTTGAGTGAAGGGATGCTTTTTACTCTGAGATGGGAAGTGGAAAGACCATTACAGAGTTCTCTAAGAAGGGTAGTAGTGTAACTTCTGGATTAACTCAAGTGTCATGTTTGGTCCATGATATGGTTTGGCTGTGTCCCCAACCAAAATTCATGTTGAATTTTAGCTCCCATAATCCCCACATGTCACAGGAGGGATCTGGTGGGAGGTAATTGAATCCTGCTGTTCTCATGATAGTGAATAAGTCTCAGGAGGTCTGATGGTTTTATAAAGGGGAGTTCCCCTGCACATGCTCTCTCTTGCCTACCAAGAGTATAGTGAGATGTGACTTTGCTCCTCCTTTGCTTTCCACCATGATTGTGAGGCCTCCCTAGCCATGTGGAACTGTGAGTCAACTAAACCTCTTTCCTTTGTAAATTACCCAGTCTTGGGTATGTCTTTATTAGCAGCATGAGAACAGACTAATACAGTCCAGTTGCTAAATTAGGGGACTGTGCTGTTGTTCAGAAAATGTGGTCGTGGGCCAGGCGTGGTGGCCCACGCCTGTAATCCTAGCACTTTGGGAGGCTGAGGCAGGTGGATCACCCGAGATCAGGAGTTTGAGACCAGCCTGGGCAACATGATGAAACCCCGTCTCTACTAAAAATACAAAAATCAGCCAGGTGTGGAGGCACACGCCTGTAGCCCCAACTACTACTTGGGAGGATGAGAATCAGGAAGGCAGAGGTTGCAGTGAGCCGAGATCGCATCACGGCACTCCAGCCTGGGCGACAGAGTGAGACTCGTGTCTCAAAAAAAAAAAAAAAAAAAAAAAAAGAAAAGAAAAACAAAAGAAAATGTGATTATGCTGACATCTAGTAACTGGAGTTGCACACAAATCATCCTTTTAATGTGAATTACTTGTTTTTAAAGTTAATAATTTGTTTTGAAATCTTGACCAAGATTGCATGGCTAATATGAAGACATCCACCATCAGGCTGGGAGTGGTGGCTCATACCGATAATACCAGCATTTGGGAGGCTGAGGTGGAGGATTGCTTGAGGCCAGGAGTTCAAGACCAGCCTGGGCAACATAGTGAGATCCTGTCTCTTCTTTTCTTTTCTTTTTTCTTTTTTTTTTTTTTTTGAGATGGATAGACTGTTTGCCAGTATAGAGTGCAGTGGCGCGATCTCGGCTCACTGTAACCTCCATCTCCTGGGTTCAAGCGATTCTCCTGCCTCAGCCTCCCGAGTAGCTGGGATTACAGGCATGTGTCACCACACCTGGCTAATTTTTGTATTCTTAGCAGAGATGGGGTTTCACCATGTTGACCAGGCTCATCTCGAACTCACCTGGCTAATTTTTGTATTTTTAGTAGAGATGGGGTTTCACCATGTTGACAAGGCTTGTCTCAAACTCCTGACCTCAGGTGATCTGCCCGTTTTGGCCTCCCAAAGTGCTAGGATTATAGGCATGAGCCACTGCGCTCGACCATGTGATCCCACCTCTACAAAAATATTTTTAAAAAATTAGCCAGGCATAGTGTTGTGCACCTATAGTCCTAGCTACTTGGGAGGCTGAGGCAGGAAAGCCCAGGAATTCAAGGCTGCAATGAGCCATGTTTGAACTACTACACTCCTGCCTGTGTAACAGAGCAAGACCTTGTCTCTAAAAAAACAAAAAGACTTCTACCGTCATCCCTCTTGTTAAAAGGCAATGGCGAGTTACTGTTTAATGAGTAGACTTTATTTGTGATGGTAAAAATTTCTGGAGATGGATGGTGGTGATGGTTGTACAACATGGTGAATGTATTTAATACCACTGAATTGTGCACTTAAAATGGTGAATTTTATATTATGCTTATTTTAGCACAGTAAAGTTTTAAAAATTACAAAAAAAAGGAAAAAAAAAAAACCCAGAAGGCTAGTATTTGCAGGAGTGGAACTAGGACTTTGCCTAAATTGCAAACTTCCTTCACTCCAATTTTCTTTTTCTGTTTTAATGAAGCACAGCATATTTACAATAAAATCCATAAAGTACACTAATCTTAATCTTAGCTATAAAGCTCATTGCATGTTTATATTTTTTTACACTTGTGTAACCACCACCCTGTCAATATGTTGAACGTTCCAGCACCCCAGAAGGTTTCTTTTTGGTTGTAACTCCCCGAGAGGTAACCACTATTCTGACTTATATTACCATCATTTGATTGTGCAGCTTTTAAACTTAATACAAGTGGAATCAGGCAGTATATACTCTTTTGTGTCTGCTTCTTTCACTTAGCATAATACCTGGGACAGCCACCCATTTATTAGTATATCAGTAATTCATTTTTTTCCTATTTGCTGTGTGGTTCTCATTGCATTTATCCTCTCTGTTGAAGGACATTTGGGTTGTTCTAGTTTTGGGCTGCTATAAAAAAGGTGCTATGAACATTCTTTTGAGGGACCTATGTACTTGCTTCTCTTGGGTGCGGATCTAGGAATGGGATTGCTGAGTCACAGGGAACTGTGCGTGCTCACTTAGGAGTCTCCCTTCTTCGACTTACTGCCTTTCAGCAAATGTTTGTCCTACCCCTTTCATGACAGGGAAGAAAGCAAAGCAAGAGCAGAGGGTGTTGCTTTCTTCTATTTTCCAGCCTTAGCGTTAGTAGATACTGCCACTTTCCAAAGCAGTTATGCCAGTTTACACTTCCACTCACAGGGCATGAGTGTTCCAGTTGCTTCACAGCCTCACCAACACTTGGTATTGGTGTTTATTCACTTTCAAACTATGGTGGGGTGAGGGTGGTTACACCCTGAAATTTAAATGATGCAAAGATGGAAACTTTAAAAAATTGTGCAAATATTTAAACTTCTAACTCTCAGTAAATGACCCCAAAGCCAGTGGAGTAGGATGGAGCAGGGCTTTTCCCTTCAGCCTGTGTGATGGGCGGGGCTCGCCCACTGCATATCGACATTGATTTAAGGGCTTTTCCTTACTGTGTGCTCTGGATGTCAGATACATTAGACAGCTTTGGGCAGCTGCCTTCTCCAGTCTTCCGGCACTGTTCCTCTCCAGAGCCTTCTTTCATGAAGACCCAACAGTAGTTGAGAGAATTCAGTTGTGGTTTTTCTCATTAACGTTGAATGTAATCTATCTGGGCCTGAAGTGTGGATCACTTAGGAGTCTCCTTTCTTAGACTTCAGCACCTTTTAGCAAATGTTTGTCCCATGACAGGGAAGAAAGCAAAGCCAGAACAGAGGGCGCTGCTTTCTTCTGTCTTCCAGCCTCCAAGATTTCCTTTCTCACCTTTGAACACATTTTCTGTGTCAGATCATCTACAGAATGCTTGGTGGTGAGGCCACAGCAGATACTCAGATTGTTTCTCTCCCTCCACCTCCTCCTGGCCTATGTCATGAGCCTTTTTTTGTTGTCCTGGAATTTCTTTTGCATTGCCCTACCCTGCCTTTTGTGCATCTCCCAGTTCTTTTTTCATTGGTTCCCATTCTTTTTTTCCCCCACCAGGAGAGCAGATTTATTTTTTATTTAAAATTTTTGTTTAGAGACGAGGTTTCACTTTGTCACCCAGGCTGGAGTACAATGGCACAATCATAGCTTACTGCAACCTTGAACTTCTGGGCTCAAGCAATCCTCTCACCTCAGCCTCCTGGGTGTCACCATGCCCAGCTAATTAAAAAAAAATATTAGCGAGACAGAGTCTCACTGTTGCCCAGGCTGGTCTTGAACTCCTGAGCCCAGCAGTCCTCCCACCTCAGCCTCCCAAAGTTCTGGGACTACAGTCGTGAGTCACTGTGCCCAGCCACATTTTTTAAGGCTCATTACTTGAAGTGTGACCTGATGGTATTCTTCACGCACAGTCTTAGACACTGCTCTTTGAAACAGTCATGGGAGATCATACTCGGACCTGTTATGACAGAAACAGGTTTGTGTAGCTTTGCATTTTTTCACTTCACTCTATCATGCTACTCAAAGTGCTGTTATTGTATCTTGACTGCTGGGCACATAGCCCAGCTCCCATGCTCTGCTTGTTTATAGCGCTCCTTCCTGAAAACCACCTCTTCATCCTCTCTCTTTCCTTCCAACTCTCTCAGCTCAAGAGGGCCAGCAGTGAGGACACGCTCAACAAGCCAGGAAGTACCGCTGCATCGGGGGTGGTTCGCCTGAAGAAGACCGCCACTGCCGGAGCCATCTCGGAGCTCACGGAGAGCCGCCTGAGGAGCGGCACAGGTAGGAGGGACCGGGCAGGTGGGCTCGGCAGGCCATCAGTCCTGGCCGCATGGAAGCACTTCAGTGACCCATGACCCATCCATTCCTTCCCTCGTGAAATATTTCTTGACCACTTACCCTGGGCCGGAACTGTTTTAGGCAGACGATGTCGCTGCCCACAGGGAGTTTACATCTATAGAGTGGGGAGACCGATGAGAAGCAAAAGGTAACTGGGCGTGCTGTGGTTTCTTTGGTCCCTTCGGAGGTCCATTTGTCACCATGCACGTGTGAAATCCTTCTGACATCCAAGCAGGGCGGCATATGTTCTGGGGCTGTCTTGATACAGAATGCATTAGAGGAATGAATGAACCCTGTTGATCCCTTGCGAAGGTGGGTGTCTAATATTTGTACTGAACCCTATGGAAAGCTGGGAAGAGCCTCGCCCAGCAGCTGTGGAAGGCTGCTCAGAGTGGCTTGGACGGCAGTGGCAACAGGAAGCTGTGAACCTTCTCAGTGTTACTCATTTTTTAAGAATCAGAAAAGGGTTTTTCAATCATTATATTTGAGTTCAGAGCATGTGAAACATGAAATATCAAAGAATTTATTTAATTCTCTCTTTGTGCATATAGATAATAACTCTTAAGCTTTCATGGCCTAACTCTTACAGTGCAGCCCTCAGTGTATTGCTAAATTGTCTAAGACGGGAAAAATAACTGAAATACATCGTTACTAATTTTTAATGTGTTGAAGGGGCACTTATAATTTTTGTGCTCTTTTCGTAAAAGTCACATTCAGGCTAGATCTCAAAAGGTATATTTTAATTTATCAGTTTTTAAAAAGTTGAATCTGTGAAAACCATACAAGGTATTCTTTTCTTGGATATAAAGGGAATGGCCTGGTTTTTCTATATAATGGCTTTACCATTGTAAATACTGATATTGTATTAAACATACACACACACTTGGTTTTTAAAATACAATAAACAAAAGTACCATTTATTTTTATCAAGCCAGCCTAACAGTGATCCCAAAAGTTAATAAAGCCCCACTCAAAAAAAGACAGACTGGGAGGAGCCTAGGGGCAGGGTGGGAATGAGGACCAGCCGAGTCCCGGGTGTGGGACAAATTGCGTGTGTGTGGTGTGTCCCCAAAAGCAGGAAGGTGGCGAAAGGAGGCGAATCCCAGTGGGTGGAGGGAGGGGAAAGGCGGAAGGAGAAAAAGGTGGGAGGAGGATCGGGTGGGAGGGTGGTGGCTCACTCAGGACCCAGGGGGGGGGCAGCGCGATGAGGTGGGTGGCCCTGTTCCTGAACGGCAGCCCCAAGAAGGGAAAGGTGGTTGCTGTATGTGGAACTTTATCTGATTTGCTTTCTGTGGCCAGTGGTAAACTTGGCATAAAAGCCACCAGTGTGTATAATGGCAAAGGTGGACTGATTGATGATATTGCTTTGATCAGGGATGATGATGTTTTGTTTGTGTGTGAAGGAGAGCCATTTATTGATCCTGACAGATTCTAAACCACCTGAGGGATTGTCAGGATTCCACATAGACTGGCTAACATTAAATGCTGGAGGGGCGGTACTTTACAACCACACAGAGCACTTTAGTGAATAAAGAACCTGATAGTATGCTGGCCCACATGTTTAAGGACAAAGATGTCTGGGAAATAAGCAAGATCACAGAGGAGCTTTCTTAATTGACCGAAGTCCTGAGTACTTTGAACCCATTTTGAACTACTTGTGTCATGGAGAGCTTATTGTACATGATGGCATTAATTTATTGGATATGTTAGAAGAAGCAAGATTTTTTGTATTGACTCATTGATTGAACACCTAGAAATGGCAATAAAGAATTCTAAACCACCGGAGGATCATTCACCAATATCCTGAAAGGAATTTGTCTGATTTTTGCTGGCAACTTCAATCAAGTCAGAACTGCGATGCCAAGGTTTGAACTTCAGTGGTGCTGATCTTTCTCATTTGGACCTTTGAAACATTAACTTCAAAATGGCCAGTTTAAGCCGCTGCAGTCTTGCACATGCAAATCTTTGCTGTGCAAATCTTAAACAAGCTGATCTCTCTGGATCAGTGCTTGACTGTGCAAATCTTCAGGGAGTCAAGACACTCTGTTCTAATGTAGAAGGAGCATCCCTGAAACTGTGTAATTTTGAGGATCCTTCCGGTCTTAAAGCCAATTTAGAAGGTGCTAACCTGAAAGGTGTGGATATGGAAGGAAGTCAGATAACAGGAATTAACCTGAGAGTGACTACCTTAAAAAATGCAAAGTTGAAGAACTGTAACCTCAGAGGAGCAACTCTGGCAGGAACTGATTTAGAGAATTGTGATCTGTCTGGGTGTGATCTTCAAGAAGCCAACCTGAGAGGGTCCAACATGAAGGGAGCTAGATTTGAAGAGATGCTAACACCACTACACATGTCACAAAGTGTTAGATGAGAATTTTAGGGGCTGGAGGAACATGTACAAGATGAAAATGTTTTCCTTATCACTTTTCTTTCTCCACCCGCTCAGTTGTCTAGAAGAAATAACACTGTAAGGAAGTTAAAAAAAAATTTAGAGGATTATGCTTGTTCTCAGTGGTGCATAAGGGAAAAAATTGACTTTTTTTTCCATATTCTGATTTTTAACAGAAAAGCACTCATTTAATAGATATAGGGAAACTAGATATTGCTGCCTTTTGAACAGGGTAGGGGGGTTTACCTGGTTTTATGACCAGGAATAGTATCTATTACATTTGCTTTTAAATAGGCATGATGTGGAAATACCATCTTGGTTTGAGATGCATTTGAGGATTTTAATTTATGGAAAGCACAACATATGCAATTTATATTTATTGAATACTAGATGCAGTATGGATATTTAAATTGTAAAAACTTTACGAAAACTTGGAAAAGGTTGTTCAGGTTTATAAATAGCTTTAGTGATGCCTCCTTCTTTAAATACTTGTCACAGCATATGAATATGGTAAGATCAGACTCCCTAAGACTCTTCAGGTTCATTTTTATAATGTTTACTTTTTAGAACAAAACAGTAGCTAAATTACAGTAATATCCAGTTCTTACTGATTGAGACAGAGTGGAAAGAAAGACATCGTTGTACATCACTGTCATTCCAAAGGTACAGTGGAACTCCGGATGGAGGAAGAACTTACCTATCACTACAACACTTATAAATGAGCATTTCTCAGAATGTCATTCTAGGCAAGTTCCACTCAACACCAGACCAAGCAATTCTGTCTATTCACACTATTAGCCTAGTTTTCTCATACAATCAGCACAAGCATAGGAAGATACTTCAAAACCAAAAAACCAAGGTGCACCATTAATATTCATTTAATTCAAATACCAAATAGTTTTACATAGGGCCATCTTAGAAATAGATATTAAATCCAGATCTACTGCAATCAAAGCTTACACAATATGAATGAATATGGTAGAGTTGCCTGTTAAAAGGCAATGTAATATAATTGCTGCTAGAACCCTACAGTGGGGAATGAGGAATTTTAAACATATATTTGATTACAGCCACCAAAAAAGTATATATAAAGAAAGTAAAAATAAAGGCATTTGGCTGGTCCAAGATGTAACACCAATCAGTCAGCACCTATGATTCTTTTACTTACATTTTTTACTTTTTGTTTTTGTTTTTGTTTTTTTGAGACAGAGTATCAGTCTGTCGCCAGGCTGGAGTGCAGTGGCGCAATCTTGGCTCACTGCAACCTCCGCCTCCTGGGTTCAAGCGATTCTCCTGCCTCAGCCTCTCGAGTAGCTGGGACTACAGGTGCACACCACCACGCCCAGCTAATTTTTGTATTTTTAGTAGAGACAGGGTTTCACCATGTTAGCCAGGATGGTCTTGATCTACTGACCTTGTGATCCACCTGCCTTAGCCTCCCAAAGTGCTGAGATTACAGGCGTGAGTCATGGCGCCCAGCCTGTTTTTTTTTTTGTTTTTTTTTTTAGTGAAATTTAGCCTGTTTTTCTTGAGTCATTTTCTCTCTGCAACAGTAGAGGAAGGGCCTGTATCTCCCTACCAATGACCTGGTGTCCTTACATCTACCCCAAGAGCAGGGATGTTAGCTGTGTCCACAGGGTTCTGAATTCTACAGACTCATCAACATGAGGCAAGGAATCATTGAAAACCACTTTTGTCTCCTTTGGGAGAATGACTCATCTTTAGTATTTATGTAGTGTATTCTTCTATATCTACATATGCAAAGCTTTCTTTGACAGTAAAGGGCACATATGCATAGTGGGAGAAGATCAGACCTTTACAAGTGAAGGAAAGCAACTTCAGAAATGAATTATTTTCTTTGCTTTATTATTTTTACCAAGACAGAGAAGTATTGTATTGAGAGATTATCTATTTTCATAATCAACATTTGCCTAAATTATATTTAAATCATTTCACTTTGTACTATATTTTCAGGAATTATAGAATGTGTTATTCACTCACTTAAAGGTACCTCTGTAGAAATAACCTAAAACTGCAGAAGGATCCGAAAGATATAACATGGTGTGTTTAGAAACTGCAGATTTTAGATCTAATGTATACTGCATTAATAAATGATGTAAAGTGTGGAAAAGGAAAAAAAAAGACTGATCCCATGATCAAATATTAATATAAAAATTTGAGATCAGCCGGGCACGGTGGCTCACACCTGTAATCCCAGCACTTTGGGAGGCCAAGGTGGGTGGATCATGAGGTCAGGAGATCAAGACTAGCCTGGCCAACATGGTGAAAACCCATCTCTACTAAAAATACAAACATTAGCTGGGCGCGGTGGCGGGTGCCTGTAATCCCAGCTACTCAGGAGGCTGAGGCAGGAGAATCACTTGAACCCGGGAGGTGGAGGTTGCAGTGAGCCGAGATCGTGCAACTACACTCCAGCCTGAGTGACAAAGCAAGACTGTCTCAAATAAATAAATAAATAAATAAATAAAAATAAAAAAAATTGGAGATCAAAATATTAGTGCATAGGATTCAACAATAAATTAAAAGAACAGTAGTGTACATCACAACTAAGTGAATTTATGCCACCCAAGAATGGATGAATATTAAGAAATTTTGGAATATAATCTATCATACCATATTAACAGGCCAAAGAAGAAAAACTGTAGTTATCTCTATAGATACAGAACATACATGTGACACAATTAACAATCTTTCTAACAACAAACTCTTGATAGACTATACATGTGCAGAGACTTCTTTAATGATGTGTATGTGTCACAAACAAAAGCCAGCGATTCCCATTAAAGTCAAAGATAATTCAAGGTTGCTTACTATCACCAGTCATCTAAAATTTTCGGTAGATACTAACCAAGGCAGTAAGATAAGAGAGATGTAGAAGTACATAAATATTGGAAATGAGGGAACAAAATGATGATTGTAATCAGATAATAACATTGTATGCTTTGAATTTCCTGAAAATTGTCTTAGAATTTTCTGAAATTCTATTAGAGACAATAAGAGTTCTGTATGTGGCTAGTTGTAGACTATAATATATCAATAACTTTCTTTTTTATTTATTTTATTTATTTATTTTTTTGAGATGGAGTCTCGGTCTGTCGCCCAGGCTGGAGTGCAGTGGCGCGATCTTGGCTCACGGCAAGCTCCGCCTCCCAGTTTCACGCCATTCTCCTGCCTCAGCCTCCCGAGTAGCTTGGGACTACAGGTGCCCGCCACCACGCCCAGCTAATTTTTTGTATTTTTAGTAGAGATGGGGTTTCACCATGTTAGCCAGGATGGTCTCGATCTCCTGACCTCGTGATCCACCCACCTTGGCCTCCCAAAGTGCTGGAATTACAGGCATGAGCCACCATGACCGGCCATCAGTAGCTTTCTTACCAGTGACTAGAAAAGATAATAATGTAAGAAACAGTTCTATTTATAAAGGAATGAAAGGGCAAAATATTTAGAAATAGTGTGAGCATCTATAAAAAAAATCTTAAAACTCTTTTGAAGGAGAAGTCTTATGTCCTTCAAAGAAGACATAAATAAGTGAAAGCATATATGTGATTCTTAGGAAGATTAAATAGAATTAAGATTAAACTTAGTACAAGATATAAAATGTAATAAGGATGTCTGAATTATTCTAAGAATTCCTTTTCATCTTGATTCAGTGGGAATTTGGGAGTGGAAACCTGAATAAAATAACTGGAATTTATCTAAAACCCGTTGTTCTCAATGGGGGACGATTTTGTCCCCCAGTTCCAACCCAGGGAACAATTGGCAGTGTCTGGAGACTTTTTTTTTTTTTTTTTTTTTTTTTTTTTTGGCTGTCATGACTCGGGGCTGCTACTGCCATCTAGTGGGTAGAAGCCAGAGATACTAAACATCCTAGGATGCGCAGGACCGTCCCTGCAGTGGAGAGTGTCCTGCCCAAAAATGTCAACAGTACTGCTGCTGAGAAATCCTGACCTAGCAGAATAAATATTCTAGAGTAACCAGGAAAATTCTGACAATACTAATCAGGGGATTAACCTTAGGCATTCTGGAACTGAAGAGGTGCTAGGCAGCTCAGTGGAACGGTGGACAAAGTGCAGAATACACTGGAAGATTTAGTACAGGGGAAAGGTGGCATTTCATATCACGGTGGATAATTCACTCAAAAATGTGACCGAGTAAGTATTTAGGAAGGAATAAAGCTGGATCCCTATCTCATTCCTCCCATCAAAATAAATTCTAGGAGGATTAAAGATTTAAATATTAAAAAATGAAACTGCAAGACTACAAAGAGAAAGCATCAGAGAATTAATTTGTAGTCTTGGCCTTGGAAGAACCTTTCTAAGTAGGAACAGACACAGAAGCCATAAAGGAAAAGATGAAAAATGTACTTACATAAATATAAGAAACTTCTTTGCAAAAAGAAGAAATTATTTGCAATACATGTAACAAAATGCTTATTTACAAAGAGTTTATACAAATCAATAAGAAAAAGAAAAATAGGCCAGATGTGGTGGCTCATGCCTATAATCCCAGCAATTTGGGAGGCCAAAGTGGGAGGATTGCTTGAGCCCAGGAGTTGAAGACCAGCCTGGGCAACATAGTGAGACCTCATCTCTACAAAAATAAATAAATAAAAATTAGCTGGGTGCGTGCCTGTAGTCCCAGCTGCTTGGGAGGCTGAGGTGGGATGATTGTCTCAAAAAAAAAAAAAAAAAAGAAAAGGAAAAATAATATAATAGAAATATATATAGCGCCCATGAAAAATACAGATGGCTAGTGGAAAGATACTAAGCCTTACTTAAGAAATGTAAAGCAAGGCTGGGTGCGGTGGCTCAACGCCTGTAATCCTAGCACCTTGGGAAGCTGAGGCGGGCTGATTGCTTGAGCCCAGGAGTTCGAGACCAATCTGGGCAAAATGGTGAAACCCTGTCTGTACAAAAAATACAAAAATTAGCCAAGCATGGAAGCGTGCACCTGTAGTCCCAGCTAGTTGGGAGACAGAGGTGGGAGGATCACTTGAACCTGGGAAGTGAAGGTTGCAGTGAACTGAAATCATGCCACTGCACTCCGGCCTGGGCAACAGTGAGACCCTGTCTCACAATAAATAAATAATAAATAAATAAATAAATAAAGCAAAACAACAATTAGATATATAATTTCCGCTAATACATTAGCAAAAATTAAAACAGTTTATCATTTCTGGTGTCATTAAGGGTGTAAAGAGCCACATATGGTTGATGCACAAGGACAAGTTGGTAATATCTATCTAAATCTTAATTTAATCTTTCACCAAGCATTTCTATTATTTAGCACTTAACGGTTACTGATATTCTTGGAAAAGGATGCCAACATGTATGAGCAAGTTCAGTTGCATGATTATTTATAATAGTATAATATGGGAAACAACCTAAGTATGTATTCATACAGGGCTGGTTGAACAATGTGATTTTGGTGCAGTAGAATAGTATACAGGCATGAAAATGAATACAGTAGATTTGTGTGTACTGATAGGGAAAGATTTCCAATATACATTACTAAGTGGGGAAAATAATATGGTGCATATGGTATAACCTTAATTTGGTTTTGGTTTTAGAAGTATATATTAATTATTAAAATCAACTTTTTTTTCCTGGAAGGATGTCAGAATGATTATCTTTGAGGAGAGTTAGCAGAATTGATAGTGGCAGAGGAAAATTTTTTCATTTTAGATTTTCCTGTGCTGTTTGAACATTTTAAACATATGCATACATTGCTATACAAAATTAAAAACAAGGTAAATACAACATAAATTTAGACAATATAAATATAAACTAAACTTTTTTTTGCCTTCACAAAATCCTTCCTCTTCTACTTGCCTTTTGTAGTGTTCTTTAGCCATTTGTTGGTGGATTTTTTTTTATTGTTTGCTTATAGCATCTGCTCCTTTGCACAGGATTCTAGGAAAAGACCTTGGTTTCATATTGGCTCCTAAAGTAGACAAGTTCCCATGCCCCAAGGGGCATTGGCATCCTTTATTTGTCAAAGGAAGGAAATAACTACATATCTACTATACAGTGATGTTGGGAAAAAGGTCTGTGAATAATTTATATAGACTGTAATGAAAAGTAAGTGACAGTTATTATTCTCCTAGTTATACAAATTGTTTGTCAGTTACTTCATTTAAGTGAAATTAAATTATTTGAGTTAATAGGGTTGAATTTGAAAATTACATTTTGTTTCTGAAGCTTTTATTTTTTTAAATTTATTTTATTTTTTGAGACGGAGTTTCGCTCTTGTTGCCCAGGCTGGAGTGCCATGGCGCTCCACAACCTCCGCCTCCTGAGTTCAAGTGATTCTCCTGCCTCAGCCTCCTGAGTAGCTGGGATTACAGGCTTGCGCCACCACGCCCAGCTAATGTTGTACTTTTAGTTGAGATCGGGTTTCTCCATGTTGGTCAGGCTGGTCTTGAACTCCCAACCTCAGGTGATCCACCTGCCTCAGCCTCCCAAAGTGCTGGGATTACAGGCGTGAGCCACCACACCCAGCCAAGAGCTTTTATTTTTAAATGTCAGTAGTCCTCAACATTTTTGTAGCACCTTTGGACAGCTGATACTTTTGTACATTGTCATGCTGTCCCCAGACTGCCTCATTTGGAATAGGTGAATACCAGTCTATTAGGACAGACCATTAGGAGCAGTGGTATGCAGTGCCTGTCTGTTGCAGGTGTTATCACCTCTACAGTTGTATAGTATTGTTTCGGTAATCATTTCAATATTTGATTGCATTTTGTCTATTTTACATGCGTGAAAACGAGGAAAATGAAAGTGCTGGTTGGGATTACAGCAACTAGTTGTACAGGCTGAACATCCCAAATCCAAAAATTCAAAATCCCAAATGCTTCAAAATCTGAAATGTTTTGAGCACTGACATGATGCTCAAAGGAAATGCTCACTGGGGCATTTTGGATTTTGGATTTTTGGATTAGAGATGCTGAACTGGTAAGTATAATGCAAATATTCCAAAATAAAAAATCAGAAATCCAGAACACTTATGGTCCTGAGCATTTTGGATAAGGGATACTCACCCTGTAGTAATAAGCTTGGGTTTTAAAATCTCAGTACTGCCGGGTGGGGTGGCTTATGCCTGTAATCCCAGCACTCTGGGAGGCCGAGGCAGGCGGATCACCTGAGATATTTGGAGACCAGCCTGGCCAACATGGCGAAACCCCTTCTTTACTAAAAATAGAAAAAAATTAGCCAAGTGTTGTGGCGGGTGCCTGTAATCCCAGCTACTTGGGAGGCTGAGGCAGAAGAATCTCTTGAACCTGGGAGGTGGAGGCTGCAGTGAGCCGAGATTGTGCCACTGCACTCGAGCCTGGGCAACACAGTGAGACTCAGTCTCAAAAAAAAAATACAGTTGATACAAAGATGGAAATTATTTAGTGTGTTAGAAATTAGATGTTCACTGGACTTAAACCAATTTTCTATAGGCTCAGCTGTGAAGGAAAAGAATAAAATTAAAGGAAATTGGGGGACTTCTGGCAATATATAGTTGATTTCCTTTCAGAGGAAATTTCTTTTCACAGGAAATCAACTATATATTAGACTTGTAGGGGGCAGAATTCTTTTTATGCCATGCAAGACTTAGTTTTTGTACTTTTGACTTGGGGACAAGTTTTCTACGATGCATAGCATGGTATTATCTATATTTTATTTCAATTGTATTAATTTTGAGAAAGATTTTTGTCATGAAATTTTAATACAGTGTTGTGATTTTGAACTTACAAGAATTAAATCTATAGTCAGCCTATATTTTATTGCACCCTTTCCTGGGAGCTGATCTGTCCTCAGGGAGAATCCCTGAAATCTACTCCAGGAGAAATCATGTAATCTTTTGGTCGTAATAATTATATTATTGTCTCAGCCTTGCCTAGGGCGCCAACTTGCCATCTGTCATGGGTGGTATTGGAACTGCTTGAATGGGGAGGCATGAGCTTCCTCATTCTTTTCAAGACTATTTCCAGTTTCTGGTTTCCAGGCCTTATGCTGTTCTCTGGGGCTATGCCAAAGTTTGCTCCAACAATAGCAAGAACACAGCAAAAATCACAAAAGGGGCTTCTATTTTTGAGCCCTGCCACCTGCCTGCACTGTGCCGGCTTCTCTGAGCTGCTGTCTCTATTCATGCTCACAATAGCCATAGGAAGAGCATGGTTATTTTATCTAGACCAGGAACCTTGGCTTTGGAAAGGTCAAACCAGTTTTACTTTTTCTCTCCCGTGCCCACCACAGGTTTCCATATGGAACATCCACTTTTTCTAATTGGTTTTATTTCATTAATATTATTCACTTATCTGAATTCCAAAAAAGAATTCTGAATTCTTTTTTTTGTTGTTGTTGTTTTTTCTATAGACGGAGTTTTGCTCTGTTGTCCAGGCTGGAGTGCAGTGGTGCAATCATAGCTCATTGCAGCCTCCAACTTCTGGGCTCAAGCAATCCTCCTGCCCCAGCTCTCGAGTAGCTGGGACTACAGGTGCACACCACCGGGGTCTCGCCATGTTGCCCAGGCTGGTCTTGAACTCCTGGGCTCCTCCTGCCTTGGCCTCCCAAAGTGCTGGGATTACAGACATGAGCCACTGCGCCTGGCCTGGATTCCAGTTCTTATTATTCTTTTTCTCCCTGAGGTGTCCTTTGTGTGTATCTCATGTTACACAGTGGTGTGGCTTTTAGAGAATGAGGAGGTTCCTTGTGTGCAGGGTCCTCCCTGCCTGCCCCAGGGTCAAGTGAAAGGTTGTGGAACCCCCAGAAGGCTGTCAAGGAATCCAGCCACTAGGTGGCAGCCTTGTCAAAAGCACCCACCTTCTCCTCTGCTACAAGTTCTGGTTCTGACAAATGTTTCTGACTTTAGAAACAATGCTTGTATTTATTGATTAATTCAACAAATATCTTTGAGTGGCTACCATGTGCCTGGCACTGTTCTAGGCAAAAGGACTATATGAGTGAGCAGGACAAACATCCCTGCCTTCATAAAGGTACATGAGCAAGACGTGGGAGAGATGAGAAAGCCAGGTGAACAGCTGGAGTGGTGGACATTCCAGGCAGAGATGACGGCTGGCCCGTGTCCCCCACGTCAAGGGAGTGGCAGGAAGACCAGTGGGGCCGCAGCAGAGTGAACAAGCAGTTGGGGAGGAGGATAGAAAGATGGGGGAGCTTGCGAGTCACTGTCAGGACTTTGGATTTTTTACTCTTGACTCCACTGGGGAACTTTTGCAAGGTTTTGCACAGAGCAGTGATATGACCCAACCTCATTTTAAAAGGACTGCTTTGGGCTGCTTGTTGAGAGTGGACAGATGGGGTAAGCAGACCAGCTTGGAGGCTAGGGCTGTGGTCTAGGAAAGAAGTGACCTGGGCTGGGCTGGCAGCCATGGCACCGGGGAACAGCAGCTGCGTCTGGATATATTCTGAAGGGGAGAGCCAGCTGGCTCTCAACTTTCCTGGTTTTTGAATTGTGGAAAAATACACATAATCATTTTTAAGTGTACAGTTCAGCGGCATTAAGTTCATTCACATTGTTGTACAACCATCACCACCTTCCATTTCCAGAACTGTTTCATCTTCTCAAAGTGAAACTCTGTCCCCATTAAACACTCGCTTCCCATTCCCCTTCCCTCAGCTCCCGGCAAGCACCATTCTGTTCTTTGTCTCTGAATCTGACTGCTCTCAGTTCCTCATAGGAGTGGCATCACACAGTGTTTGTCCTTTTGCAACCGGCTTATTTCACTCAGCATAATATCCTCAAGGTACATCCACACTGTAGCATGTGTCAGAATTTCCTTCGTTTTTGAGGCTAAATAATATTTCCTTGTCTGGATATACCGTATCTTCTTTATCCATTCACCTGTTGAAGGACCCTTGGCCTATTTCTACCTTTTGGCTATTGTGAATAATGCTGCTCTGTACACAGGTGTACAGATATCTCCTTGAGACACTGCTTTGACTTTTTGAGGGTATATACCTGGAAGTGGGATTGCTGGATTCTCCTGATGGATTGTAAAGTTGGTGTAGGGTAAGATTTCTGCTCATGTTAGCAGTGGGATGAGTGAGATGAAATCTGATGGGCCTTCCCAAGGGATGAGGAGTGAACGTGGATCTCTTCTGGAGACAGCAGTCGGCTAGAAGGAGGTTCATGTAGCCACATTTAAAACATTTTTAAAACCACGAGACATGGAAGTGCCCATTTAGATGTTTCTTTATATAGCACACGTGGGATCCAAAGACATGTCACTATTTTAAACTGATATCAGTGTTTTCTAAAAGGCAAAATAAATGTGAAGGGCTAGTTTTACTGTGGCCAAACTCTGATGCTTGCAGAATCTCAGACATCTCAGATGGTGATCAGTAAGGGCAAGCAGTCGTGATTGGCTCACTGCCAAGAAACTGTCAGTGTCCTCGCTGATACCTGGACCCCTGCATGCTCCCAGTTACCTGCATCACAACCAGGTAATGCCTGAGGCTCCAACCTGAGACACCTGTCCTCTCTGACATGAGGAGGGAATAACTCTGTCCTCTCTGACATGAGGAGGGGAACTCGTCTAACATGGAAGGTAAGTATTCTTATCCCCATCTGACATGTGAAGAAGCGAAAGCTCCAGGATAGGTAGTGTTCCCAAATTCAAACCCAGGTCCGACTCCAGAGTTCTTTTTTCTGCTACTCTGTTTGTCTCAGGTAGGGAGACTTGTTTTCTTCCCTCATCATCTTTACCTGTTGTAGAATTACTATTACCGGTGACTAGCATTCTTTGCTCACTATGTGCTAACCACTGTTCTCAGTGTGCGATGAATATGGTCTCCTTTAGTCTTTACTACAGCCCTATGAAATAGTATCCTTATTATCATTCCCATTTTATAGATCAGGAGACTGAGGCATAAAGAGATTAAGCAGACTGTCCAAGTCCATGGGATATAAATATTGGTACCAGGACTTGCAGATTAGGAAACAGGGGCTGAAAGAAAACCATGGATGGGTTGGCTTGCTGGGGTGAGAGTGGAGGAAGGGGATGTTGGAAGTTTTGGAGTTGAGAGGCCGGAAGGTGGGTGGGTCAGTTTCTTGGATGCCACAGAAGGAGGAGGGCCATGAGCCAGGGATGTCAGGGAATGGGGAGAATGGGGTGGGGATGTGTAGATGGCAACAGGGAGGGGAAGAGGATGCCAGGTCCTGCTGTGTGAACTGCAGAAATGGAAGGTGTCTGTTTACAGTGGGGAGGGGAACAGACGGGGGGAAGCAACAGTCATAGGTATGAGGTACAGCGAGACCTTCAGTTTGGGAAATGTGAGAAAATGAACAGACTGGCCTTGGGAAGGCAGTGGTGGGATTCATCCAGCTGTGGAAGTGAGGGGACATTCAGAGAGCTCAGCCTATGGGAAATGTTGATTTCACTGTGAGTTCTGAAGGGCCCTGAAGAAGTGTTGGGGACTCAAGGGAGGGGCCTGGGGCAGGTGGGGCTGAATCGCTTTGGAGATGAGAACCTGGAAAATCACAGAATGCCAGGAATGAGTTTGTTCTTGTTTTCATAATTTTAGAGAGGTCATTTATCAATGAGTATATTTTGTGATAAAAAAAATTTCAGATTCGGTATAGATGCTCCTCCACTTACTTCATCGGTTACTTCCAGATAAACTCATCATAAGCTGCAAATATGCTAAGTTGAAAACACATTTAATGCACTTAACCTTCCGAACATCATAGCTGAGCCCAGCCTGCTTTAAACAGGCTCAGAACACTCATATGAGCCTACATTTGGGCAAAATCATCTAACACAGAGCCTATTTTATAATAAAGTGTTGAATATCTTACATAATTTATTGTATTAGATTGGTGCAAAAAAGTAATTGTGATTTTTGCCATTTTAAAAATTGCAGGCCAGGCGCGGTGGCTCATGCCTGTAATCCCAGCACTTTGGGAGGCCGAGGTGGGCGGATCACGAGGTCAGGAGATGGAGACCATCCTGACTAACACGGTAAAACCCCGTCTCTACTAAAAATACAAAAAATCAGCCAGGCATGGTGGTGGGCGCCTGTAGTTCCAGCTACTCGGGAGGCTGAGGCAGGAGAATGGCGTGAACCCGGGAGGCGGAGCTTGCAGTGAGCCGAGATCGCGCCACTGCACTCCAGCCTGGGCGACAGAGCGAGACTCCATCTCAAAAAACAAAAACAAAAACAAAACAAAACAAAAAAATTGCAGTTACTTTTCCATCAACCTAATTTACTGGAAGTGAAAAGCAGAATGGTTGTCTGGGCACTTGAAGTACAGCTTCTACTGAATGCGCGTCATGTTTGCATCACCTTAAGGTCAAAAAGGGTAAGTCACACCATCATAAGTTCGGAACTGTCTGTATTTTCATTTTCTTCTATTTTATTCTACATTTAATTCATTTTCACATTGTGGTAGGAGATCTACCCTCTGAACACATTTTTAAGCATGTAATTCAGGGGCAATGCTGCATAGCAGGTCCCTCAAGCTTACGCATCTGTACCCACTGAACGACTCCCTGTCGCACTGTCTGCAGCCCTTGGCAGCCACCACTCAACTTTCTGTTTCTGTGAGTTTGACTGTTTGAGATTCTGCATCCAAGTGAGATCATACAGTATCCTTTTGGGACTGGCTTATTTCCCTTAGCATAGTATCCTTCAGGTTCATCCACAATGGGACATGTGTCAGAGTTTCCTTCCTTTTAAAGGCTGAATAATATTCGATCGTCTGGATAGCCACACTTTGTTTATCCATCATACATGGATGGACCAGACTGGCTTTCAGCTTCTGGTGGTGTCTGAGGTAAACCCAGTTGTGAGGATGTTATGAACTCTGCACTAGTTAAGGTGCTGAATTCTAAGCTTGAGGACACACATGGTGGTGTCGTGGCCCTGCGTTTCCCGGGAGTACATGATTTAGTCAGGGCTTTGGAGTGGGGCCAAGGGTTTTCTGTGACTTTCTCTGTTGGCACAAGGTGCAGTGCTGGTTTGGGGATGGCAGCTCTCCTGGGTCCTCCCTGGGTGCCTGTGGTATAGACAGTGGGGAGCTCTCCCTGCACCTCCCCGAAGAATACTGACATCTTTGCCAACTCTTTCCATCCAGGTCCTGGCTGTCTCTCCAGTTCTCCATGTCCTCTCTTCCTTTTATTTGGGCTCTTCCCCTGAAGTTTGCTATTTCCTTTCTCCCTCCTTCCCTGCTCTCCTCTCCTCCTTTCCTTTTTGTTGAGTTTATACCTTTGTTTATGCCTTCCCTCCCTTCCTCTCTTCTTCTCTCCCTTCATTCCTTCCTTCCTTTTTGTTGAGTTTATGCCTTTGTTTTATACTTTTATTCCTATTGTGAATGGGATTCTTTATTCATTGTACTTTGTTCTTATTTTCTAACATATGGACTATTTCACGACTTTGAATGTCATCCTTACACAGGAACCATGCTAATCTTCTCTGCATCATTCCAGTTTTGGTATTAGCACTGTCACTGACTATATTTTCTAATTAGATACTTTAAAAAATATTTAGTTTGGAACTGGCTCGCTCCCTTACCATCCTCTCTTCTTAGCACTAATGGTTTTCAGTTGATTCTCAGGTGTCTTCCAAGCAGACAGTCATATCAGCTGCAGATAAC
Source organism: Homo sapiens (assembly GCF_000001405.40). NCBI lineage: Eukaryota > Metazoa > Chordata > Mammalia > Primates > Hominidae > Homo > Homo sapiens. The sequence goes on from NC_000017.11 coordinate 20,126,632, forward strand.
AATGCCTTTTGTCTCCTCCATTCCAGGAGTTATTCTTTTATTTCTGGTTCTTGCTGTTTTGTGCATGTGTGACCCCAGTTGTGTTAAATGCTAGTGACATCTTGACTTGCTCTCACTTTACTGTGGGTGATTTTGGTGTTTTCTGATTAAATATGATGCAGAAAGTTGGCTTGGGGCTTTGTTTTACATGTTAAGTCTTCTCCTCCTATATTCCTTTGAGTTATTAGGATTTGGTCATGGCTTTTATTAAATGCCTTCTAGGCATGCTGTTATTACTTTGATTATTGCTTCTCTTTTTACCCTGGAGTCTCCTCCAGGAAATTAAAGTATGTGTGTATTTGGTCTCCTGGGTATTTCTTCCATGTCACATATGTTATCTCTGATTCTTGTGATCACTTTCATTCATGCTCTGATTTTTCAAAGTTTATCATCTAATGTGCTTTGCTTTGTATGTTTCTTTTCTTCAACTATTATGTTTTTAATCTTTAGTCTGATTTCTGTGCTTTCAAATTATTTCTTCATGACTTCTTGCTCAACTTTCATAGCTATCAAATCTTGAATTTCAAATGAGAATGCAAATTGCAGATTTTTTTGAAATCTCCCATTTCTACCAGTAACTTTGTTTCATAGGTGCATATTTACTTGGAATCCTCAGCTGCTCCCCCTTTTATGATCTGCCAGAGCTTTCCAGATAGATCTAGAGAGTTTTCTGTGATCACCTATCTTTACAGAGGGAAGCTAGTATTGGTCCAAAAATCAGAAATTGAGAGGGATACTACTGGAGAATGTGTGGTTATCAGGTCATCTTTTTTTTTTTTTTTTTTTTTTTGAGACAGACTCTCACTCTTTTGCCCAGGCTGAAGTGTAGTGGCGTGACCATAGCTCACTGTAGCCTGGAGCTCCTGGGCTCCAGCAGTCCTCTTGCCTCAGGCTCTCAAAGTGATGGGATTATAGGCGTAAGCCACAGCGCCCAGCCAGGTCATATCATTTACGCTCTGTCGAAGGAAGAGGAAAAATTTTTGCATTATCTGGGGTGAAAGTAAGGAGGGCATTAAAGCCTGAAGTGCAATTTTGCCATTTTTTTCTTTTCTATGTATTTTGTTTTTGTTGTTCTCATTGTTACTTTAGTGCCTGTTGGAAGGTGGCCTTGTCCTCCCCTTCTGCTTGCATGATGGCCCCTGTTCTTATCAGCTGGCCATGGCTGTTTCCCTTGTGTGGCCTTCTGTGCATGCAGGCAAGGAGAAGGGAACACTAGCAGGCCTTCTGAAGCTGCTCATGGCAGAGGCCTCAACTTAGTAGTCCAGTTACCCTTTTAAATGATGACGATTCTGTAATGTGCCCTTTAATATCCTAAAATGAAATTCACCAGTCCATATACATTACTGAAAAAAATCAATATAATGCTGTACCTATAATGTAGAGAAGAAATAAAAGGCAAATAATTTCTAATGAAGTGACATATCAGTGTGTAAGTGCTGGAGCCTGACTCCACTAGAAGACAGATGCTTGTACATTAGTGGAGATTGCTGCCTTAAGCTTGAATGCTACAAATGAGACTGACTCATGGGTGCAGTGTTGAGAATTCAAATACCAGGCGTGTTGACATCAGTGACTTTGAAATGTTGACAGCTCAGGGTAAACATTTTGAATAAAGCAAAGTACTGTCTTTCCTTAAGTTACATGATAGTTGCATTCCTAGAAAATTCAGTGTATAATAGCAATGCTGTGTGAAACTGCTTTGTGTTTCTCTGTAAAACAGAGTTAGATTCTGGATGTAGGTATTTATAACTGTGTTCTCCTATTCAGGAGTGCTGTCAGATCACAAGGAGGGAGCAGGAAGCAGGAAGCAGGCGTGCCCCTCATATTTGCAAGGCTTGGGGCAAGAGTGCAGCGGGGGCCATCTGTTTATTCACAATATTCTGATATAATTAAATATTCTAGTAAAGGAGATCAAGTGTCAGGGATTTCAGATGACCTGGTAGCTTGTCGATCTAATGACAATAATTTTCTTACTCATTTTCATCTTTTTTTTAATCAGTAATGGGTGAATTTTGTGTGGTGAATTTTATTTTTTCTTCCCAGCTTCCCCCAAGTTCTACTTTAGTATTTTCTCATTTTTATCACTTTGAAATTTGTAATTCTTCTCAAAGGTTAAAAAAATTAATGATATTCAAATATAATTTTAAAATAATTTTTCTTCAAAATAGAAATTAAAGTCAATATAAAGGGTGAAATATATTTCATATTTTTAAATTTTTTAATTTAATTTTTTATTTTTAGAGACAGCGTCACACTCTGTAACACAGGCTGGAGTGCAATGGCATGATCATGGCTCAGTGCAGCCTCAAACTCCTGGCCTCAAACGATCCTCCTGCCTCAGCCTCCAAAGTTGCTGGGACTACAGCCATGCGCCACCATGCCTGGTTAATTTTTTAAATTTTTTTGTAGAGACAGGTGCTCACTATGTTCCTGGGCTGAAGCCATCCTTCCATCCTGGCCTCCCAAAGTGCTGAGATTATGGGTGTGAGCCACTGTGCCTGGCCTGTTTTGTTTTTTTTTGTTTTTTTTTTTTGAGACGGAGTCTCACTCTATCACCAGGCTGGAGTGCAGTGGCACCATCTCGGCTCACTGCAAGCTCCGCCTCCCGGGTTCAAGCCATTCTCCTGCCTCAGCCTCCCGAGTAGCTGGGGACTACAGGCGCCTGCCACCACGCCCAGCTAATTTTTTTGTATTTTTAGTAGAGACGGGGTTTTACCCCGTGTTAGCCAGGATGGTCTCAATCTCCTGACCTCGTGATCTACGCACCTCGGCCTCCCAAAGTGCTGGGATTACAGGTGTGAGCCACCGCGCCCAGCCAGATTTCTTTTTTTTTTAGCTGTTGAATTTTGTGAGTTCTTTATATGTACTAGAAACTAGTTCTTTATTGGATATGTGGTCTGCAAATATGTTCTTCCAGTCTCTCTTTTATCTTTTCAACCTTATAACAGGGTCTTTCACAGACCAAAAATTTTAAATTTTGATGAAGTCCAACTTGCTAATTTTCCCTTCTATAGATTGTGCTTTTGATGTCAAAATTCTTTGCCTAGAGCCAGTTTTGTTGTTGTTGTTGTTGTTGTTTTGTTTGTTTGTTTGGTTGTTTTGAGACAGAGTCTAACTCTGTTGCCCAGGCTGGAGTGCAATGGCACAATCTTGGCTCACTGCAACCTCTGCCTCCTGGGCTCAAGTGATTCTCCTGCCTCAGCCTCCCAAGAAGCTGGGATTATAGGCTTGTGCCACTGCGCCCAGCTAATTTTTGTATTTTTAGTAGAAACTGGGTTTCACTATGTTGCTCAGGCTGGTTTTGAACTCCTGACCTCAGGTGATCCACCTGCCTCAGCCTCTCAAAGTACTGGGAATACAGGTGTGAGCCACTGCGCCCAGCTGCCTAGAGCCACTTCTTTAAGATTTTCTCTTATATTTTTCCCGAAAGTCTTATAGTTTTACATTTACATTTAAGTGTGTTATTCATTTTTAGTTAATTTTTGCAAAAGTTGTGAGACTTGGGTCAAGGTTACTTTTGTTGTGGATGTCCAGTTGCTCCATTGTTGGAAAGGGTATCCTTTCTCTATTGAATCGCTTTTCTACTTTTGTGAAAATCAGTTGGGGCTGGGCGTGGTGGCTCACACCTGTAAGCCCAACACTTTGGGAGGCTGAGGCCAGAGGATGGCAGCCTGGACAACACGGCAAGATCCCGTCTCTACAAGAAATAAAAAAATTAGCTGGGTATGGTGGTGCACACTTGTGGTCCCAGCTACTTGAGATGCTGAGGTGGGAGGATTGTTTGAGCCTGGGAGGTCAAGTCTGCAGTGATATATAATAACGCCATTGCACTCCAGCCTAGGTGACAGAGCGAGACCCTGTCTCTATTAAAAAAGAAAATATCAGTTGGGCATACTTTTATTCTGGGTTCTCCATTTTGTGTTGTTGATCTATATGTCTGTCCCTCTGACAATGCCTCATACTGTTGATTATGGTAGCTTTGTAATGTCTTGAAATCAAGTAGACTGATTCTTCCTACTTTATTATTTTCCAAAATTGTTCTAGCTAGTCTAGTTCCTTTGACTTCCCATATAAATATACCTACAAAGAAATCTTCTGAGATTTGATAGTAATTGTGTTGAACCTGTAAATCAATTTGGGGAGAATTCACATGTTTTTACTATGTTGAATCTCCTAATCCATAAACATGGTATGGCTCTCCATTTATTTAGATCTTTGATTTCTTTCATCAGCATTTTGTAGTTTGCGGCATACAAATCCTATACCTGTTTTGTTAGATTTACACCTAAGTATTTATTTTTTATTTTTGAGGAATTGTAAATGATACTGTATTTTTAATTTTGGTGTTTGTGTGTTCATTGCTAGTATATTGAAATGCAATTGATATTTATATGTTTGCCTTATACCTTGCAACTTTGCTAAAGTCGCTTATTAGTTCTAGGAGGATTTTTTGTTTGTTTTAGATTCCTTGGGATTTTTCAATGTAAACAATCATGTCATCTACAAATAGGTACAGTTTTATTTCTTCCTTTTTCTTTTGAGTCGTTTTCTTCCTCTGTTGCCCAGGCTGGAGTGCAGTGGCATGATCTCGGCTCACTGCAACCTCTGCCTCCCAGATTCAAGTGATTCTCCTGCCTTAGCCTCCTGAGTAGGTGGGATTACAGGCATGCTAATTTTTTTGTATTTTTAGTAGAGACGGGGTTTCACCATGTTGGCGAGGCTGGTTTTGAACACCTGACCTCAAGTGATCCACCCACCTTGACCTCCCAGAGTGCCAGGATTACAGGTGTGAGCCACTGTGCCCAGCCAGGACAGTTTTATTTCTTCATTTCTGATCTGTATGCCTTTTATTTCCTTTTCATGTCTTATCACACTGGCTAGAAAGTTTAACACTATATTGAATAAAAGTGCTAACAGTAGACATCTTTGTCTTGTTCCTGATCTACGTGGAAAGCATTCAGTCTTCTTCTTTTTTTTTTTTTTTTTTTGCTTTTTTGAAGATGGAGTCTCACTCTGTCACCCAGGCTGGAGTGCAGTGGCACAATTTCGGCTCACTGCAACCTCTGCCTCCCGAGTTCAAGCAATTCTCCTGCCTCAGCCTTCCAAGTAGCTGGGATTACAGGTGCGCACCACCACGCCTGGCTAATTTTTTGTATTTTAGTAGAGACGGGGTTTCACTGTGTTGCCCAGGCTGGTCTTGAACTCCTGAGCTCAGGCAATCCCCGCCCGCCTTGGCCTCCCAAAGTGCTGGGATTACAGGCGTGAGCCACTGCATCCGGCCAAGCATTCAGCCTTTAACCATTAATTATGTAATGTTAGCTTTCGGGAGTTTCTGTAGATGCTCTTTAGCAAGTTGAGGAATTTCTCCTCTATTCCAGTTTTTCTAAGATTTTTTTTTTTCTGAGAAATGTCCCTCTATTCCAGTCTTTACCATGAGTGGATTTTGAATTTGTCTAATGTTTTCTCTGCATTGATAGATGTGATTATGTGACTTTTCTTAGCCTGTTAATATGGTAGATTACATTGACTGATTTTTCAGATCTTGAACCTGCCTTGTACCCTCTAAAGTCCACTTGGTCGTGGTATATGATTATTTTTATATATTACTGAATTCTATTTGCTAGTATTTTGTTAAGAATTTAAAAATCTGTATTCATGAGGGTCTGTAGTTTGCATTTTTTGTACTGACATTTTCTGGTTTTGGTATCAGGATAATACTACTTCATAAAGTAAACTGGGAAGTATTCCTAACTTTTCTTTTTTTCTGGAAGAAATTAGGTAAAGTTTGTGTTAATTCTTCGTTAAATAATTGGTAGAATTCTGAGTGAAATATTCTCTACTTAGAAGTTTGTTTGTTTGTTTGTTTGTTTTCATTTTTTTTTGGCTTTTTTTTTTGGTGTGAAAGGGTGAGTTTAAAAAAATTTCAAATTCAAATTTCCCTAATTGTTATAGGGCTACTCATATTACCTGCTTAATATTGAGTGAGTTGTATTTTTCAAGCAGTTGGTCCATGTCTTCTAAACTGTCAAATTTTATGTGTAGTTATTTATTTATTTATTTATTTATTTATTTATTTATTTATTTGTTGAGATGGAGTCTCGCTCTGTCACCCAGGCTGGAGTGCAGTGGCGTGATCTCGGCTCACTGCAAGCTCCACCTCCTGGGTTCAAGCCATTCTCCTGCCTCAGCCTCCCGAGTAGCTGGGACTACAGGCGCCCGCCACCATGCCCAGCTAATTTTTTATATTTTTAGTAGAGATGGGGTTTCACTGTGTTAGGCAGGATGGTCTCGATCTCCTGACCTCGTGATCCTGCCGCCTCGGCCTCCCGAAGTTCTGGGATTACAGGTGTGAGCCACCGTGCCTAGCCGTGTGTATAGTTATTCATATTATATTCCCCTTTATCCTTTTTGAGTCTGTGGAGTCTGTAGTGATATCCCCAGTTTCATTCCTGCCATTGGTAATCTGTATATTCTTTCTCTTTTTTTGTCAGAAGTTTGTCAATTTTATAATTTTTTTTCAGAACCAGCTATTTGTCTCACTCGTTTTTCTCTATTTTTTTTTCCCATTTCACCGAGTTCTGCTCTTCTTTATTATTTCCTTATCTGAAAAACAGAGCTAGTCTTACCCATCTCCTACAGTGTGAGAATTAAGTGAAATGACAAATACACGTACCTAGGACAGAAGCAGAAGTGTAGATTATTTTGTAAAATGTGATTTTTTTCCCCCTTGAACTAGCTCCCTTAATAGAATCTCCTACTTAGGAATCATGGCAGTTAAAAAAAAAGAATCTACCTGCCTTAGTGTGGTGTACCTTGCCCAGTGTTTCAGGCTTTGCTTTCTTAAGATTTTTCTTTTTTTTTTCAAAATCACACTTGACTCATGTTATGTCTAGATTTACATATACATAAATTTGAGAGGAATAAGAATAGTTTAGTATTGCAAACTACTCCTCGGCCACCATGGCTCCTGTTGCAAACACTGCAGGGATTCATGAATATTCCAGAACCACCTGTTGGGATGGAAAGAAAAAGAAAATGGAAAATGGAACTTGGCACCTCTGGCAAAGTGTAAGAATGTATTGTATTCATCCTATCTGAAACCAGTTTAACAGACTGAATCTTTTGTGTGATCTGTTGTCAAAGCCCCTCCCGGCTTTGCACTCCGTATTCCCAACCAGACCAGTCTCCACTGTGGGCAGTGGTACAACTCACAAACCCTCACAGCGTTCAGACGCACTCTTTTTTGTTTCAAGGACAAGGAAAAGAGATGTGAAGTGTTTCTTGGGGCCCAGATGGTGTTATTCATAACAGTTGATGGTTAGGGTTACAAGATTATATATTCCCATATAGAATATTCACACATTATATAAGTATTACTTCATATAATGTTTATATATGTTTAAATATAAACATATTACAAACATGTATATATTTATGTAATATAAATATAACAAAATATAGTATAAAATATATATTATATATTCCCTATGTATATATAATAAAGCCACACCTCCAATTTCAATCCAACCACTCAGGGTTCTTTCTAGCCTTGCCCCTTTCTCTGCTTGTAACCATCATCTCTGGTAGTAGTGAGAAACATGGCTGCCAGTATCCTCAATTTATGTACCTATTTGCTCAATATAACCAGTCTCAAATCCTTCTCCCACCTGCCACCTGCACCCAACTCCCCATTCCCCACCCTCCAGCCTCACTGACCAACCCACCCCTCTGCATGACTCCATAACATCCTTTCACTGCCCCATACTCAGCTCCCATGCTGACCCCTTGCCCTGGGAAGGGAAAAAAAATTGGGCACAGGAGCTTTTTAAAAATGGTATATTATAAAGCCAATTAAATGTGCTTCGTACTTCTAGTTGTTTGCATTATCAGAAAGCAAGATTTCCTGCTTTCTTTGTTGAGAAAGGTACTTCTTATTGCTTAGGAAAGTTTTGTTTTATTTTTTTGAGACAGGGTCTCACTATGTTGCCCAGGCTAGTCTCCAACTCCTGGGTTCAAGCCATCCTCCTGCCTCAGCCTCCAGAGTAGCTGGGAATATAGGTGTGAGCCACTGCACCTGACATGTTGCCTAGAAATGCTGAAATGGGGGTGAATGAGAAATGCTGTCCCTGCAGGTAACTTGGTCAGGTTCCAGTATCCCATACTCCCTTATGGAAGAGGAGAAAAGGGAAAGAATTGTAGGATCCCACCATATAACAAGTTTTATGTTCCAGAAGAAAGTTCTGCTTTTCTGGTTCTGTGTAATCATCACATTGGATGGAAGGGAAGCTGAAGGTCTTTCCACTGAATTCATGGAATATTAAAGTTCCAGTCCTTGAACTTGGGTGTGACCTTCTGAAATGTTCAAGTTTGTCAGTGGAAAACATGATCAGATCTCTTATGCTGCTTTTCCTGGCTGCTGACACACAGTAGATTCTCAGTGTTGTGTGTTCTCTTTTCCTGAAAGTTTGTGCATGTTACTGAGTTTGCCATTGAATTGTCTTTGTTTGCATATTGATTTCCACTTCAAAAAGTAGTTTAATACTGTGAAAGTACTGTTCCTAAGCAAATTACAGTACAGATGGTCAGAGTAGAAGTGTGTACTCTTGATACTTCCCTCTTCCCCCTCAACAGTGGAATCTTGCTGGGATTTTGTCAGTGCTGTTTAGATGGGACGTTTATCCTTATTTGATCAATCCCAAAAGGCAGCCCCTTTGTGGTAGTTTTATACTGTGAAAATTAGTTTTGGAACATTAAGCCAAGAAGTTTGCAATAAAATCAAATTTGTTTATGTATTCATTTGAGACAGGGTCTTGCTGTGTCACCCAGGATGCAGTGCAGTGGTATGATCATGGCCCACTGCAGCCTTGACCTCCTGGTCCCAAGTGATCCTCCCGCCTCAGCCTCTGGAATAGTCTGGATGGACCACAGGCATGCACCACCATGCCTGGATAATTTGTTATTTTTGTAGACAGAGTCTTACTATGTTGCTCAGGCTGGTCTTGAACTCCTGGGCTCAAGTGATCCTCCTGCCTTGACCTCCTACAGTGCTGGGACTACAGGTGTGAGCCACTGTGCCTGATCCCAACATACATTTAATAATCTACATTGCAGGGAATTACATTAGGAACCATGTGTGGGGGACCAGAAGATAAGACTTGCACGTAGTCAATGCAGTAATGAGAAGACCATAAGAAAAGTCTGTATAAGAGAGGGCATAGGCATGACTTTGTTCTGTCCTCTTGGCCACATCCTGGCTGTGTGACCTTAAGCAAATTAACCTACCAACTACAACCATTCCTTCTGTTGGGAGGAGCCAAATCTGTGGGAGTGGAAAAATCACTGAGAAGAAGCCAAACTCTAGGATGTTGCTGTAGAAAGGGCCTACACACCCTGCTGTAGAAAGGGTCCTAGAGTTTGGCTTATTTTGTGTACTGGGGATCACTATGTCTCCTTGCAAACCATTGCACTGGGCGCGGTGGCTCACACTTCTCACACTTGTAATCCCAGCACTTTGGGAGGCCAAGGCAGGCAGATCACGAGGTCAGGAGTTCAAGACCATCCTGACCAACATAGTGAAACCCCGTCTCTACTGAAAATACAAAAATTAGCCAGGCATAGTGGCGCACGTCTGTTAATCCCAGCTACTCAGGAGGTTGAGGCAGGAGAATTGCTTGAACACGGGAGGCGGAGGTTGCAGTTAGCCAAGATCACGCCACTGCACTCCAGTCTGGGTGGCAGAGCTAGACTCCATCTATTAAAAAAAAAAAAAAAAATCTGTCTTTTCAAACTCTAGTCTTTTATCAGGTAAACATTTTCTAAGTTTTATTCATTTTTTTTGGAACAAGTAAGACAGTTTACTTATTCAAAATGTAAAGGGTTACAGTGAAAAGTTTTGCTCCTGCCCCTTTGCCCAGCCACCAAGTTCACCCACCAGTGGTGGGGAATGTGGTATCTTTCTAGAACTATTCAGTGTGTCTGGAAGCAAAAGGATATCCTTTTACCTTTCTGTATGCAAATAGTAACGTAAATGGACACACCATTCTGCACGTGCGCATTTTCTCTTTTCAGTGTATTTTGGAAATCATTCCTATCATTCCATAAAGAACCTCCTCGTTCTGGTCCCCATCTCTCTGGCACTTGTTTTATGATTTCTCAGTGGTTACTGATAGCAGTTCACAGCCTCATTCCCAAGTTATCTCCGTGTTTGGGGTTTAATTTCCCTGGGCCAGGATATTTACATTCATGAGATGGTTTCCTTGGACTTTAGTTTCCTCCCACTAAGGTTTGAGCTACACTTTGCAAATGGGCAAAGACCATTTTTGGATGTATATGCCTGAGGGAAGACAGAAAAACAAAGCTGAAAGAGCATCCAGAGGGTTTGCCTTCACCATCGGAAACCACTCAGCTCCTTTTCAGGGCTAGCTTTTCAGACTGCTTTCCGAGATTTCTGCCCACTCCTGTTTGGCCATGGCCGTGTGCCCTATTTTCAGTTTCTATATATGCCCTCATGTTTTCCTGAGCACATCAAGAACGCCTGCACGGTTACACTGGTTTATTTAGGAACCGTCCCCTTTCTTCTTCAGTCTGTCAGTTACTCATTTGAGGTCAGACTCACAATTCTGCGAATGTCTTAGCCTCTTGGAGGAGCATCGTGTGTGATGTTGGACAAGCTGCTTAGTGTCTCTCAGCTGGTTTCCTCATCCATAAGATGGAGTTAATCGTGCCCATTACAGAGAATTGTGACAAGCAAATGAAATGACACATCTGCAGAACTAAGAGCAGAAACTGAAATATAGATATTTTTATAAAATGTGATTTTTCCCTCAAATAATCTTCTTTAACAGAATATCCTACTTAGGAATTATGGCAAAACAAAAACAAACTTAAAAAAATCCACCTGCCTTAGACTCTTGGTCATCTTTTAAGATTCTTCAAGTTTTGCTTTCTTTTTTTATTTCCTTTAAAAGGTTTTTTTAAAATTAAATCTTTATTTTATTTATTATTTTGTTTTTTGAGACAGAGTCTAACTCCATTGCCCAGGCTGGAGTGCAGTGGCACAATCTTGGCTTACTGCAACCTCTGCCTCCCGGGTTCAAGTGATTCTCATACCTCAGCCTCCTGAGTAGCTGGGATTACAGGTCCATGCCACCAAGCCCAGCTAATTTTTGTATTTTTTACTAGAGATGGGTTTTCGGCATGTTGACCAGGCTGGTCTCGAACTCCTGACCTCAAATAATCCGCCCTTCCACCTCCCAAAGTACTAGGATTACAGGCGTGAGCCACCGTACCCAGCCCTTTATTTTATTTTATTTTTATGCAACAGGGTCTCACTCTGTTGCCCAGGCTGGAGTGCAGTGGTGCAATCATGGCTCACTGCAGCCTTGAACTCCTGGGCTCAAGCAGCCCTCCCACCCCAGCCTCCTGAGTAGCTGGGACTACAGGTGGGCACCTTCATGCCCAGCTAAATTTTGTTTGTAGAGATGGGGTGTCACTATGTTGCCCAGGGTGGTCTTGAACTCATGTTCAATCAATGTTCCTGCTGTAGCCTCCCAAAGTGCTGGGATTACAGGCATGAGCCACCAGGCCTAGCTTGAGTCTTAATTTTTTTTTGGAGTTTCCATACACCCTCTGCCCCCACACATGTACAGCCTCTCCCATTATCAACATCCCCCACCAGCGTGGTACATTGACATGACAGATCATTGTCACCCAAAGTCCATAGTTTAAGTTTGGGTTCACTTTTGGTGGTGTACATTCTGTGGGTTTGAATGAATGTATAATGCCACGTATCGGCAATTGTAATATCACACAGAGTAGTTTCACTGCCCCCAAAATCCTCTGTGCTCTGCCCGTTCATCCCTCCCTCATCCCTAGTCCCTGGAAACCACTGATCTTTTTACTGTCCCATAGTTTTGCCTTTCCTAGAATGTCACATAGTTGGAATCATACAGTATGTCACCTTTTATATTGGCTTCTTTCACTTAGTAATACACATTTAAGTTTCCTCCATGTCTTTTCATGGCTTGATAGTTCATTTCTTTTTAGCACTGAATAATATTCCATTTTCTGGATGTACAACAGTTTATTTATCCATTCTCCTACTGAAGGACATCCTGGTTGCTTCCAAGTGTTGGCAATTATGAATAAAGCTTCTATAAATACTCGTGAAGCTTTGCTTTAAGATGACATGTTTTTTTCTCCCCAAGTTACCATCACTTATCAACCAGTTCTTTTTTGGTCAATATTAAATTTTTCCATTTTTGGCTCCAACTAGTAAAAATAGGGCCAGATTTTGACTAATAGATGAAAGAATATTCTGGTTAGCTGCAGCAATTCAGAGACAAGCATGTTGCTCCAGGAAGTAAGGAACTCCATGTGCTTGCTAGAGAGGTACTCATTCTCTACAAGTGGAGGAGCTATGGAGTGACAGGATTGGAAGACTTTCATCAAAGTCCTTTCCAACCCTGAAGGGGCTGCTATTAAGGTCAAAGACCTGTTCTTGGGTACATTTTCTTGTATCCTCCCATGTGGGAAGCTCTGTTCCAAGCCTTTGGGTTACAAGATAGACAGAAGTCCTTGATGATTCCCAAACCTGCATCTCGGATCCCAACTTGCCCGTTGTACTCCAGAAACACTCCTCCCACTGTTTGCTGAAAATGTCTGGGGAATATTCTGCATGTGTATTCATTCATTCCTTCAATACATATTTAGTGTCTACTATGTTCCAGGCATCTTTCTGGGTGCTAGGGATGCAGCAGTTAACGACAACAAAAAAAGTCCCTGCTCTCATGGATCTTACATTTCATTCTCAACATGTCTTAACCAAACCCATCATCCTCGTTTCATTATAGAGTTGTTTAACTGCTTTCTCTAGCATCTGGATTTGTCCTAACTGAAGTGGCATTTCTCAGTCCTCCAGATACATTCTAGTGTTATCTTTATTAACTTCCTTTCTCTCAACATGTAATTGTCATCTACAGTTGCATCTTACACTTCTTATTTATTTATTTATTTATTTTTTGAGACGAAATCTCGCTCTTGTCTCCCAGGCTAGGGTGCAATTGCGCAATCTCGGCTCACTGCAACCTCCGCCTCCCCGGTTCAAGCAATTCTCCTGCCTCAGCCTACTGAGTAGCTGGGATGACAGGTGCCCATCACCACGCCTGGCTAATTTTTTGTATTTTTAGTAGAGACGGGGTTTCGCTATGTTGGCCAGGCTGGTCTTGAACTCCTGACGTTGTGATCCGCCTGTCTCAGCCTCCCAAAGTGCCGGGATTACAGGTGTGAGCCACCGCACCCAGCCCACTTCTTTTTATTTCTTTTGCATTCCCCTGACTTCACCCAACACAGCATCTCTTACCCAAAGCACAGTAGCTTCCTGACTTGAGTTGCTGCTGGTGGTTAATGCTTACTCTCTCGTCCTATGTGAGTAGGATCATTTTCGGCCCATCAATTGAAAAAGTTGGCTAAACCAGGGAAACCTAAAAAAATTAAACTATACTTTTAAACATTTTATTTTCACCCAAAACATATAACTGCACATTTGTTCACTCATCTTTAGTTATAGAGCCAAGACATTGTCTTACAGTGGTCTTGTTGATTGAAGTTTTTTTAAACATCTTTCCATTCTTATATCTCCTATGATTTCCAGTTTTAGTTTTTTTAAACATGAGAAAGAACGAAAATACTTAAGAGGAAGATTGGATACTGAATCCTTTCACATGTTTGCAAATATTCCTCTATTATAATTGCTTCAGCCATTTTTAGTGACTCATCTTCATTGAGTCTTTTCAAACCATTCAGCATGTCTTTTGAGGAAGCGATATCTCTCCCTCTTTGTACTCATATTTCACTAGTTAATGTACAAAGTTATGGAAATAAATTTGCAAGTACAACTAGCATAAATAGGTTTGGGAACAAATATGCTTGACTCTTACTATGAAGACAACCCACATGATGGGAGCATGAGTGCCCAGGTGTCCCAGAGAGGAGACTACCAGCCAAAAGTGTTCATCTTGCCAAGGGTGTCAGTCAGTGTGTCCTGTAAACATGGGGTGCATTGGTTATTTTGGTGAATTGATTATCTGTAAAATGTTCAGTAGAGAGTGCATAAGAGAGCAACTTCTGTATTACCAGAGTAATCTTCCTAAGCCACAGCTGTCATGAGATCACTTCTCTGCTCGAAAACCTTCAAGCACTCCTCACTGGTTGAGGGGCCAAGGGCAACATCTTGCCTTGTGATTCATTGTGATCTATGGCTGTCTTACCTCCCTCCCCCGTTGGTGCCTTGACTGTGACCTTTTCACAGTCACTCTGGTGAACAACGACGGGGCCTGCTGCCGGGGCCTTGCTTGTCTAGGCTGTGCATGTCCAAGCCAAGCCCCTCCCTCCCTGCTGCCCCCTTCTCTCCTCCTGCCACTGCAGACCTTGATGGATATGCTGTTCACCTGGAAAGGACCCGCTCATAGTAGCACCTCCTTCAAAAAGCGTTTCTTGAGCTCCTTTCAACAGGGCATGCTTTTTCCTTTAAAAACCCTTCTGCAGCACCCCATGTGTATTTGTTAAGTCACTCCCATATCCTACCTATACTGCTTCTCCTGCCTAATAACTCTCTGTTGCCGTGAGTTGAACCCAGCTCACTGGACCTGCTCGCTGCTCATTCAGCAAGCAGGCAACTCCTGAGTATGGGCGATGCTGTCCCCTTTATCTCCTCTTCTTCAAAGACTGTGTGTCTTTGAATGCGAGCTCACCAGGCTCCCCCAGGCTTCAGTCATGCTAACTGATTCAGAGCGAGGACATGGCTCTTTTGAGGTTGTAAATAATACATCAAGTCTTGAAGGCTTATCTGCTTGTCTCCCTTGACTTTTTCAAGAAGCAGCTTTATTGATAATAATTTACATACCATAAAATTCACCCATTTACAGTGTGCAATCCAGTGAATTTTAGTGAATTGACTGAGTTACAACCATCACCGCAGATGAGTTTTAAGATATTCCTGTCACTCCAGAAATACCCCATGCTGCTGTTTCCAGTCAATATCTGTTTCCACCACCAGCTCCAGGCAACCACTAATCTGTTTTTTATCCGTATAGCTCCTCCCTTGACTCTCCCTGCCACTTCCTCAGAATTGGAGTGTTTTCTGGACTAATGTGTGTGCTATTTGCCTAAGGAACTTTTCTTCCGATTCAGTTACGTAACTTTGTGATCTTCTCTTTCACTCATTCTCCCCATGTTCAAGTTTCTCTTGGTTTTCTTTGTTGTGTGAACCTAGTCTCTGTTCACCGAGTTGGCCTTTGGCTTATTAAGAAAACTGAGCTTTTTCCCCTCTTTCAGAATATGGAAAACTTGAATAGTGTCATGTACAAATATTGTAGTGTCATGTACAAACCAGATGCTGAATGTTATCTACCGAATGAAGGAATCTGAGCCCTGCTAAGGCATGGGAAATCTTGTCTTCTGTTACATTCAGCATAGTGCGTGTAAAGTCACTAAATTATTATTTTGGTTAATAAATACTTTTTATTTTTTGGTAAGGAAAATTACATTGTTTTTATTAAGATGATTCATGCTTGATAGCTTAAAGAGTACAAACAAAGTAATACCTTAAAAAGAAAAGTATAATATGATCCAGTATTTCCACTTCTGGTTATATACCCAAAATAATTGAAAGCAGGAACTTGAAAAGATATTTGTGCGCCCGTGTTCTTAGCAGCATTGTTTGCAATAACTAAAAGGTGGAAGCAACCCAAGTGTCCATCAACAGATGCGTAGATCAACAAAAATGTGGTATATACATACAACAGAATGTCAGGCCAGCCTTAAAAAGAAAGAATTTCTGACACGTGCTACAGCATGTGCTACCTCAAAGACATTATGCTGAGTAAAAGGATTGTGTGATCATTCCTATGAGGGACCTAGAGTCACCAAATCCATAGAGACAGAAAGTTGAATGGTGATTGCCAGCGGCTGCGGGAGGAGGGAGTAGAGAGTTATTCTTTTATAGGTACCAAGTTTTGGTTGTGCAAGATGAAAAGAGTTCTGGAAATGGGGGTGGTGATGGTTGTACAACAATGTGAATGTACTTAACACCTCTGGACTGTACACTAAAAATAGTTGAGATGCCAGCCTGGCTGACACAGTGAAAGCCTATCTTTACCAAAAAAAAAAAAACCAACAAAAATTAGCCAGGCATGGTGGTGCGTGCCTGTAGTCACAGCTACTCGGGAGGCTAAGGCAGGAGAATCACTTGAACCTGGGAGGTGGAGGTTTCAGTGAGCTGAGATCGCGCCACTGTACTCTAGCCTTGGTTGACAGAGTGAGACCCTGTCTCAAAAAAAATAATAATTGAGATGGTGAGTTTTATGTTACATATATTTTACCACAATTAAAAAATAAAAATAATAAAGGGAATAACAGAAGAAGAACAGAGAAGAAAGTTAAAGTACTATCTGAAACACCACGTCTTAGAAACAACCAGTGTTTGCCACAGGAATATTCTTTATAGGAAAAAAAAAAAAAAGCCTGGGCAACGTGGCAAAACCCCATCTCTATCAAAAATACAAAACTTTAGCCAACCGTGGTGGTACGTGCCTGTGGTCCCAGCTACTCAGGAGGCTGAGGCAGGAGGATTGCTTGAGCCCAGGAAGTCGAGGCTGTAGTGAGCTGTGATGGCACTACTGCACGCCAGCCTGGGTAACAGAGCAAGATCAAGTTTCAAAAAAAAAAAAAAAAGTCCGAGCGTGGTGGCTCATGCCTGTAATCCCAGCACTTTGGCAGGCCGAGGCGGGCAGATCACTTGAGGTCAGGGGTTTGAAACCAGCCTGGCCAACATAGTGAAACCCTGTCTCTACTAAAAATACAAAATTTAGCTGGGCATGGTGGCACGTGCCTGTAATCCCAGGTACTTGGGAGGCTGAGGCACGAGAATGGCTTGAACCTGGGAGGCGGAGGTTGAGCCACTGCACTCCAGCCTGTGCAACAGAGGTAAGACTCTGTCTCAAAAAAAAAACAAAAAAACAACCAGTGTATGGGGATGGTTTTCTAAGCATCTCTTTCAGCGGTGGTACCTTCGTAACGACAAATACCAGTACAGGTTCAGAGTAGGGGGAATCCATTCAGAGTCCTTGAGAGGAGGCCTGCAGCAGGGATGGGGGGCTGATCACGCAAGGCAGGAAAGTTGTCTGTACCTGCAGCAGTGAGTGCCTGATAGGCCTGTGGGGCGGCTTCAGTGCCCACCACAGGGCGTGGGGGAGCCCAGGCAACAGGGAGCCTCCTTCTGCCATTAGTGGAGGGAGGGGCCTAGGCTGCTGAGGTTGAGCTTCCCAAGGGAGTTCTGTAGAGGAGAGAATAAAGAGCACACTATGTGAGTTCACTGAGAGTCCTCGCTTTGAGAAAAGGTGACACACTCCTGGGACTCCCAGAAATACTGCGGGAACTTTGCAGTTGGGACGATAAGTAAATGACTAGGGCCAGAAAAATATTATTTAATACTGTTTTTTTCTTTTCTTTTTTTTTTTTTTTTTTTTTTTTTTTGAGGCAGGGTCTCTGTCTGTCACCGAGGCTGGAGTGCAGTGGTGCGATCACAGCTCACTGCTGCCTTGACCTCCTGGGCTCAAGCTCAAGTGATTCTCCTGCCTCAGACTCCCAAGTAGCTGGGACTACAGGTGCATACCATCATGCTCGGCTAATTTTTTTACTTTTTGTAGAGATGTGGTCTCCCTGTGTTGCCCAGGCTGGTCTCGAACTACTGAGCTCAAGTGATCTTCTTGCCTTGGCCTCCCAAAGTGCTGGGATTGCAGGTGTGAGCCACTGTGCCCAGCCAGTACTGTTAACATGACCCCATTGGTACCCCTAGACTTGTTGGTCTAGGGAAACATGAGACACACAAAATACATAGGAAGGTGTTCAGCCTATAATTTTCCTTTATATATAAGTGAACTTCAAAATCTTGAAGGCCAATGATGACTTTGATTTTTCTGTTTTAGCAATAGGGTCTTGCTATGTTGCTTAGATTAGACTGGAGCTTCTGGGCTCAGGCAATCCTCCTGCCTCAGCCTCCCAAATAGCTGGGGCTACTGGCATGCATTACTATGCCTGGCTCAATGAAGATTTTTTATATTTGTACCAAGGTCTCAAAGAAGGCAGTGGGCAGATAATAGAGGTGTCACACGCTAGGAGGATGGATCACCTAATGAATCAGTGGCTGAGACAAGTACAGAGGTTTTTTTTGTGTGTATAGTTTTATAGTGATTGATATCAGTCTTCTTTCATTTAGATTATAGCAAGGTTATTCATATTTAAGTTAAGCCCTATTAAGGCTAAAAACATTCTAATTCAAGAAGGATGTTCAAGATTCTCTCCTTAAAGATATTACATATTTTATAGTTTGCTGTTTAAAGAAACTATTTGTTTTCTGTGAATCCTGAAATGTTGATTTCTCTTTGAAGATTCTGTGTCCAGCTTCTACTGGAGACAAAGTGGTTTAGTGTAGGAAGAACGAGTGCTTCAGTGGCAACAGGCCTGCATTAAATTTCAGCTCCCTACTTTTAATCTATATGACCTTGGGCAAGATAGCGTAATCTCCCTGAACCTCGGTCTCTTGCTTGTAAGTAGAGAAAAAGAATGGCTACTGGGTCAGACCACACCGGATTCGCTGGATTGTAACACTGAGGAAGTGTGCCAAGTGCGTAACAGAATGGAAAGTAGGTAACTCAGAGGGTGTTTAATTCAGGGGTTCGGCATGCCAAAAAGGGTGCAGGTTCTTTCCATCTTTTTGGTCGACCACCCTGATTGTGCTGGCTTGGCCCTCTGGCCAGCTCCCCTCGTCATCACGAGATAACTACTAGAGTTCTGGCAACCTCAAACCGAGGACAGAGTCCCATGGAAGAAGAAGGTTTCAGTATCTCTTTAAGAATAAGAGAACTTTCCCCAGCCTTCCTCCCAGCAGACCTCCCTTCAAATGTTTTTGGTCAGAACTGGGTCTCATAGCATCCTTGACCTAGTCACTAGCAAGGAAAATGGAATCACCAGGATTAACGTAGGCTGTGCATGAAGGATCTACTACTCAGCTAAGAACAGGCCACCTTCTCTCAGGGCCAGCTCCCTGGCAGGCAGGAAGGAAGGAAGGAAGATGTGGGAAATGGCTGATAGGTAGTCCACAGAGACTGCCACACTTGTTTTGTGGTGTTAATTTAAGGTCTAGTTTATTATTTGGATCAGGAATGTTTAAAAAATTAATGGGCTTTATCTTTTAGAGGTATTGTAGGTTTATAGAAAAGTTAGTGGAAAGTATAGAAAGTTTCCATATATACCCCCTCACCATCACCTCCAGACTCCCAAGTTACTAACTTCTTGCATTAGGATGGTACATTTCTTGGAATTGATGAGCCAGTGTAAGTACATTGTTATTAACTAAAGTCCATAGTTTATGTTAGGGTTCACTTTTGGTGGTGTACATTCTATGGGTTTTGACACGTATCCACCATTACAGAGTCATACAGAGTAGTTTCCCTGCCCTAAAAATCGCCTGTGCTCCACCCGTTCATCCTTCCTCCTAAGTGCCTGGCAACCACTGATCTTACTGTCTCTACAGGTTTGCCTTTTTTGTCAGATAGCTGGAATGATGTAGTGTAGCTGAAAAGAAGTGGCCTTTTCAGACCGGCTTCTTTCACTTAGCAGTATGCATTTAAGGTTCCTCCATGTCTTTTTGTGTCTTGATCATTTCTTTTTAGTGCTGAATAATATTCCATTATATGGATGTACCACAGTTTATCATTCAACTATTGAAGGATATTTTTGTTGCTTCCAAGTTTTGGCAATTATGAATAAAACTGCTATAAACATTCATGTGCAGGTTTTTGTGTAGACCTAAGTTTTCAGCTCATTTGGGTAGATATCAAGAAGCTCAACTGCTGGATCTTATGATAAGAATATGTTTAGTTTTGTAAGAAACTGACGCTGGGCATGGTGGTTCACGCCTGTAATCCTGGAACTTTGGGAGGCTGAGGCGGGTGGAACATGAGGTCAGGAGTTCAAGACCAGCCTGGCCAACATGGCAAAACCCTGTCTCTACTAAAAATACAAAAAATTAGCTGGGCATGGTGGCGGGTGCCTGTAATCCCAGCTACTTGGGAGGCTGAGGCAGGAGAATTGCTTGAACCCAGGAGGTGGAAGTTGCAGTGAGCTGAGATTGCACCACTGCACTCCAGCCTGGGCAATAAGAGCAAAACTCTGTCTCAAAAAACAAAACAAAACAAAACTGACAAACTGTCTTTCAAAATGGTTGTACCATTTTGCATTTCCACCAGCAATGAATGAGAGTTTCTGTTGTTCTACATCCTTGCCAGCATTTGGTGTTGTCAGTCTTTTGGATTTTCACCATTCTAATAGGTGCATAACAGTATGGATCGTGATTTTTTTTTTTTTTTTTTTGAGACGGAGTTTCGCTCTTGTTTCCCAGGCTGGAGTGCTTGGCTCACCGCAGGCTCCGCCTCCTGGGTTCAAGTGATTCTCCTGCCTCAGCCTCCTGAGTAGCTGGGATTACAGATATGCACCACCATGCCCGGCTAATTTTGTATTTTTAGTAAAGACAGGGTTTCTCCATGTTGGTCAGGCTGGTCTCGATCTCACAACCTCAGGTGATCTGCCTGCCTTGGCCTCCCAAAGTGCTGAGATTAACAGGTGTGAGCCACCATGCCTGGCCATGGATCATGATTTAAAAAAAATACTGGCACAAGGAAATTTGAACTCTGGCTATTTGGTAAAAAATTATTGTTAATATTTTTTAGTTGAGATAATGGAATTGTGTGTGTGTTTTTTAAAGAGTTCTTATCTTTAGAAATCCATGCTGAAATATTTACCAATGAAATAGGATGTCTTGGATTTGCTTCAAAATAATTGAAGCTAGAGGAAGAAGTGGGTGATAGATGAAAAAAATTGGCTCTGAGTTGGAAACTATTGAAACTGAGTTGAGAGGCATATGGAGGGCCATTATATTAGTTCTCTTTAGTTTTGTGTATGTTGCGGCTTTTCATAAAAGGTTTTTACTAATTAAAGTTTAATCATGTATTATTTAAAAATGATAGAGACAGGGTGCAATGGCTCATGCTATAATCCCAACACTTCAGGAGGCCAAGTAGGGAAAATTGCTGGAGGCCTGGAGTTCAAGGCCAGTCTGGGCAACATAGTGAGATCCCATATCTATAAAACATTTAAAAAAGTTAGCTGGGTGTGATGACATGAGGCTATAATCCCAGCTACTTGGGAGGGAGGCTGAGGTGGGAGGATCATTTGAGCCCAGGAGTTCGAGACTGCAGTGAGCTATAATTGGGCCACTGTATTCAAGCCTGGGCAATAGAGCAAGACTCTGTCTCAAAATAAGAAAAAAGATGGACACTTTGGTGTTTAGTAAAAATTAGGAACTGTCTTCTGGTCCTACCTTTGCTTAAGTTTAGTTCTTAACAGTATTCTGAGGAATAAATGAATATTTGTTGAATATATATGTATTAGAGTTTATTATTCAAGGAATCTTCCTAGAAACTGAAGATTTTTGGTAATATGATAAATTTTACTTGAAATTATTATTTTTAGAGATAGGGTCTCACTCTGTGGCCCAGGCTGGAGTGCAGTAGTGCAATCATAGCTCACTGCAACCTTGAACTCCTGGGCTCAAGTGGTTCTCCCACCTCAGCCTCCCGAGTAACTGGGACTACAGGTGCACACTACCACACTTGGCTGATTTTTTATTTTTTCTAGAGATAGGGTCTTGTGCTGTTTCCCAGGCTGAATTTTACTTTAAATTATTTTAACATTTATGTATTTTTCCAAATAAATGTATTTTTAACTCAAAAGCAAAAAGCAGTACATGTGCACTAGAAAAAAAAAAAAAAGGACAAGCAATAAAAGAACTTATATAAAGGACATCATAATCTTGCCTACTCAGAGAGGGCCACTCTCAATCAGTGCCTTGAGGTATAATTGTTGAAACCCTTTCCATCTTATCCAGGTATCTGTGTCTATATAGTTTTTGTTTATGTACAAAAATTTAGAATTGTATTCTTTTTTTTTTGAGACAGAGTTTTGCTCTTGTTGCCCAGGCTGGAGTGCAGTGGCGCGTTCTCGGCTCACTGCAGCCTCTGCCTCCCAGGTTCAAGCGATTCTCCTGCCTCAGGCTCCCGAGTAGCCGAGATTACAGGCACCTGCCACTGCGCCCAGCTATTGTTTTGTATTTTTAGTAGAGACGGGGTTTCACCATGTTGGCCAGGCTGGTCTCAAACTCCTGACCTCAGGCAATCCCGCCTGCCTCAGCCTCCCAAAGTGCTGGGATTACAGGGGTAGGCCACCACCCCTCGCCCAGCGGATTACATTCTTAACATATGTACTGTTTTGCTTTTAACTTAGTATCTGACACATAGCTTTAGAGACTGCATAGGAAGCCATCATATAGCTGTATTATATTTTATTAAACTTGGACATTTGTGTTGAACATTGTAGGTTTTTCCAGCTTTTTGCTATTACAAACAGAAAGGAGGCAACGTGCAGTTGTTAAGAACACAAACTCTGGAGTTAAATGGCATGGTTTCTCTGCAGAAAAGGGTGAATGTAGCAGGTCTGGGACTGCTGTCCTTAGAAAGGCTGCTTCCAAGGTTGGCACTTGGCTCGTGTCAGGGAACTTGGATTTCGGAAGGGTTCCTGCCACCCTAATTGGTAAGAGTGGCTCACTGCATAAACTGTGCAAACACTGTAGTTTATGCTGAACTCCTGTTTTCCTTCCAGGAGCCTATGTGATCGCCTGGTAAAAACCCTGGATGCTAAGTCTCTAGTGAATTTCCCTGGCAGACATTTCACACGTGTTGTCACAGCTCATTGCTGGAAGAATTAAGCACACCCTGAATGACTACACTGGGGGGAAATTCATGGAAGCTTGCACCTAGTTTCCTCTGGACTTGGTCTTGTAGACCTTTTCCCTTTTCTTTGTATCCTTTTGCTGTCATATATCATAGCTCTGAGTGCAACTGTGTGCTGAGTCTTGTGAGTCCTTTCAGAGAATCACCAAACCTTGGGGTGGACTTGGGGACACAGGTTTAAATCCTGGCTCTGCTGCTTTCTAGCGGAGTAAACTTAGGCAAGTTACTCACCCTCTCAGTCATTTTCTAATCTTTAATTTGAGTTAAAAAAACAGTTTTGTTTTATAAATCGAAATATATAATGTACTTAGAATAGTGCCTGGCATGTAATTATTTCTCAACAAATGTTAAGAATTATCTTGCAAGCTAGATGTTTGTGTATATTTGTAACTATTTCTTTTCTTCTTTTTTTTTCTGAGATGGAGTCTCACTCTGTCTCCCAGGCTGGAGTGCAGAGGTGCGATCTCGGCTCACTGCAAGCTCCGCCTCCCGGGTTCACACCATTATCCTGCCTCAGCCTCCCGAGTAGCTGGGACTACAGGCGCCCGCCACCACGCCCGGCTAATTTTTTTGTATTTTTTTTTTAGTATAGTAGAGACAGGGTTTCACCGTTTTAGTCCGGATGGTCTCGATCTCCTGACCTGGTGATCTGCCCGCCTCAGCCTCCTAAAGTGCTGGGATTACAGGCGTGAGCCACTGTGCCCGGCCTTTTTTCTTTTTTTTTTTGGGACGGAGTCTCAGCTCATCACAACCTTTGCCTCACAGGTTCAAGTGATTTTTTCTGCCTCAGCCTCCCAAGTAGCTGGGATCATCCCTGCACTTTGGGAGGCCGAGGCGGGCAGATCACCTGAGGTCGGGAGTTCGAGACTAGCCTGACCAACATGGAGAAATCCCGTCTCTACTAAAAATACTAAATTAGCCAGGTGTGGTGGTGCATGCCTGTAATCCCAGCTACTCGGGAGGCTGAGGCAGGAGAATCGCTTGAACTCGGGAGGCGGAGGTTGCAGTGAGCCGAGATCGCACCACTGCACTCCAACCTGGGCAACGAGTGAAACTCTGTCTCAAAAAAAAAAAAAAGTGCTGGGATTACAGGTTTGAGCCACCGTGACTGGCCTGTAACTATTTCTTTCAAATAAATTTCTGTAAGAATAACTGCTGAGCTTAAGGATATGTACTTTTTTTAATGTGTTCTGGTCATAGTAGTAAAATATATTTATTAAGACAGATATTTGGTATAGAAAAAAAGTCTTTCCTAATTCTATATTTCAGATATAGTTATTTCTAATAATTTGCTATATACATGTCAAAATTTATTTCTACACATATTAATATGGACAGTAGAATATAGAAATTTTTAATAAAAATGGGACCACATATATATTATTTTATTGTTTATGCCTGTATATAAGGGATCTTTATATTCAGTGAAGTTCCATAAAAACCTTTTTGTCTTCCTTAAAACGCTTAGATTATAGGTGAAGTAAAAAATATGTAATTATAATGTCCAAGTTGTCAACTTAGTTATACCTTTACATTTGAAATTACACATTATAGAAATACAGTAATTTAGAAATTACAGACAGTCCCTGACTTATGATGGTTTGACTTAGGATTTTTTGACTTTGTGATGGTACAAAAGCTATACTGTACTTCAAATTTTGAATTTTGATCTTTTACCAGGCTAGTGATATGTGGAGCTACACTTTTTTGTGATGCTGGGCAGTGGTTGTGAGCCGCAGCTCCTAGTCAGCCCTGCAATCATGGGGGTAAACCTTCAACAGTACTGCGTTGTCAGCATTTTTTTGAATATTGTTTGCCAGCATTTTTGCATCCATCCTGTCTACAAAGCCCATCTCGACTTAGAATATTTTCAGTTTACAATGGGTTATTGGGACGTAACCCATCATAAGTTGAGGAGTGTCTGTACACTGTTGCTTTTTTTATAGTCATCACAGGCGTCTTTGACATGTCACCCTGTCACCATGATCATCAGAGCCACTTTTAAGGTTTACATCAGATACACAGCACATCAGCTTCACTTCCGCGTGTTGCTTGATTCCACTGGACTCTTTGATTCCACAGGAAATTTTATCCTGTTCATATAACATTCAGGCAGTTGGTTTTTCATTTGCCCAGGATGTGTGACTGCCACAACCTGACTGATCCCTGAACTGCTTTTTAAAATTATCCATGGCTGGGCATGGTGGCTCATGCCTGTAATCCCAGCACTTTGGGAGGCCAACTCAGGTGGATCACCTGAGGTCAGGAGTTCGAGACCAGCCTGACCAACATGGTGAAACCCTGTCTCTACTTAAAATAGAAAAATTAGCTGGGCATGGTGGCAGGCGCCTGTAATCCCAGCTACTTGGGAGGCTGAGGCAGGAGAATCGCTTGAACCCGGGAGGCTCTTGTCTTTGACATGCTAGTTCTGTGGGAGAAACCCCAGCTGGGCCTGGTGGCTCATGCCTGTAATCCCAGCTACTCGGGAGGCAGAGGGAGGTGGATCACTTGAGGTCAGGAGTTTGAGACCAGCCTGACCAACATGGTGAAACCCCATCTCTACAAAAATAAAAAAATTAGCCAGGCATGGTAGCATGCACCTGTAATCCCAGCTACTTGGGAGGCTGAGGCACGAAAATCACTTAAACCCAGGAGGCGGAGATTGCAGTGAGCTGAGATCACGCTATTGCACTCCAGCCTGGGCAACAGAGCAAAACTGTCTCAAAAAATAAAATAAAATAAAATAATACAAGCATTGACAGGTACAGAAGTACCATGAGGGAGACAGCATTGAATTCTGTCTGAGATGTGCAGGCAGACCAAAGGGGGGTGATAACAGAGCAAGAATTTAAAAGATGATATATATTACTCTGCTTCAGCTGCCATAACCAATTGCACAGACTGGATGGCTTAAACAGCAGAAATTTATTTCTCGGAGTGTTGGAGGCTGGAAGCCTGAGTTCAGAGTGCCAGCATGGCTGGGTTCTGGTGAGGAGTCTTCTTGGCTTATACATGCCACCATCTCACTGTGACCTCACATAACAGAAAGAGAGAGAGAGAAAGATCTCTTCCTCTTCTTTTTTTATTTTTATTTGTTTTATTTTGTTTTGTTTTTTGAGATGGAGTCTTGCTCTGTTGCCAGGCTGGAGTACAATGGTGCGATCTCGGCTCACTGCAACCTCTGCCTCCCGGGTTCAAGCGATTCTCCTGCCTCAGCTGAGAAGGTGGGACTAGAGGCACGTGCCACCACGCCTAGCTAATTTTTGTATTTTTGGTAGAGATGGGGTTTCACCATGTTGGCCAGATGGTCTTGATCTCTTGACCTCGTGATCTGCCTGCCTCAGCCTCCCAAAGTGCTGGGATTACAGGCGTGAGCCTCCGCCAGCCTCTTCCTCTTCTTATAAGGCCACCTATCCTGCTAGATTAGGGCCCCCCACCCTTATGACCTCATTTAACCTTAATTACCTCCTAAAGGCCCTGTCTCCAAATACTATCACATTGTGGGGGGTAGGGCTTCAACATGAATTTAGGAAGGACACAACTCAGTTCACAGCAGATGAATAAGCATTTGCCAGGCAGCTCAGTTATGGACGAGGTGTTGAAACCGACGGAATATAGCAGATATGAAAGCATAGAGGCCTGAAACAATAGGGTGTGTTCAGGGAGCTACAGCTGGCTCAACATTGCTGTAATATAAGTTGGGAGGGAGAACTTCTGAAAGCTGAGGCTAGAACAATAGGGGTGGAGGTGGAGCACATGATTATGAAGGACCTTGGTATACTAAGCTTAGAAGGACTTCATCTTAAGGGTAGAGGGGAGCCACAGGAACTTCTAGGCAGAGGCATGGCGCAGTCAGATTTGCATTTTTGATAATTCAGGTGGAGGAGCAATTTAAGTAGCAGCGAAAGTGGAAGTAGTAAGTTAGTTGGGAAGCTAATGCAGTAGCCCTTGTGAAGCAAAGATGCAGCAAAGACAAGAGAGGCAAAGTCTGGAAAATGTTAAGGTGATGAAATGTGCAGGACTTGACTAGATATTTTAAATGTGGGAGGTGAGAGAGCCATAGGAGTCCAGGTTGGGTTGGGGTCTTACTTGTCCAGTTTCCATAAAGAGACATGTTAATTACTTGACATTTTACAGAATTAGTATATTGACTCATTGATTTCCAAAACTCTTTGAATAAGTATGTAACTGTTCTGTAGATTGAAGTTGTGTCACTCTTACCATGATCACAAACTCAGGCTCTGCCTATCATTTTGGAACTATTTGGGGAAGTCGACCATCTTTTCTGGGCTAGTTACCTTTTTAAAAGGGGAGGGAGTTGCACTTGGTGTCATATGCATTTCTGCTCTAACATTGTTTCCTGCTATTTATTTTCCTTAGTATATTTGCTTGTACATGCTCAGTATTGTGCTGTGTTTTATAGATTACAGAAATAAAACTGTGACTCTTGTCTTTGACACGCTAGTTTTGTGGCAGAAACCAACTCATGGTACTATACTACCACTAAAAAGAAGTAATGTGTATTTAAGGGCTAATTTGTGTCTGCTGCCTGCAGCCTATACATTGGTTCATTCATTTGTTTTCATTCATTTGTTCCGAGTCTCTGTGTTTATAAAGTTTACACTCTAGTGGAGGAACAATAATTAGTAAACATGTAGTATATGGAATGGTGATCAGTGTCACAGAGGCCAGCAAAGTAGGAGAGGGTGTGTGCTGAGGGTCTGGCTTACTATTTAATGTGGTGCGATGAGAGAAGCCCCCTTAGTAGGGTGACATTTGAGCAAAGGCCCAGGGAGTGAGAGAGGGTGAGACATAAGGTCTATGCAGTGTAGGTGTCGGGAGGAAGAATGTTGCAGGCAGAGGGAACACCAAGTGCAAAGGCCCTGAGATGGGAACATGCCCCGCTTATTTGAGGAACAGTGAGGAGGCCGGTGTAGCAACAGCAATGTGAGAAGGGGAAGGTGAGTTCACTGATGGGGGAAGAGGAGGATTATTCAGGGCCTTGGAGGCCATTGTAAGGGCTTTGACTTTCCCTCCAAGTGAGACAGAAAGACACTGGAGCGTTGCAAGTGGGGGTGTGACATGATTTGACCTAGGCTTTAGAAGCATCACTCTCACTGTATGTGCAGAATGGACTATAAAGAGGCAAGGGCAGGAGAAGTGAGACTGGTTAGGAGGCAGTTGCAGTAATCCTGGCAGGAGATGACAGCGGCTTGGATCGGGGGTAGCAGTGGAGGAGGTGAGAAGTGCTGAGATGTAGGGCTATTTATGATACACATACTGACAGGCGTTGTTGAGGGACGAGATGTGGCATGTGAAAGGAGTCGAGGTTTCTGGCCTGAGTCACTGGAAGAACGGAACTGCCACTTATGGAGATGGAGAGGACTATTAAAAAACCTAAGTGGAGGTGTCAAGAGAAGGTGTCAAGAAGGTAGTTGGACAAATGAGTCTGGAGTTAGAAGAGGGAACCAGCCTGGAGATATGTAGATGGTATTTGAAAGCCACAAGTTGGTAAATCAAAGACCAAGAGAGTATATAGGAAAGAGGTCTGTTGGCTGAGCTTTAGTGCCCAGGGTGGGTCAAGATGAGGAGGAACCAACAAAGGGGACTGGGAAGAGGCTTCTAGGGGAGTGAGCAGAAAACTAGGAGAGGGTAGCATCCTGGAACCAAGTGAACACACTGTTTGGAGGCGTTAGGAGTAATCAGTGGTGTCCTACGATGTTGATGCGTGACACCTGAGAATGGACCGTAGTGTTCAAGTGATGCACGAGATAGAACCAGTCATACCACTAATGGTTTTTTTAGTCCTAAATATTTTTACTGCAAGATTTCGTTGTTCTAAGTGTTTTCACTGTCAGATGAAGGATGAAAGTCGTTCAGGGTAATTTCCATTTTAGTAATTTCCGACAGCGGCAGAACAGTTTCTACTTACGATTGGTATGCATTTTTATTATTAGCCATAGTATTCATTTTGGGTGAGTACGTCTTTGTTAGCGTTATTTTTCTTCACCACCTCCTCGAGTTGTTCATCCATTCATTCATTCACCCAAAGAAATGCTTATTAAGCGCCTGTCCTGCGCTAGTCCTAGGTTTCTCTTGTCCTGATAGGTCTAGCTTCACACGAGCAGGATTTTGCCTTTCCGGCGGCACTAGGCTTCCGCCTCACCGCAGTGGGGTTTTTCCAGCCTACCTTGTGCAGCTGCGGTTCTCAGCATCCGCGGGCGGAGGCCTGCAGCCGGTCAGCCGGTGCGTCCCGCCCACGGCGCGGGGCCTTCTGGCAGCCAAGAAGGAAATACAGATGAGGTGGGCGGACAGTATGCAGATGACGGGGGCGGGCCGCGCCTGGCGGGCGGTGTGCAGTTGAGGTGGTCCGGCAGGATGCAGATGAAGGGGGCGGGCCGCGAGGGCGGGCTTGATGCAGATGAGGGGGCGGGGCCCACGGGCGCGGGAGAGCAGCGGCTCCGCCGGCAGCTGCTGGGAACTGGAAGGCGCCCGGTCCTTTCTTTGACTGGAGCGGACCCGCCGGACGCAACCGCCTCGCCAGCCGGAGCCAGCGCGAGCTCGGCACGGTGGACACCCGGTCCGAGGCCGGCAAGCCGGCTGGTGCCCGAGTCGGCCAAGCATGGGCAACCACTCAGGACGGCCCGAGGATCCGGAACCAGGTCTGTGCGGCTGGCGGGGGTCGCGCCGCAGCCGCAACCCCACCCCCCCTCCAGGCGCCCTTCCCCCACCGCCTCCGGCTCGCGGCGCCGACTGGGGCGAGCGAAAGGCTAAGGTCCTGGGGTGTGATTCTTGTCGTTGGAATGCGCCGCTTGGGATTGTGAAATTACCTGTGCCGACGCCGCGACCAGAAAACGCTGCTCGTCCTGAACGCGCACCTGGGCGCCGGGGCCGCCGGGCAGGCACCGCTGGGTCCCTGCCGCGGGGTTCCCCACTCCGCGCCTGGCCTGCGCCTAGACCAGGTCTCCTGAGCGCGCAGGCCGCCCTCGGACTTTCCGGGCGTTTGCGGGGAGGGCGTGCCCCGCGGCCTCTCCCTGTCGGCCGCCGGCCCCGCAGTTTGTGGCGCCCGCGGCTCTGCCCCTCACACTCACGCCAGGGCTGCCCCGCGACTGTTCCTAACCCAGAATAGTCCGTGCTTGTTCTGGGGTGTCGGGCGCGCCTCTGGTTATCCCGTTTTTACTTCCTCAGTCCTGAGTGAGCTTCGTGGAGTCAGTTGGGCCGTAGTTTTCGTCCTCTGGTAGCTCATGTCGGCCCCCAGCAGAGTTAGATGCCGATAAGCAGGGTTGCTTTTAAAAACAAAACGAAACATTTCTGGACTGTCACGTGAAGCAAAAGGGATTTAGTTTTGCCTGAAAAATGGCATCTTGGCTGATAGGAAAGAGGTGGTTGACCTGACTCTGGAGTCCTTGTGGGGGTGGGGGGCCGGTGACAGGTATGTGTTTCTGTGGGAGAGTCAGAACTGTAAATATTTTCCAAAGGCGTAATATTTGAATTTTAATTTGAATGAGGACTTTGAGGCTCTGAGAGGTGAAGCGACTTGTCCGAGTGACCTTTTCCGGAGCTGGGTGCCGTGCTGTAGGACGCTGGGTCGTCCTGGCCTCTGCGCATTGCTTCTCCTTCATCTCCCAGCGCCCCAGCCGCCCCACCTTGGCCCTATCCTCGGGGTGGGGTGGAGGCGGGTGCCTCCCTGACACTTGGGGTACATTGGACTGGTACCACAGCCAGGATGGAAAACTTGGACGGGCTGTCCAAGTTTCTTCACAGGAATACTATGAAGAAAAATTTCAGGGGCCAGCTTACTGCCTAGAGGTGACTTTAGTTACACAGCACTTGTTCAGACTATTTTTTGGGCAGAATAACCAACAATAAGCATATTCATAAAATGAAATATGCATAAAATAAAAATAATATACTTGTTATAAATAACCCTGTTGGTAAAGGATTGGTTCGGTAAAGGATTGGTAACATTTTAAAAACACTTCTCATTAGTTACATGCTTGTCCAGGTATTGTGAAAACCCCTGTGTATTATTTCCTTTGTGTTAAAATTGTGAAAAGAGTTACTCTTGTTACAGCTTTTAAGACTGATTGGATGCCTGTGTTCCAATTTTTTTAGTGACCTTACTTTTTAAAGCACTGTGATGGATAGGACATAAAAAGAATATGTTTATGCCAGTGACTTATTTTATTGTATTTTTCAAAGAATGCATATCATTTCAGAATGGGAACTCTGATTTGCTGCAAATGAAGATACCGGATTTAGGGCATTTTTAAGAGATGGTGTCTCACTATGTTGCCCAGACTGGCCTTGAAGTCTTGGGCTCCAGCACCTCTCCTCCGTCAGCCTCCCAAGTAGCTGAGACTACAGACAAATGCCACCTTGCCTGGCTAGAAATTCGTGGTAAAAACTTTAAATGCTGGATTACTGTCTGAAAGTGTAATTTTAACTGGCCTTCTAATGCTGTGATGAAATGCTGTAGAGTTCATCACTGAGATCCTGGAAATTAGAGCTTTGTTAAAGATGCGTGGGTTTTCAGTCGGCTTTACCACAGGGACTGGGATGAGGTCGCATGGCCCCAACTGGCAGTTGTGGTACATTGGACTAGAATCTCAACAAGTGCTTCCGAGGGTCATCAGAGCAAGGGGACCAAAAGGATATAAGGGGGAAGCAGAAGGAGAAGGGAGGCTGGATGAGTGATAGCAGCACACAAGCCTGAGTGTCGCATGGTTCCCGTATTGTGTCAGTTTTGTCCATGGAGAACAGACATTTAGAATTAAGAATGTATCCAAGACAGACAATAGGGATAGGAAGCAGAATTAGAGGAGTTCGAGACCAGCCTGGGCAAGGAAAGCTTTTGATCATGATGCAGACCCAACACCTATGAAAGGGAAGCGGGAGGCAGCAGGTTTGGGCAGGGAGAGCCTCAGATAATGATGCAGACCTGAAGTCTTGGCCACTTGATGGGGGAGCTCCCTAGCAAAGCCCACCCATTAGAGGGGTCTCAGGTTGGGCAGAAAGGACAGTCCCTAGTCTTTCTGTGGGTCAGTCATTGGCCAGAGGCTACTTTGGAAGAACGTGCCTTCAGCTCAGAAGCTAACACAAGTCTTGGGATCCTCGTGGTGCCAACAGCTGGAAGCTGTCAGCCCTCTGCAGTCCTTGCAGATGAATGGCAAGTTCGGTTTTTTTTGTTCTGTTTTGTTTTTTGAGACAAGGTCTGACTGTCACCTGGGGTGGAGTGCAGTGCTGTGATCATGGCTCACTGCAGCCTTGACCTTCCAAGCTCAGGCAATCCTTCCACTTCAGCCACCCAAGTAGCTAGGACAACAGGCCCGGCTGTTTCGTTTTTGTTTTGTTTTTTTTTGTAGAGATGGGATTTTGTTTTTGTTTTTGTTTTTTTTTTTGAGATGGAGGCTTGTTCTGCCACCCAGGCTAGAGTGCAGTGGTGTGATCTTGGCTCACTGCAACCTCTGCCTCCTGGGTTAAAGCGATCCTCCCGAGTAGCTGAGACTGCAGGTGTGCACCACTATGCCCGCCTAATTTTTGTATTTTTAGTAGAGGTGGGATTTCACCATGTTGGCCAGGCTGGTCTTGAACTCCTGACCTCAAGTGATCTGCCTGACTCAGCCTCCCACAGTGCTGGGATCACAGGTGTGAGCCACCATGCCTGGCGTAGAGATGGGATCTTGCCATGTTGCCCAGGCTGGTCCCAAACTCCTGGGCTCAGGTGATCCTCTTGCTTCAGCCTCCCAAAGTGCTGGGATTACAGGTGTAAGCCACTGTACCTGGTTAAGTTCTTTCTTGAAAAAGGGATCCCAGTGGAACACCTCCATGGTTGACTGCCACAGGACCTCAGTTGCTTGGACAGGGAGAGTCTCTTTAAAGAGTAAAGAGGTAAAATCCCCATCTGAGACCCGCTGTAGGCGTTGAGATTGCACCATCTTTTCCAGATGGAAGCTCCTCATCCCCTCTGGGGTGTTTCTAAGGCAGAAGGCAGCTTCTCAGCTGCTGCTGCTTTTCTAGCCCTGGAATTGGCTGTGGTGGCAGCAGGATTCCTCTGTTGTGGTATCTGCAGTCCTCCGAGTTGGGACATCATGACTTAACATGGTATTGCAGAATGGATAAGATAAATAGATCCAGTAAAAGATATGAAAATTTCATGTCTGAAATTTTCAGCCTGGGCAGAGAAAGTTGGTGACCACATCTCATGCTTCCTAAAAGGTCCTAGTTAACAGTCCTTCAGTTTCCAACCAGGTTGTCATCACCTCATTGTCAGGGCTGCTGGGCATGGTTGTGCAATTTGTGTACTGTTCAAAGGCATCTGCTTAGAGAGTTGAGTGGGCCTGGCAGGGTTGTAGCAACCCAGAGGAAGGGGTGCCGTTTTGCAATTTTGCCTTTTTATATTCACACAAAGGTGCCCAAAGTGTTAAAGAAGTCTTAGAAAGTGAGTTTAGAAGGTTTTCCCTAGTCCCAGTACCAGCTTATTATTTGTTTTAAATTTGCATGTATGAAATTAAAAAGTTAATGCAAATTACATGAAATAAAAGCTGCTCAGGTGCACTCTGTATTAGTTATAGTTAATGCTAACTGTGGTTACAGATAAATTCCAAAATAGCCACTTAAGACAGTTAAAGTTGATTGCTGCCTCATGTCGCATCTGGTGTGAGTTGGGGGCCATCAGCAGGTGGTTGTTAGAGACTCAGGCTGGTGGATGCTCCTCTTCAGCATATGGCTCCCAAATTGCCCTGAATCTGCCAGCAGTCGGGAGAGGAGAAGGCGTGTGGAGGACCCTGCCCGAGGTTTTAGGGGCCAGGCCTAGAAGTGGTGCACATTATTTCTACTTATGTTCCACTGGCCAGACTCAGTCACAGAGACCCACTGACATGCCAGGGGACTGCATCAAGCAGAGAGCATGCATATTGGTAAACATTAGTGTCTCTTTGTAGACATGATGACCATTCTCAACCACATTTGCATCAGTATTTTATTACAAAAATTTTAATCAGAAAAATTAAGACTTACATAGTAAACACCCATGTACCAACCACCTAGATTCTAAATTAATATTTTGCTGTATTTGCTTTATTTGTACATCTCTATATTCATTCCTCTACCCACCCATTAGTCTGTCTTATTTTTTGATGCATTTCAATGAAATGGTAGTTACCTCTACAATTCTACATGATATACTATACCCTTATTGTTTCTTGATTTGTTAGTTTTCAAGCCTCTCTACTACTAACCTGCACTATGAAAGTTGAGGAATTAAGCACATTTTCCCTGCTATATATTCTCCTCACTCCCCGTTTCTGCAAGTCATACTTAAATTTTCCAAATCCATTGTTAGTATAAAAATGCTAGTGGTAGAATACAAGTAGTGGTATACAGAAGTTTACTGTAAAAGTCCTTCCACTTTGCTATATGAAAATTTCATTTTGAGACCAGCCTGGCCAACATGGTGAAACCCCGTCTCTACTAAAAATACAAAAATTAGTCGAGTGCGGTGGTGGGCACCTGTAATCCGAGCTACTTGGGAGGCTGAGGCAGGAGAATCGCTTGAGCCCGGGAGGCGGAGGTTGCAGTGAGCTGAGATCGCGCTACTGCATTCCAACCTGGGTGACAGAGTAAGAGTGTCTCAAAAAAGAAAAAACTTTAAAATTCTAAGGTAATCTATTGTTTTCCACTTCTATTTCTTGACTCACCAGCTTTAAATAGTGTCCTAGGCTTCGTCACAGGTAAATGAGGATGTAGTGCCCCTAAATGTCTTCTGCCTTATTCTCAAGAGTCCCCCTCCTGCACTTATTCCCAGTCTGCCTCTGGACCTTTCACATGGCTAGAACATTTTCATTCTGTTCCATAATTAGTATTAGTAAGTCTTCTGTGCATCATTTATAGGTTAATTCTAAAAATGGAAGGCCTATCAGCATTTAAAATATCAGGATCTCATGTATTATTTAATGGAGAACCAGGTAGTATGTTTAGATTTATAGAGAAGACAGTGGCATCTTACATTGCATAACGCGTGATCTGTGAAGACAGGAGGAAGGAGTAAGGAGAATGGAAAGGAGTTGGTATGAATATGCTCTTTACTTTTAAAATTAATATGCTTTTATCCTGTTACTCAGTTTCTGTCTTTTGCAGACTGTAAGAGGGAATTTCTTTTTTCTTAAAAACAAGAAGCTAGTCTGCCTTTTCATACTCAGTTCTGTCACTTCTTTTTTTCTTTCTTTTTTTTTTTTTTGAGACAGAGTCTCATTCTGTTGCCTAGGCTGGAGTGCAGTGGAGTGATCTCAGCTCCCTGCAACTTCTGCCTCCCAGGTTCAAGAGATTCTCCTGCCTCAGCCTCTTGAGTACCTGGGACTACAGGTGCGTGCCACCATGCCTGGCTAATTTTTGTATTTTTAGTAGAGACGGGGTTTCGCCATGTTGGCCAGGCTGGTCTCCAATTCCTGACCTCAGGTGATCCGCCCACCTGGGCCTCCCAAATTGCTGGGATTACAGGCATGAGCCACCGTGCCCTGCTCTCATTTCTGTCACTTCTGCCCTCAGACTTCGGGCAAATAATTTTTTATTTTTTTATATATATATTTTTTAGACAGAGTCTCGCTCTGTCGTCCAGGCTGGAGTGCAGTGGCACGATCTCGCCTCACTGCAAGCTCCACCTCCCGGGTTCACGCCATTCTCCTGCCTCAGCCTCCCAAGTAGCTGGGACTACAGGCACCTGCCACTGCGCCCGGCTAATTTTTTCTATTTTTTAGTAGACACAGGGTTTCACCGCGTTAGCCAGGCTGGTCTCCATCTCCTGACATTGTGATCCGCCCACCTTGGACCCCCAAAGTGCTGGGATTACAGACGTGAGCCACCGCGCCCGGCCCAGGCAAATAATTTTTCCTCGAGCTTCAAATTCTTTATCTAGGAAAGGGAAGAGTAATATAACCTACATTGTAGGATTGTTGTGGTGATTCATAGGTTAAAACATATGAAGGCTTAAAATAGACACACATAGAAAGCACCTGATAAGTTTTAGCTGTTAATTCTTCTTAACCCTCCAACATAATACTTTGGTTTGGACTGGTTGCTTTCTAGTCCCATCTCATTCTCAGGTTAGTTCATTATTTCTTGGATCCTTTTTCTCTTTTTTGGATTCTCTTTGCTTTTGTAAAAGTGAAGATGTGGCTGGGTGCAGTGGCTCACGCCTGTAATCGCAGCACTTTGGGAGGCCAAGGTGGGCGGATCACCCGAAGTTGGGAGTTCGAGACCAGCCTGACCAACATGGAGAAGCCTTGTCTCTACTGAAAAATACAAAATTAGCCAGGCATGGTGGCACATGCCTGTAATCCCAGCTACTTGGGAGGCTGAGGCAGGAGAGTCCCTTGAACCTGGGAGGCGGAGGTTGCGGTGAGCCAAGATTGCACCATTGCACTCCAGCTTGGGCAACAAGAGCAAAACTCCATCTCAAAAACAAAAAACAAAGTGAAGATGCATACATCAAATATCAATGGTAATACATAGTAAAAAATCTAAGAAGGTCAAATATATGTTACTGTAATAAATGTCAGTGGGTTAAGCTCCCCATTAAAGAGCTTCCCCTAATTAAGACAGAAAATCAAATATATATACTGCAGAAAAGCTTGTTTATACGTTACTTTGATTTTTAAAATTAAGTCATTTAAAGTTGTGGATAATAAAAAAGTAGCTCTTGAAATTTTCAAGTTCAACGTCTTGTTATTCCATATGTTCTATTTACAAATGCAGTAAAATTTAATAAGCACTCTTTAAGAGCATCTGGTTAAATTGAGTTCTGTTTACAAACTTTGCTAATAAAATTAACATTTTAATTTGTGTTTATTAATTTAGTATATTTAGGTTCTTGTTAAAGTCTGACAAAAAAATCCAGTTTTTAAAGTCTTATAAATTTAATAATTATTCTAATAAACTTAGTGATTCTTAAGTCCTCTTATATATTCCAAAACATTTATATTCTCTCTCTCTCTTTTTTTTTTTTTTGAGACAGTTTCTGTCTCTGTCACACAGGCTGGAGTGCAGTGGCAGGGTCAGAGCTTACTGCAGCCTTGACCTCCTGGGTGCAGGCGGTCCTCTCACTGCAGCCTCCCGAGTAGCTACGACTACAGGAGCATGTCACCACCCCTGGCTAATTTTTGTGTTTTTTATAGAGACGGGGTCTTGCTATATTGCCCTGGCTGGTCTTGAACTCCTGGGCTCAAGCTATCCTCCCACCTTGGCCTCCCAAAGTGCTGAGATTTTATAGGTGTGAGCCACAGTGCCCAGCCTGTATTCTCTCTTTATATGTGTGTATATGTAGATGCAAGCTTTCCAATTTAAAATTACAAATTAATTACTCAGTTACATATTTTGAATTGGAATCGCAAGGTTGACCCTGTAACTCTTTAATAGATCCAATTCTCATAAACATTAAAAGTATAATTCTATAATGCAGATATTTCTTAATATGGAATTCTATTACTACTTGTCTGATTCTTTTGATTATTTCCCCACTTGTTCTAAATCTTTCTAGGATTAAAAGATGTTTACATAAGTGTTTTATTCCAAATAATATTGGGATTTCTTCCCATGTAATTTTTTTTTTTTTTTTTTTAAAGAGACAAAGTCTTGCTCTGTTGGCCAGGCTGGAGTGCAGTGGTGCGATGCTGGCCCACTGCAGCCTTGACCTTCCTCTCTGCCCCAGCCTCCTGAAGTAGCTGGGACTACAGGCAGTGCCACCATGCCCAGCTAATTAAAAAAAATTTTTTTTTTGGTGCAGACGGGGTCTCACTGTGTTGCCCAGGCTAGTCTCCAGCTCCTGGCCTCAAGCGGTCCTCTCACCTAAGCCTCCCAAAGTGTTGACATTTGCCACCATGCCTGGCCCCATATAATTTTTGGGGTTGTCTTCTCAGTTTGCTGAGGTTTTTTTTAATAAACAGAGATCTCTGACAGGGACAAGGTTGGGATTCTTACCCTACCCAGACTTCAGATATCAGCTTGAGCAACTTTTGCTTTGGTTGGAACATATTCTTTAACATATTTGGTTTGAGCATATTCAGGGATATTCTGTGCTTGTTAGTTTTCTCAACCTTCATCTGAGGATAATGTTTTGCCCTTACCCTTTATATACTTTGCCCGGGTATAGAATTCTTGTTCACCACCTTTGTAATCTTTCTGTAGCATGGACTTCAAAACTTGAAGAAAGAGGTGTCATAATACTCATGTGCCTTAGATTCAAATTACATTTAATTTGTGTAGCTTCTAATAGCCTGAGACCCCCATTCGAACGGCCATATCACCTGATTAGAGTTTACACTTCTTTAGCACTTAAAATATATAAATATTTTCCCATTTAACTCCAAAGAACTTTGACTTGATAGAATACTGCCTGGTTTTTTTATACTTTCTGTCTCTTAAAGCAGTATCTTTTTTAAAAAAATTAATTTTATTTTAAGTTAAATTTATTTTAAAAAGTTAAATTTATTTTAAGGATACACGTGCATGACATGCAGGTTTGTTACATAAGTAAACGTGTGCCATGGTGGTTTGCTGCACAGATCAACCCGTCACCTAGGTATTAAAGCCCCACGTGCATTAGCTGTTTATCCTGATGCTGTCCCTCCTACTACCCCCGCCCTGACAGGCCCCAGTGTGTGTTGTTCCCCCCACCCCCTGTGCCGTTTCCATGTGTTCTCATTGTTAAGCTTCCATTTATAAGCAAGAACATGCAGTGTTTGGTTTTCTGTTCCTGTGTTAGTTTGCTGAGGATAATGGCTTCCAGCTCCATCCGTGTCCCTGCAGAGGGCATGATCTTGTTCCTTTTTATGGCTGCATTCTGTTCCATGGTGTATATGTACCACATTTTCTTTATCCACTCTGTCATTGATGGACATTTGGATTGATTCCATGTCTTTGCTATTGTGAAAAATGCTGCAGTGAACATACAGGTACATGTATCTTTATAACAGAATGATTTATATTCCTTTGGGTATATATTCAGTAATGGAATTGCTGAGTCAAATGGCATTTCTGGTTCTAGGTCTTTGAGGAATCGCTGCACTGTCTTCCACAATGGTTGAACTAATTTGCATTCCCACCAACAGTGTATTTCTCCACAGCCTCACCAGCGTCTGTTGTTTCTTGACTTTTTGATAATCGTCATTCTGACTGGCATGAGATGGTATGTCATTGTGGTTTTGATGTGCATTTTTCTAATAATCAGTGATGTTGAACTATTTTTCATACGTTTGTTGGCTGCATAAATATTTTCTTTAGAAAAGTACCTGTTGATGTCCTTTGCCCACTTTTTAATGGGTTTTTTTTTTCTTGTAAATTTGTTTAAGTTCCTTGTAGATTCTGGATATTAGACTTTTGTCAGATGGATAGCTTGCAAAAATGTTCTCCCATTCTGTAGGTAGCAGTATCCTTCTTGACAGTTAAAACAAAATGTGATTTAATTGTGGATATCTTTCTTGGCTTTGTCTATCTTACAAGATAATTCTACTGAAACAATAGTATCAGTTAAAAACACAATACACCACAGAGTGTCTTAAATGAGATAGGACCTTTTATATTGATAAAAGTACAATTCAAGAATAAAAAGTAGCAGTTACAAAGTCCACTCACTAAATAGCAAAACACTGGAAATAACTAAAGCAAAACCTATTTGAAACACATGGAAAAACTCACAAGTAAAGTGGGAGAATTTAACTGTCTTACACAAACCATTTTTTCAAAATTATCATGGAATGGTTAATATATTGATCTATTCTAAGGCCAGGAAGAAAACGTCATTACTGTTGTTCAAGGGAAATTTTACTGGTCACTCTGTGATCGTAATGCAATAAAACTGTAAATAATGAAAGTTGACATTTTAAAAACTTATTCTATTTGGAAATTTTGAGTCAAATAGGAATTGAAAACTACAATTATAGATCATTTAGAAAAATAATTATGAAATACTAATAAAGTTACAAATAATAAGCAAATTTATTCCTCTGAAAACTTTTATTATCAAAAAATAAAGAATGAAAATTAAGTTCTACACAAAGGACATTCAAAAGAAAAGAAACAACAAAAGAAATCTGGGATAACCGGAGGGAGTTTTTAAAAACGGCAGACATTAATGAAGTAAGTTACGACTGTGTCTGTTTCACTCTTCTCTTTCCTCAGTACCTAGCCCAGCCTTGTCCCTGTCAGAGATCTCTGTTTATTAAAAAAACCTCAGCAAACTGAGAAGACAACCCCAAAAATTATA
Organism: Homo sapiens; assembly: GCF_000001405.40. Taxonomy (NCBI): domain Eukaryota; kingdom Metazoa; phylum Chordata; class Mammalia; order Primates; family Hominidae; genus Homo; species Homo sapiens. The sequence continues at coordinate 20,166,832 of NC_000017.11, forward strand.
TGGGACCAGGCATGGTGGCAAATGTCAACACTTTGGGAGGCTGAGGTGAGAGGACCGCTTGAGGCCAGGAGTTGGAGACTAGCCTGGGCAACACAGTGAGACACCATCTGTACAAAAAAAAATTTTTTTAATTAGCTGGGCATGGTGGCACTGCTTGTAGTCCCAGCTACTCAGGAGGCTGGGGCAGAAAAAGCCTAAGAGTATGTTCTTTGTTAAACAAATGAAGTAAAGTTTTAGTTAGACTCATCAAGAAATAGGATAACACAAATACCCCAAATTAGCTATATATATGTAATGTGTATATATATATTATATTATATATAATTTATATTATATATAGTGTATGTAATATGTTAGCTACATATATGTGTTTATATATATACTATATATATAATGTATATAATCAGGAATGTTGGATATTTTTTAAAAACTAGAATAAAAAATAGAAAATCTTGATGAAATTAGGAAAACAAAATTACCAAAATCAATTCATAAAGAAATGAAACACTTGGACAGAAAAATATTCTTGGAAGATGTCACAAAGTGACTTAAGAAAATAGCTCCCAGCTGGGCGCAGTGGCTCACGGCCTGTAATCCTAGCACTTTGGGAGGCCGAGATGGGCGGATCACCAAAGTCAGGAGTTCGAGACCAGCCTGACCATCATGGAGAAACCCTATCTCTACTAAAAACACAAAATTAGACGGGCATAGTGGTGCATGCCTGTAATCCCAATTACTCGGGAGGCTGAGGCAGGAGAATCACTTGAACCCAGGAGGTGGAGGTTGCAGTGAGCTGAGATTGTGCCATTGCACTCCAGCCTGGGCAACTTGAGTGAAACTACGTCTCAAAAACAAAAAGAAAATACCTCCTCAAATAATCCTGAATCCAGATGGTGTTATAGGTAAAGTTTTTCATATATGAGAAAAATGTAATTTCTGTGCTATTTAAAGTTATGTGGTATGTTTCCCAAAGATATTGGATATTACATATTACAGAGGATATAATAAGATATGTACAGATGATTATTTCTTAATTTAATAATTAACATATGCTAGAAAAACTATAACTTGTACATTTAATCTATGTCTGTTGCTTAGGATCAGGTTAAGTCAAAGAAGAAATTAGTCAATATTAAGTTTATGCAGAAAAATATTAAACACATAAGACAGCTGAATGCAAATATAGCCAAAATTATGAAGGTGATATTCAAATAATAGAAACTTGAAAAATATTCCAAAGTACAGAAAAGATGGAAAGCATTCCGATTTGTTTTGATAAAAGTAGTACTAATACTGTTAATACTGTTTCTGATACCAAAGCTTTTCAAAGATGGTATGAACAAAGAAAGCCACAGTATATTCTTACTAATGTAGATGCTCTCCTTAACTGACATATCAGCCACATTTAATCCAACCATGCATTTAAAAAAACATTACACCATTGGCTAAAAAGTGGCTTATTCTAAGAATGCAAAAATATTATTATATAAATAGAATTGGAAATATCAGTACATTTAAAGATAAAAATTAACATCATACTGTATGTCAGTAATGCATTTAATAAAATTTAACATCTACCTCATAAACATTTAATTCCTGTTGGAATAGTCTGGATCTTTTCTGAAGATAAATAAAATGCTCTAAAAGCAGCACATACCATGCTTAACAGGAAACTAAAAACATCCCCATAAAGGTCAGGGACAAAACAGTGGTGCCCATACAAGACTGTATGACACTGTTTTCAAATATACTAGCCAAACCAGTAAGATTTTAAAAAAATGGTTATTAAAAAATGAGAAAAAATTAGCATTATTTGTAGATACTAGAATTCTCTTGTTAGAATAACCAAGGAGATCAACTGAAAAAGCATGAGAACTTATGGCAATTTAGTAAGGTAACCAGCTTGGAAATGAGTATATAAATTCAGATATATATGTGTGTGCTTGTATGCTTGAATGATTCAGATATGTATGTGTATGCTTATATGATGTAGATGTATATGTAACAGTAGTTTTATGTTAGTAATCAGAAACGATGGTATATTTTATTTTATTTTTTTGAGGCAGGGTCTTGCTCTGTCATCCAGGCTGGAGTACAGTGGTGCTATCTGGGCTCACTGCAACCTGTGCCTTCCAGGCCCAGGCAATCCTTCCACCTCAGCTTCCTGAGTAACTGGGACTACAGGCATGCGCTACCACACCCAGCTAATTTTTGTATTTTTTGTAGAGACGGGGTTTCACTATGTTGCCCAGGCTGGTCTTGAACTCCTGAGCTCAAGTGAGCCACCCACCTCAGCCTCTCAAAGTACTGAGATTATAGGCGTGAGCCACTCTGGCCACAATGGTTTGTTAAAAGGTTTCATTCACACTATGAACAAAATGTATAAAACCTGAGGAAGAAATAAGAAGTGTGCAAGGCCTCTGTGGGAGCTATAAACTATCTACTCAGGGGCATAGATACAAACTATCTCCTCAGAGGCACTGGTGTTGATGTGGTAGGTGTCCTCCATTAAGTGGAGGAATTATCATTATATATTATAGTTCTGAAAATCAGAAATAGCTGCTGAATTTTCCAAAATGCCTTTTGGGCATTCACACAGATCTATTTTTCTTTTTAGATAGAATGATTTGATGGATTTAAATATCTTCACCTTACAATAAACTGTGTCAGGTTTTTCTAAATCTTCCTTTTGGAATTTTTTTTTTTTTAACATGAAAGGTGAATTAACAGCATTAATTTTTCTTGGTCCCTTATTGCGTTATATATAAAATAAGGGTATGTGTGCATGGTTAGTTCTAAAGTTCCTGATAATTTTAACATTCTGTGATCTTATGGTTTTAGACATTTTTTCCCAAGAGACAGGGGCTTGCTCTGTTGTTCAGGCTGGTCTCGAACTCCTGGCCTCAAGGGATCCTCCTGCCCTGGCCTCCCAAAATGCTGGTGTAACAGGCATGAGCCACCGCTCATGGCCAGACTTTTAAACATTTCTAACTCAGAGAAGTGTTTGGATTTTACCTCTTGAATGTGTTGCGCCAATTTGCTTTAGGTACGGGATTTCTAGTTTGTTGAATTCTATTTTACTTACAAAAATTTTTTATATGGCTCCAATCAGATCAAACCAGCCTATGTAGTATCATAGAAGTAACATTAAAATATTGAGAATTTTGAAGGGTTCCAGGTATCCTGAAGACTTTACCGTCACAGGACAAAAACACTTATAGGGCTGTCCTTCCACCAGACCCAGCCTCTGCTGTTCCATTGCCCTTGCTGCCCTCCTCCGTCCAGTTTGTCCGCTACCTTCTTGCTTAGCCAGGATGTGTGTTGTTTGGCATCTGCCTTCACATGGACATTGTGCTGCAGTTGGTTGCTTCTCCAGCTAAGTAAGAACTGTCTGAGGATCCATGTTTATCTTTGCCATCTCCATGGTCTCCAACACTCTGCAGAGTCCTTAGCAAAATGTATGGTTTTAATGAATTGATGGCAGCTGTCCCTTGTATTTCCAGGAAAGTTTTGAATTCTCAGGAGAAAGTAGGTTTGATATTTCAAAACGAATGTGGTTGGCCAAATGTTTTATATTGGGATTAAAGAAATTATTTTAGTACCACAAACTTCCAGAAAGCTTGTCCATAAGAGTTTTTCCTCACCCCACACCACTACAAAAGTGACCCAGAAATCCTGAGCCAGTGGAACTCCCAGGGGGGTGCAGGTATCACTGGGACCTTGCCCACCCTACTGTCTCCTTTCATCCCTGTCCCAGAGACCTAACATCACCATGGTCTCCTTTCCCTCAGTCTTTCATAAGTATTTGTAAATACTCTTTTACCAATATCATTCTTTCTCTGTTATTTTTCCTTTTTAACTGTTGCTCTTTTACTTCAGAAAAATTTTTCTTTTTTCTTTTATGCTCCCCTCATTTCCAACTTCCTGTTCCAAATTAAGCCTAATTATGGTTGAGTGTTAAGATTACGGTTTATGATAAACCTAGAAAGATAAAGTAATACATTTTTATGTGAAACTATATCTAGTAAAGAACTGGTACCAACCACCTCCAAAGCCCTTGAAAATCCCCTTTGTTTTATCTGCCAGAGAATTCATCTCTTTCTCTAATTGGTCCTGCTTTTCTCTCTAGCACAAGCAGCCAAATTTTAAAAAAATCTTGGAAGGTTACATTATAAGCAGTCTAACCTTTTGATCTGTAAGCAGATAAACAGAGTCTATTCATAGTGGTAAAAAACTGTTATGAAAATTATCTGTTTATAGTTATATTTTGGCCTCTTTTGCTCTCCCCTCAGTCGTATGTTATAGTATGCTGAAGATACATGGAATTAATATACTTCCAAACTGGACCAAAAATGTCATATAACAGCCTGTATTTGCAGGTTAACAAAGTATGAGTGAGAGGGGTATGTGGCTCTGAGTGCTTTGTTTGCCTGTTTGTATTTGTGTTTCTGTGTTCCTCCTGCACAACTTCCCTGACAGCCTGTGCTTTATGCTTTCATAGGGATTTTGAATCATAAGGGAAAGAAGAAAGATTGCAAATCAAGAGATACCAGTAATCAGATCAATGATGAAATTTTAGTGTAAACTATACATTAAAATGACTTCTTCTGTAAATTTTGGTATCCAGAACCTTATGCTAACCCTTTCAGATAGAAAACAGGGCTTGAAGTATCACAAACATGCCTTTTTCATTTACTGTTTTTTTCATTACTTAGGTTATTCCTATTTTTTTTTGAGACAGAGTCTTGCGTTGTCACCCAGGCTGGAGAGCAGTGGTGCAATCATGGCTCACTGCAGCCTCGACCTCCCAGGCTCAAGTGATCCTCCTGCCTCAACCTCTCGGGTAGCTAGGACCACAGACGTGTGCCACCTCACTTGGCTAATTTTTTTAAATTTTTAGTAGAGGTAGGGTCTTGCTGTATTGCTCAGGCTGGTCTCATCCCTATTAATGTGAATTCTGGTACCAGCTTTGACTCTGGAGATGCTCTGGGGCTTCTTGATGGCTGTGGTCAGCCCACACCATGGTCATGTGCTTGCCAGCATTCTGGTCATTCCTCTCTTATCTGCTGCCTCTAATCTGTTCCTGTGTGCCTGGAGACTGGTAGCCAAACCTGCCAGAACTGTATACAGACCAGAAGTGCTTCTCCTAGTAGTATGCAGGTGTGGAGTTTAGGGCACAGTCATTTTGAGCTTCTCTGGAGCTCTCTTCCTTTTCCCGCTGATGACATTATCTCAGGTAGCTGAGTGGCCATAGAACTGAGTCTTAGATAAAGTGTCACTGCACAAGCATGTGGTCAGGTGCTGTTCCCCTGCCCTGGCACCTGTGGAAGGTGTGTGGGCCTCCTTTCTGTTGCTTTCTTGTACCACACCACACCCCTTCTGGCCTCAGGGCTCCTGCATGGGCTTCTCTGTGCCTGGATGCTCCTCTCTCAGCGTGTTACAGCTGATCCTCCATGGGTTGACTGCAAGGCCCAGTTTGCACAGGATACTTCCAGTTAACACCTGATTGTGGATCAGTTTACTCCTGTTATTTTTACTCTCAAAAAGTGCCCCAATTTGGAAGATAAAATATACTGTCTCCTACTTAACCATTTCAGGTCTCAGTCCAGTGTCACCTCTTCAGGTAGACCTTTCCCTTTCTCTCTCAGGGGGCAAGTCTCCTGGTTTGCTGTGACTGCAGAATAAACCCCAGGGCTTGGTTGGGCTGAGCCAGGGTTTGCCAGCAGACAAATTCAGGCTTCTTTCTATGTGAGGGCCCATGGCAGGCCAGCGTGGGAGGACGTGAGATGGGAGGGGCAGCCAGGTGCTGGGAGGGTTGGGAGAGACATGGGGAGGAAGAGTGAGGACTGAAGCCAGGGGGAAGAAACATGGAAGTGTGCTGTAAGCTCTGTGCCCACTAGCCCTTGATGAGTTTTAATCTGCTTTACCCCTCAAGGCTGTAAGAGTCAGATCTGAGTGTTTTGAAAATGAGACGGTGTGTGCGATTAACTTGAAGAGAACTGATACAGGAGAGATCTTTGGTGAGGCCTGATTATAAGTGGATGACAAGCTTCATTTTTCCTAGGTGATAGGTTGGACTGTTAGACAAAACTTTGGATTCAGAGAAAAGGCACTCTAGGTGCATTTTGCCTCCTTTCTTTACCTTGATGGATTTTCATGTTGGTCAAATGAAGACTTGGGCTACATCTATGAAATCCCTTCCAATTTTTAGAAGTATATAATTCTGTTGTACGCTCTAGTGAGTCCAGACTATAAAGCATTTTGAATTTTACTATTTCTTTTCCCCTAATTGTGGGCCAGAAAGGAAAATTTCCAAATAAGGATGCACAGTCCACTCTGGGAAACACAGGGAAACAATAACTAGAATACAAGTCTAGCCTTTGCCCTGGCATGAAAAGAATGCAGACTGTTAGCTGACCTAAAGGTTTCTGTTTTATTTCACGTTTAGGTGAAATGGTCAGCTTTGACCATTACTCCCAAAGAAGTTTCTCTCCAGACTTTAAGATATTTGTGCAACATTAAGATGGTTTTATTATCTGTGAGACAGCTGTGGTCACTTTTATTTATCAAAGTGCCATGTTTATTGTATATGTATCAGGAGCAGTGCTGGAAAGCTAAATTTAGAGAAATAAACCTGGGCTCACAAATGATTATGGTGACATTCAGTATACCCCCAATGACACTATCACTATAACATTGCTAGGTCGCCTCCCAGCAGTCTAGCCATCTCAACCATAAAGGAATGGCGAAGTAATGATGGCAACTTGCCTTATTGGAGAGTGTGTAGACTGCCGTTTTAAACTGTAATTGTCAGGATTAGACCTCAACCGTGGTGAAATGTTGGGCATAAAGGTACATGAACAAAGCTAAGTGCAAAGTTGTGTGAATGCTGATTCAGTCTTTGTGAAAGTACAGTCCACAGGACACAAATTGGCAAAATTCATTTGCCTTACAGTGTTTAAAGTTTTTTGAATTATAACATTTTGGGCCTGAGTTCTCCACTTGCTGCAGTTTCTGCCAGCCCCTTTGTTCTTTACTTGGCTCTTGCAAACATTTATTTACCTATTTAGCTCTATAGACAGTTGAAGTTTTTGGTGTTTTTTTTTTTTGTTTTTGTGGAGACGGAGTTTTGCTTTTGTTGCCCATGCTGGAGTGCAGTGGTGTGATCTCGGCTCACTGCAATCTCCACCTCCCAGGTTCAAGCGATCCTCCTGCTCAACCTCCCAAGTAGCTGGGATTACAGGCATGTGCCACCACATTTGGCTAATTTGGTATTTTTAGTAGAGACAGGGTTTCACCACGTTGGTCAGGCTGGTTTTGAACTCCTGACCTCAATTGATCCACCTGCCTCAGCCTCCAAAAGTGCTGTTTACATGCCTAAGCCACTACACCTGGCTGGCAGTTGAAGTTTTGACCCCTGTTTAAAAAAAGAAAAGACTATTATAATACTGGAATTTAAATTACAATAAAGGTGATTTTTAAATAAAATAAATTTTAAAAATTAAATTGATATACTGTAAATATGCAGTTAGGAGATAATTGATCTTCCTGGTTACTTCCCAGGGAAGCAGGACTCAAGACCCAGATTTGTGTGCAGAGTTTATGGGGGTTGCTTCTGGGAACAGTACCAATGAGGGGGTGAGGGAAGCCGGTTGGGCAGAGGGAGAAGCTAAGATGGATGCAGCTGCGATAGCTGCCTCTTCAGTCCCAGGGGATTGAGCTGGAATGGGCCTTCACCGTGTCCCAAATGGAGACCAGGTGGTCACATCAGTCTCTCCCCCCCATCAGTCTTGGAGGGGAGTCTGCAGAGAATCTGTTTCTTTGCCTTTTCCAGCAGTCTTGCCCTTCATTTCCTTTATACATCTCAAACACTCACCGAGTATTTTCTTCTTTCAAAAGTTTATTCTCGGGGAGGTGGCTCCCTGGCTGACCACAGGTCCCGCCGGCATTCAGCCTGGCTGACTCAGGAGGTCAGCGCCTAGACCTGACTCATTTTCTTCCGCTCCTTGCCGACCTCACCAGGGCCTGCTTCCTGGCACCTCATTTGACCAAGCCCTCTGCCTTGGTCAAAATGACCAAGGCAAAATTTTGGTCAAAATTTTTTGAAATGTTAGTTTCAAAAAAAATCTTAACCTCCTCTTTGCCTGTGGTGGGTGGGCAGGCCAGGTCAGGCTCACCCTGCAGTGTGGAGGGTGGGGTCAGAGGCCCCTGGACAGCCTGGGGCCGCCTCTGTGCTCCGCAGCTCAGTTTTGGCGGGAGAGCCCTGGCCAGTTGTCAAGAAAGTGCGCCTCTGTTTCTGGGGTAATGCTGTGGGCCCAGGACCTTCAGCCTGCAGCCCCCAGAGGGGATGTAGTCATGCCAAAGCTCCTGATGCCATCATCATCACGTTAGAACCCCTCACCACCACCTCCACTCATAAGTCATTTGCCCTAAGCCAGCACAGCACTTCGAATTCAGGCAGTTGATCATCATCTAAGCGTGAATACCATTTTATTAATTTTTGCCTAGAAATTGGCACTCCCTTTAAAATCTTTTAATGCTTTTGTTTACTGCAAGTTTTCTTCCATTACTTTTTCTTCTGTGTGTGCCCTCTCCTGGCTCTCTGGCTTTCCTGTTATACTTGTATTGGATCTTTTCAGTCCTCTATGTCTCTTAAATTTTTAAAACTTCTATTCATTTCAGTATTCTTAGTCGGTCTTCTCATTCATTGATTGGATTTTCTGTAGTGTTCAGTATTGCTAGTGATCATTATTTTGCAAGTGACAGCAATCTTTTCTGATGTGACATTTTCCCTTTTAACAAAGATGTTTTTCTTTAAACATCTTACTGAAAATTGGTTGACTTTCTGAAGGACTATTACTACACTGGCCTTGCTGGGTATGTGGGTACCCATGACTGTTCTGCTCCTGGAGATTAAGTACTGGGACTTCTGTAGCTCAGGTCCCTAGGGGGCCTGGGCCTCTGCCGGGTGGGACAGTGGGCTGGATGCACATGTAGGGTAGGCTTTAGTGCAGCATTCCTAGTCTGTGAACTTCTCCTGTGTCATGCCAAGGGATTTGAATCCAGGTGTGAATTCAACTACTCATAAAAGAGAACCATACTGACCTATGGCACATTGAGTAGAGAGTATTTTTTAAATGAATTAGGCCTGATTTAAACTATATTCAGCCCCCTTGGCTTATGTAAATGCGCAAATTTCTGCAGATTCTCTGCATAGAAGTTTTTTTCTTCATGCTTTCTGGAGCGAAAATTCTTATCCTGGCTTCCTTTATTTACTAGCTGTAGGATCGCAGGCTAGTTTCTTGCTTGCTTGCTACATTCCCCTCCTGTGTAAAATGGGGCTGTTAGTATTTCCTTAGGGAGTTCTTTGAACAAAGCCCAGAAGTTAATAAGTTCTCAATGAATGTTAATAAATGTTAAATAAATTATCAGAAAATGTTAGTTTCAAAAAATCTTAACCCCTTCTCTTTTTCTTTTGTCTTCTCCGCCTCGTTTTCCTACTTTTCAGTCATTTTACTTGAGGGTAGGCAACATTTCATTTCTCACCAAATGCAGACAGGTGCTTCTCCCTACTTCCGTGTCCCTCTCCTTCTCCCACTACCCTTCTTGCCTTCTCTAAGGTATTATTTATGTAGTCAGGGAGTGTATTGGTTCCTGTTGCTGCTATAACAAATAACTACAAATTTAGTGGATTCAAAAACAATGCAGAATTATTTCCTGGCAGTTCTAGAGGTTAGAAGTCTAAAGTCAAGGTACTGGCAGGGCTGTGTTCCTTCTGGAGGCTTCAGGGGAATATCAGTTTCCTTGCCTTCCCAGCTTCTAGAGGCCACAAGCATTCCTCAGCTTGTGGCCCCTTCTTCCCTCTTCAGAGTATATTGCTTCAACCTCTTGGGCTGTCATCACATCTCCTTTTTCCGTCCCTGATTGTCTTGCATCCCTGTTGTAAAACCCTGGTGATTATATTGAGCCCAGCAGAGAATTCAGGATAATCTCTTTATCTCAATATCCTTAAGCACATCTGCAAAATCCCTTTGTTGTGTGACATACTCACAGGTTCTAGGGATTAGGATGTGGACATATTTGGGGGATTGTTATTCAGTGTGCTGCAGGAAGGTAGATGTGTAAACCTTTTATCATAGCATAGTGCAGGTGGGACTTGCACAGCGGTACCCTGAGCCAAAGGTGTGGACCTCAGACAAGGAAGCAGTTATTTCTGAGGACATTGGGAAAAGTTTGATAGAAGAGAGATGTTTGAGCTGAGTCCTAAAGGATGAAGAGGCCAGGGAAGTTTGGAAGGCTTTTAGGCTGAGGAAACAACACTTGCTAAGAAATAGACTTGTAAAAAAAATCCAGCAATTTTGAGGAATAGTGAAATCTTTGATGTTGCTAAGACACAGGGTATATTGAGGAGAGTGGTAGGCAAAGAAAATTGTAGGTTAAAACTAGAATGTGCTGTGATAATGAGCTTCTAATGTATCCTGTAAAGAGAGGGGAGCCAGTGGAGTTGTTTTGGTGGCTTTTCAATTATAAATTTTTGTCTGATTGTGTAAGTAGTTTTCTTCTTCTAGAAAATGAAGAAACCAAATAAATAGATCAAGAAAATAAAATCATTCAAAGCCCTGCTACTCAGAGATAATGACTGTTGACATTTCTGTGTAGTGTCATTATTGAGCCATTTGTGTGTCTGTTTACCCAGTTGAAACCTCACTGTATATTAAATTTCATATCTTGAATTCTTTAGTTAACGGCATATCAACATTTCTTCATGTAATTAAATACTCTCAACTATCCTTAACATCTCCATAATATCCTATTGTATATATTACCATAATTTATTTAATCCTTCATTGTTAGATTCAATATTTTTGTATTTTATTTTATTTATTATTATTTTTTGAGACAGAGTCTTTCTCTGTCGCCCAGGCTGGAGTGCAGTGGCGCGATCTCGGCTCACTGCAACCTCCGCCTTCTGGGTTTAAGCAATTCTTCTGCCTCAGCCTCCCGAGTAGCTGGGCCCACAGGCATGTGCCACCACGCCCGGCTAATTTTTGTATTTTTACTAGAGACGGGGTTTCACCATGTTGGCCAGAATGGTCTTGAACTCCTGACCTCGTGATCCGCCTGCCTCGGCCTCCCAAAGTGCTGGGATTAACAGGCATGAGCCACCTCACCCAGCCATATTTTATTTTATTTATTTATTTTTGAGGCAGGGTCTGTCTTGCCCTGTCACCCAGGCTGGGGTGCAGTGGTACGATCACTGCTCACTGCAGCCTTGACTTCTCAGGCTCAAGCAATCCTCCCACCTCAGCCTCCCTAGTAGCTGGGACTGCAGGCATGAGCCACCACTCCCGACTCCTCTCTATTTTAAATAATACTAACACATAGATCTGTGTTTAAGTTTTTGAATGTTTCCTCAGGGCAGGAGTGCTTCTCCTCTGTTTATTCTCTTGAGACGTGAGATCAGGTAGAAATGTTCCCGTGTCTAGGTGGAGGAGACCCCAGTGTGCCCTTTCATTTACTCCTGGGCTCTAGAGTGGAAACTTCTGTGTTTTTCTCTGTGTGATGATTTGTGTGGGTGCCAAGGGCCAAACCCACATTTAGCAAAGAAATAGTGTGATCCACTTAAAAGGGGGTTTAATAACTTGAGATGGAGATATCAAGCTGAACATTCACAACAAGCATAACTAAATCAGAGAGGCAGAAGAAAGCATTAACCAGAAAAATAAGTACTAACTTTTAAAGAGTGATTACTCCTGATTTAAAACTTTTACTAGATGAAATACAAAGGGTAACAGACTGTGTTGAGAACTGAATTAATTTTCTGGAAGGAGTGTCTTGTAAAACAAAGATATTGTGAGGTGAAAAATGTAAGATGCTTAAGGGATCTATGTAGGAGACCTAATAATTGAATGATAGGATTCTTAGAAGGGGACAAAGTAACAGATGGAAAATACATCGTATTATAAAAGAAGAAACCCATCTGAGCTGAATAAAATGTTAGACTTCAGATTGAAAGGACTCATGGAATTCTTTTTTAAAAGACAATTGCTGGACTGCAGCAATAAAGATAGAAATCCTGTCAACTTCTAGGCAGGAAGATAGGTCTGTTTTGAGGGAAATTGGGATGCCATAGGAATTCTTACCCACTTCACAAAGAAGCTAGAATAGAGTCTGTATGGATTATTGACTCTAAGGAACTAATATAAATCTTCTGTATTCAGACATATCAGCCTGGGTTTTTACTTGCATGCCACAGAAGCTGATTTTGGTTGGCTAATAAATTTTTAAAGATGTTGAGTTGCTGTGAAATTGTTAGAAGGGCTAGAGAGAGATGTCTGCAGGCACTGCAGCCAGGGACAGCGCATCAAATCTTACACAGAATTGGCCCAGGCCGGATGCTGCTGCTGTGTTCCTGGGCGTAGACAGTGTAGCTTGCACCAGATGCTGCAGGCACTAAAGTCTACAGTGAGTGCCTTGGCCACTGCTTTCTGGGATCTTGATCTTGCTGCAGCTACCATTCTTGCAGTGAGCATTTTCCATCATAGTCCTTGCTTTGCAGCATTAGTTCCTGAATCAAAGTCTGGGACAGGTGTAAATAATGGCAGGGTCAAGGGGGCCTCCTAGCTGCAAGGGGGCACTGAGAAGGCAGGCAGCTGGCATTTTTAGCTTATTTAATGGGAGGTAGACCCTACCTTTAACTGAGACTAATAAGGTGGGAAAGTCCCCAGGCTTAGGAAAGAAGGGTTCAAAAGCTAGGTAGTCAGAAAGAATGTCAGAGATCAAGTACTCTTGCCCAGATATAATTCAGCGAACCAGGGCAAAAGAAGAATATTTTTAGCCATGAGGGATTCATCCATCTCATTTGAACAAATATTCAGATGTCCAATTGGATGCTGGTAATTGGCTCAGAATAGAAATATGAAGATAGAAGAAAATGAATAATATAAGTAACAGTAGAGAGCAGTGAATGTTGCAGCAGGAAACATTGCATACATAAATGGAAGATATTAACACGGCTGAAGATTCAGAATGTAAGTGTAAAGTAAGAATTCTTGGAAGGATCGTACTGCCTTGGAACATCTAGGAAATAGCGTGGAACTAAAAATTCTAGACCATCTCAGCAAAATCCTGAACTAGGATTGCAGGCATTCAGATATAAAATTCCTCTAAAAATTTCATCTTTGTTGGTGTGGGACTGGGGGGCATGGTTATTTAGTTTGGATGAAGGTTTAATTAAGAGTGTTAGAAATGGCAGGTAACTACTAACCAAGTAGTAAAACATAGTATTCCCAAAATAACAGGGATCAAGGATGATAGTGAGCACAGAGGTAAGCAGGCCAGGAAGGAATAAAGAGAAGTAATATCAAATTAGCAAAAGCGAGGAGAGGAAAAAGATGAAATGAGTTAACAAATAGTAAACAAAATCAAGTGGAAACAGTAAAGCCAAATGAGCAGCCCCACAGTAAATACTCATCAGCTAAACTCACCTATTAAAAAACAAAGGTCCAGAATATTAGTGTCAGAGCAAGATGCAAGAACAAAAGCATTGAACAGGACTAAGAGGTACTATATATTGGTAGAAACCAAAAATATAAAGTATAACTGCCTTTAAGCAGCAAAATGCATAGAACAAACACCAGGAACAAAAGAATTTGGTAAGAAACATATTCTACTAAGAGATGCTAATTATGTGTCTTTTCTAATTTGACGGGTCAGCTAAGCTAAATTGCCAACTTGGATGCTCACAGGGGCCGGTGGGTGGCATGAATATGTGAATTATATGGTGAGAGACCAGGGATGGTGGGAATTGCACAGCGAACTGGATAATGCATGTCTTGCCTAAAGGCATTGAAATTCATACATTTTAAAGCACTTTGCCAGCCAAACAAAATATATTTGTAGCTTGCTTGCAGCCTGCCAGTTTTCAACCTTTGAAACAAAAAAGCAAAAGTATAGAGGTTAGAAACAACATATGCAACAAATGTATTGCATATGTTGCAAACATATTTATTGCGAAAATGTACAGGGAATGTACATTTTCCCCTAGGTCTAGGGAGTATTTACAGAAGTTGATCATGTCATTTATCACAGAAAACAAAAAGTGAAATATGAAAATTTTGATTTTTGTATGCAATAACCTGTCCTGTCAGTCCAGTGAAATTAGTGGTAAAAAAAAAGAGATGATTATAACAACAACAACAAAAACTACCTTGGAGTTAAGAGCCACTGTTGTAAAATAATCTCTGCACCAAAAGAAAATCTAGACAAATTATAAATCATCTAGAAATAAAAGAAATAGAAGCCTTTTGATATCAAAATTTGTAGAATAGAACTGAATCTATAGTCAGGAAAAAGTATAATCTTAGATGCTTTTATTAGTATAAGAAAAGAAAGACTGAAAATATAAGAGCGAAATATTCAACTTATGAAACTAGAAAAAAGTACAAAATAAAGAGAAAGGTAAAAGCTGAAATGAATGAAATAGAAAATAAAATGGTAGAGAAGATAAATAAGAACAACACTAGTTCTTTGAAAAGGCAAATAATGGAAATTATTCTTGATTAAAGGAAAAAGGAAAAAGTATTAGCAAAGAAGAATCCATTGTTATAGGTATGGAATAAATGAAAAATTAAATCTGCAGCAATATTTGTGAAACTCTGGAGGAAGTGGGCAATTTCCCCTCAAAATATAAATTCACAAATTGTTTTCTAGAAAAAATATAAAACCTGAAGTATTATTGCTAGTATTTAACATTGTTTTGGTATTGATGCAATAAGGCAAAAACATTTTTTGTTTTAAATACTGAAAAAGAGGAAAATAAACTTGACCTAAGAATAAGAGAATTTGTGATTATATATAAGATAAATATAAAAACAAAATACCTTTTTTCTATGCCATCAATAACTGGTTAGCATTGGAACGTGAAAAAAAAATTCAATTCACAAATACCATAAAATATCTAGGAGTAATTTAAACTAGAAAATTATAGGACATAAAGTGAATAAATATTAAATCTTACTGTGGTTCATAAAACAAGACCTGAGATAATGGAGAAACTGCAGTATGTTCCAGGGTGGGTAGATATAATGTTATAAAATTGTCCTTCCCAAGTAGCCTGCTTAAGAGACTAATTCTCCCCAGAATTTTTCATTAGGAAAAAAGGAAGCTCCTTACATTTAAGTCTTAGAAAGTGTCTTTTTAAACTTGGCATGTTCTTAATAACTTTATTTTTGAATAACGAAGTAATACTTCAGACAAACCTCAATTTTTTCTTTTTCTTTCTTTTTCTTTTTTTTTTGGAGACAGGGCCTCACTCCACTTTCCCAGGCTGGAGTGCAGTGGCATGAACTTGGTTCACTGGAGCCTCATCCTCCAGGGCCCAGGTGATTCTCTCACCTCAGCCTCCCAAGTAGCTAGAACTACAGTTGCACACCACCATGTCCCGCTAAACTTTTTGTATTTTTAGTAGAGACAAGGTTTTGCCGTGTTGCTCAGGCTAGCAGCAAACTCTTGGACTCAAGTAATCCGCCTTCATTGGCCTCCCAAAGTGCTAGGATTACAGGCATGACCCACCACGCCCAACCTCTTCAATTTATTTTAAATTGAGTTTTATAGAGGCCACCGGACAGAATCGGTTTAAAAAAAGATAGACAATTTTGTTTTATTTAGTACTTATTCCATTGGGTATGATCTCATAGTTACAAGTATTGTTGAATTGAGGCTTTGAAAGACTATATAACAATGCAATAATTGGTTAGGTTGTAGAGATCACAAATGTATACCTACAGGAAGAATGTTTTTAAAAAAACTGACCTAATGTCATATAAGTACGTATTTGTGACTTAGTATAACATTTTCAATGACAGCGTAATACTATCATTGGATTCAGAAAGTACTGAGTCTCAAGTAGCTTAGAGGATAGAGGAAAGGGGTGAAGAAAGAGAGAACCAAGGTGATGCATGATACCTGCACTGCCTGTTAAAGAGAGCTTCCAGAAAATGCTTCATCCGCTTGGCCAGAACCTAGCCATCTGGCCACACCCAGCTGCAAAAGACGTTGGAAGTGTTCTGGAACCACCAAGTGCCCAACAAAAAGTTGAGTTAATGAGGAAGAAAAGAGAACAAATAATGGGGTACAACTAGCCTCTACTTGGACATAGGTAGTACTCTGGGGGAAAACATTATAAAATATGCTGAAATATTAGTACGCTTGTAAACAAATAAAAGTAAATGCCAAAAGAGGTGGCGGTAGAGGTCAGTAGGTATAGGGTGATGAGCAATCAAGTGGCAAAAAAGAAAAACAAAGGTGTTCAACATCAGTAGTAATCAGAGAAATGCACATCAAAAGAAATCACTTTTCGACCTTCAAAAATAATAACTTCCAGTGGTGGTAAGTGTACAGAGAAACAATTACTCCTATATGTCTACCCCTGTGGTGTGTGAATGATTGCAATCTTTTTTATAAAGCAATCCGGCAATAATTTTGAGATTGAAAATATGTTTCTCTTGAGGAATCCAGGAATTCTGTCTTGTAGACATAAAAGCACAAGTACATACTTAACGTTGCAAATGTAGGAAAAGTTTGCTAATTGCAGTACTTTTTTTGTTCTGGCCCGAATCTAGGAATACTGAATGTCCCTCAGTAGGAATTGGTTAAATAAATTATAGTACAGTCATCCTCAGTATCCTTGGGAGATTCATTCCAGAATCTCCTATGGATACTAACATCCACAGATAACTCAAGTCCCTGATATAAAATGCTATAAAATGGCATAGTATTTGCATTTAAACTACGCACATTCTCCCATATAGTTTAAATGATGTCCAGATTACTTATACTACCTAATACAATGTAAATGCCGTGTCATTTGTTGTTATACTGTATTGTTTAGGGAATAATGACAAGAAAAACATGTCTATATACATTCAGATGTACCCATCCCTTTTTCCCCCAAATATGTTCTATCTGTGGTTGGTAGAATTCTGGGTGGGGAACCCAGAAATATGGAAGGCCGACTATATCATTCTTATGAAATTTTATTAAATAAGAATGATGTCAACCGGGCGTGGTGGCTCACGCTTATAATCCTAGTACTTTGGGAGGCCGAGGCAGGCGGATTGTCTGAGCTCAGGAGTTCGAGACCAGCCTGGGCAACACGGCAAAACCCCATCTCTACTTAAAAAAAAAAAAAGACAAAAAATTAGCCAGGTGTGGTGGCACGTGCCTATCGTCCCAGCTACTCGGGAGGCTGAGGCATGAGAATCGCTTGAACCCGGGAAATGGAGGTTGCAGTGAGCTGAGATTGTGCCACTGCACTCCGGCCTGGGTGACAGAGCAAGACTCCTGTCTCAAAAAAAAAAAAAAAAAAAAAAGATGTAGAGGTAAGAAATATTATTAAAAAGGACAAGTGAGAGCTATTTCCTGAAGCTATGACCAGGATGTATTATCAGGTGACAAATATAACTCACAAGAGAGTGTTTACACCTTTATGTCATAGTGCCTATGCTGTGATCCCAAACGAAAGGCTAAGCATGTTTGTGTCAACACAGAGAGAATGTATTCTTGGAAGAATACATTCTTTCCAGGCTGTTCATAATGATTATCCCAGGCAAGTAGGGGATTTTGATTATTTTGCTCTTAGAAACAGCATGTATTGTTTTTATATGTGAGGGCTTAGGGGAGTTTAGTGATTAAAAGTATGAACTTTGGAGCCCGCATTTCCTGAGTTTGAATTCCAGCTGAAGCTGTGTGATCTTGGGCAAGTTATCTCTACTGTGCCTCAGTTTCCTCCTTGGTAAAATATTTGTAGAAACAGGACCTACTGTATATAGTTTCAAACAAGTCAGTATATGTAAAGTATTTGGTACCGTAGAAGTTCTACATGAGAGTTCTATATAAGAGAGGGCCGGCTTTATTATTTTTAAACATTTTAAGTATTATTATTAAAGTAAGTCAAGGGTAGAGGAAAGGTCATTGTATTCTTTCCGTGGTAAAGTGCTGAACATATTTTCATCAGTCCTAGAGCTTGATTTTGAAGAACATGGTGATGCAGCAAAATATTTCTTAATTATGCCTTTGCCTCGTTTTCAGTGGAGTGAAGAAACAGGATCAGCTGGCCTGAGAAAGTGCGAAGCACAGAGTTTTGTATTTAACAGCGAGTGGGCTTTATAGCTGTCTTCACTGTGTTTTTGGAATTGGCTGATTGTCCACAGAATTCACACTGGTTCGATGTCTAAACACTTCAGTGATGCAAAAATCAGTTTGGGAAATAGAGACACTTGAATGAATGGGTTTTGAGATAAAAATCTGTCTTGTCATCCTCCTGAGGTGGAGCAGATTGCATTTTCCAGCTGAGGCTGTGACTCTCCCTTGTCCCACATGCCCTCCTACAGTGTGACTCTGCCACTTCCTCTGTTAAGGGATCTACTTCTTGAATTTGGGCAGCCCTAGAACCGCTTCAGCTGGTAGAAGAGGGTGGAAGTGCTCCTCTGACTGCTGAGGCTAAATTATAAAAGGCTGTGCAGGCCCCTCTTGTTTGCGGGGGCACTTGTGCTTGGAGCCGTGAGCCGTTCTGTAATAAGTCCAACCACTGTGAGGCTACCATGCTGGGGAGACTACCACATGGTGCTCCAGCCCACAGTCCGTGGAGCTGTCATCTCAGCCAGGGTTTCGGATGGCAGGAGCCACCTCCTAGTGTCTATGTAAGAATGGCCTAGCCAAGCTCTTCCCAAATTCCTGACCGGCAAAATGATCAGAAAATAAAACGGTTGTGTTAAGTGATGAGGTTATGGGGAAATTTGCTCTGAAACAGTGGTGGCAGGAATGTAAGGGTTAGTAAACAGCAGCGACTCTGTGATGAAGGAATTCATTCATTCATGTTGGAAAGACCTTTGCAGAGCCAACCTCCACTACTCCTTGCACCCAGATTGATGGTCCCATGAACCAGAAGCATTTGTCTAGTGATAATCACAGGAGTCTTCAAGTGTGGTGTCCTGTTTTGTATTTTTATTTATTTATTTTTTTTGAGGCAGAGTCTCTCTGTGTTGCCCAGGCTGGAGTGCAATGGCACGATCTTGGCTCACTGCAACCTCTGCCTCCCAGGTTCAAGCTATTCTTCTGCCTCAGCCTCCTGAGTAGCTAGGACTACAGGCGTGTGCCACCACACCCAGCTAATTTTGGTATTTTTAGTAGAGGCGGGGTTTCACCATGTTGGTCAGGCTGGTCTCGAACTCCTGACCTCAGGTGATCCACCCTCCTCGGCCTCCCAAAGTGCTGGGATTGCAGGCATGAGCCACTGCACCCAGCTTGTGTTTTGTATTTTTTATTTCACGTTGCATTTTAACTACAGACACATCTTGGTGATGTTGTGAATTCAGTTTCAGACCACCACAATAAAATGAATTACATGAGGTTTTTGGTTTCCTGGTGCATACAAAAATTATGTTTACACTATATTGTAGTCTGTTAAGTGTGCAATAGCATTACATCTTAAAAAAAGCAATGTACATGCCTTAATTTAAAAAATATTGCTAAAAAATGCTAACGAAGTAAGCCCATTCTGTTGGAGAAATGACACTGATAGACTTGCTCGATGCAGGGTTGCCACAAGCCTTCAATTTGTAAGAAATGTATTATCTGCAAAGCACAAAAAAGCAAAGCTCAATAAAGCAAGTGCTTGTATTGTGTCTCATGTATACTAAAAGTATGCCAAATGGTTTACGTGATTTTTGTATGTATGTATCTGCTTATGAGACAGGGTCTCACTCCCATCGCTCAGGCTGAAGTGCAGTGGTACAATCACAGCTTACTGCAGCCTTGACTTCCCAGGCTCAGGTGATCCTCCCACCTCAGCCTCTCCTGAGTAGCTAGAGCTGCAGGCAGACACCACCACACCTGGGTTTTTTTTGTATTTTCAGTAGAGATGGGTGTCTCACTATGTTGCCCAGGCTGGTTTCAAACTCCTGGGCTCAAGCAGTGCTCCTGCCTTGGCTTCCCAAAGTGCTGGGATTATAGATCATAGGTGTGAGCCACTGAGCCTGGCCAATTTTTGTTTTTAATTGTTGCCTGATGTCCCCTGCTGGGTCCTGAAGTCTTTTGGGTTGGTTTGTTTTCAACTGGCACACTACACCAGTTCTATGTGCTGTATTAATTATACAGGTTTGAGTATCCCTTATCTGAAATGCTTGGGACCAGATGTGTTTTGAACTTTGGATTTTTTTTTTGTATTTTGGAATACTTGCATTATACTTAGCAATTGAGCATCCCTAATCTGGAAATCTGAAATACTCCAATGAGTGTTTCCTTTTATGGTCATGTCAGCACTCAGAATGTTTAGGGTTTTGTATTTTTTTCTGAATTAGGGATGCTCAACCCGTACCAGTATACTACACCAGGGAACTGACTCGGCATTGGTCAGACCACATTTTGAACACTTTTTGGTTGACTTCCCAGCATTTAACCCCGTCTTCTCCCAGGAATTCTCTTTAGCTAATTCCCACTTTAAAGTGAGTCAGCATATCACCCTGGTCTCAGTGAGTCAAGGATGGCAGAGACTCAATCAGAATGAGTGTTGAGTAGATGTTTTTTGGGGTGCCTGGGAGAGAGTCCCCGCTCTTTGCTGGATTTGATGGTGTGCAGATGTGAGCCCTGGAGCTGCCAGTACCATCACATAGCCATGAGGGCAGGCAGCTTATTGATGAAGGTGACCTGTGGAGGAAGGGAGGAGCAGAAGATGGAGAGAAATTGACCCTGAGAGAACATCTTTCAGTTGAGCCAGACCTGAAGTTGGACTTGATCCTAGACTTTCAGTTATGGGAGTCAAAACCTCTTTTTATTGTTGTAAGCTTGAGTTGGGTTTTCTCTTGCAACCAAGAGATTTTTAACTCACAGAAACCCACATCTGCAGTGTTTCTGAGATTCTGGGTAATATTTCAGAGGGACCTTGGTAAATCAGAAGCTCTCTAGGCAGTTTATCCAATGAATGGACCCCGGGACCTATGAGGCCTGGTGGGAAGAATTAGGAATGTTTTGAGTGAAGATTTAGAAGACCAATGGGGAAACAAAGCTGCCTGCAGACATTCAGATGTCACGTGGAAGAGGCAATAAATTTGTTCTTTGTGGTTCCAGAGTGTTTCAGAACTGGAATCGGTGTGTGCCATGTTAATGAAGATATAGAATTCAGCCTCATATAAGGAAGGATTGTCCAACTATTTGAGCTGCTCAACAGTGGAAGGGGCTGTCTAGTGGTGG